>NC_000016.10:58198863-58501894 GCF_000001405.40 Homo sapiens | reverse complement strand
CGGTGCCTTCCAAACCCAGACCCGCAGCGTGCGGGTCCGCCTGAGGGGTGTGAGGGGTGTCTGCTCTCTGCTGCTGAGGAGGCCCCACTGTCTTCTCCCAGCCCTGGTGTGGCCGCCCCTGTCCCCATCCCCCTGAGGTGACGTGATCAGGCTCTACTAGGGCTCATCTCCCAGGATGGGAAGGGCTGGGGCTGGGCCTGGGCGTCACCGGGCTACCTGTCCTACGAAGTCCAGTGACCTTCGCTGAACCCTGCTGCGAACCTCCCTAACGCCTTCTCTCACCCTCTGCGGAGAGCTCAGGACTCAGTTCAGCCTGATCGAAGCCAAACATCCCCGTCCCTTGGAGCGCTGCGCAAGGGCAGCCCCACAAGGGCCACAGCGCGGTGCACTCTGAGGCCCCCAACCCTCAGGGCCGAGCACTCCCATTGGCTCTGGGTGACGTCAGAGCCGGCCCCGCCTCCAGGTAGGCGCAGGCGGGAAGCACTGCGGCAGCAGGGGAGGGGGCTGTGGCGGCTCCTCTCGGTCGGTCCGTCTCCCCTCGCCTGTGACCTTGAGCACTGGAGGGGAGTGGGGCTTTGAGCCGGGCTTTGCGCCGGTGTGGGAGTTGGTGCTGGTGGTGCTGTGGTTCGGCCTGTCAGCCGCATCAATAATTCAGGGGACAGGGTCTGCATGGGCGGGCAGGTGCTGACGTCGTCACCTCCGTGCGTGCGGGGTGACCTATCGTCTGCGGAACCGGCAGGGCAGGCGTGTGGGGCCCGGGGGTGGGGGTGAGTCTGCCCCTGCCTCTCCCTCCTGAGGAAGAATGGGGCCGGGGTACCTGATGCCCCGGCGAGAGGAGGTGCCCTGGGCTCCACCTGGGGTCCCCTAGCCCTGCCAGCTTCACGGCTCCAGCGTTGCCTTCCCCCACCTACAAAATAAGGCAGGCAGGCAACCCCTCCTCGTTCCTCCCCAGCAGGGACCCCTGCCTGAAAGGCTGTCATTCCTGTGTGGCCCAGACCTCCTTGCCTCTGCCCGGCTGGCGCAGCAGAGCCCTGGGAACTGTGAGGTGGCTCCTAAGGAAGAGGCCGCCTGTCCTTCCCATCACACTGGCGCAGCCATCCAAACAAGCTAGACGGCCGCCCACTGGGACGGCAGCCCCTGCACGCACAGACCCGGCACGCACACTGGGCACACAGCCTCGGGGGCTCACCAAGGACACCCCCGCCCCCTGGCCTGATGGCCCCAGGCATCACCAAGGCAGACACCATCCAAGCGCACACCAGAGGGCACACGGTCAGAGGGACATGCAGGCACTAGCGCCCGGGTCCACACGGGCAATGCAGCCAAGTCAGACAGTGCCTTCCACGTTCCATTTCCTGCAGATATGTCACCCACCCCCCAACCACACGCTCCCCCCAGCCCCTGCTATGGGCTCTGACTAGCAGCTGCCCCCAGCCACTCCTGCAAACAGGATCACCAGGGAACCTGGAGCACTCTGGCCGTGTCTCAGTGACCCCAGGGTGAGGCTATTTGAAGGCCGGGCTGCCACCAGATGTGGGTTGAGGGGGGCACTTCCTCCCTGCGGTGGGTCATAAGGATGCACCATCCTCCCGGCCCACCTTGATGCCCGCAGCGCCCTCACTCACCCCATCCCAGCACTCCGGCATCTTGCCGAGGGAGGGAACCCGCCTCTACCAGGAAGGACAAACAAAGGCCTGAGTCACTCGGGTCCAGAGGGCGGGGGCAGCTCGAGTGGGAGATGGTCGGCTCTGTGATGGGGCACAGCTCCTGGGCCATTTATACAGGGATCCTGGCCCAGCCTAGCTAGCCCCTCCTCCCCGCAGGGTTTCTGAGCAGCCACTCGCTTACCAGGAGCCCCAGCTCCCATATTGGCTGCTGGGAGACAAGCCTGGCTCCAATTGGCTTCTGAAGTCCTCCTTGCCCCAGCCCTGTCACTGCTCCTCCCACCCCAGCCACACATCATCCTTGATGGTCCCCAGCCCCTGCATCCGCCCCCAGCACATAGGCACACGCCAACAGCTGCAGCTCACACGGGATCCTCCGAATACAAAAGCCGAGACCACACGTACAGACTCACCCATGTCAGGTACACACAGGGTCGTCACAGACATGCACAGCTTACCAATGCGGGGCAGGGCAGGGTGCATGGGCACTGCCCAGACAGCTAGAGCCCTTGACCCACACCTTGGGGAGTATGGAGGGCCCGAGAGGGCCCCAAGCCCAACATCTTGGGGACCAGACCCCCACGCCCAGCCTTCCCATTAGGAAGGTTCCATCGCTTAACCTTGTGGAGGCCTGGGGAGCTGCTGCTTTCTGGGGCAACTTGGGTTATCACCCTGCTTCAAGGGGCTGCTCCTTCTCCACCCACCAGGGATGAAAATCCCACCTTGCCCACGCAGATACAGGGGGTTTCCCCACATGCTGAAAATGGAGTTTGGGGGCCGGGGGCCAGGGGCCCTGGGCAGATAGCAGGGCCAGGGGTATGGTCAGGCACACACCAGCTCTGCCCTCCCCACCCTCACCCTGCTGCCAGGGGCTCCAGACCACCAGGGAGAGGAAGCGGGGCTAGGAGGCAGCTTGCTGACATTGACATGCCCACCTCCTGTAGACCCACCCGGCCCTCGTTCCCAGAGGCAACCAGTTTGGGGCTTGGCTCTCGGGTCTCTGGGGAGCAGAACACTAGGTCTATCTCAGGCTCCGTGCCCTGTTCTCCTGGGCAGCAAGGATCTGGGTGGCGAGCTCGCCCGAGGCCTGCAGGTGGAGTGAGCAGAGGAGAAGAAAGGCCAAGAAGTGCACAGGAGGAGAGGAAATAGGCCAGAGAGGGAAGCAGAGGAGGGGGCCCAAGGCTGGGAGAGCAGGAGCCACAGAGAGAAGGGGGCTGCTGCGTGCCTATGCTCCCAAATCCATGAAGATTATATGTATTATCGTTGCAACTGCCTGTGCAGTAGGCACTGCTGTTTCTCCCATTTATATATGGAGGCTCAGAGAGGTTGACTGACTTGCCCAAGGTCACACAGCAAAGAAGTGGCAGACCTATGAGTGGGATCAGGGTTTGGCTGGCAAGACCTGACCCTGCCTTGTCTGGCCACGATAACTGCACAACTGCCAGAAAAGGGGCCAACAGTTTGGAGAGGCACACAGACTGCCCCATTTCTCTCCTGCCAGGGCCTGGGCAAGGGTGGGGTCAGGGCACAGAGCCTGAGATAGCCCTAGTGTCCTGCTCCCCAGATACCCGAGAGCCAAGCCCCAAACTGGTTGCCTCCAGGAACAAGGGCCGGGTGGGTCTACAGGAGGTGGGCATGTCAACGTCAGTAGCTGCCTCCTATCCGGCTTCCTCTCCCTGTCTTGCTGAAGAAGGAACACGCCACTCACCCCAGCCCATGCTGATGGCCCTGCATGCTGACTGGCTGCCCTTGGAGAAAGTGGTCATCTCTTCATCTCTGGGTACCTGCTGACCTGGTCGACACCTGCTATGTACACTATTGCTGGTCATGTCCTCTGCCTGGGGGCACCTATTCCATCTCTCACCTCTTACTCTGGAGGCCTAGGGAAGACTGACAGGCCCTGTGCTCCCCAGGGCAGCAGGAAGTAGAATGGGGAGTCCCCCTGGCCCGTCACCTCCTGGCCATGCTCCCCATTCCTGCAGGCACTGTGGCACAGGAAGAGGCTTGGAAAACTGAGGCACAGCCCTGCCCTCTGCCCACAATGCCCTCCCATGTCCCCCAAGGCCCCACCCAATCCTACGCCCACTCCAACCTCTGACCCCTGAGTGGCCTCTCCCCACCTTTGGACCCAGGTGACAAGCTGACCTGCGACACTGCCCACTCCAAGCCACAGCCTCCATGACTGCTCAGCTGTCTGCAAACCCACAGACGTGGGTTTAAGTCCTTCCTGGCCCCCTACCAGCCGGGTGACCTTGGGCAAGATTTTTTTTTTAACCTCTCTGTGTCTCAGGCTTCTAATTGTAAAGCAGGGACTGTGTGCCTTTCTCACCAAGCTGCTGTGAGAATCAGAAAAAACTGCAGAAATCACTCTAGATCTGACCCCACCCCTGCCCAGGTCCTGGCAGGGGAGAAATGAGGCAGCCTGTGTGCCTCTCCAAATTGTTGGCCCTTTTTCTGGTGGTTGTGCAGTTACAGTGGCCAGACAAGGCAGGCTCAGGTCTTGCCAGCCAAACCCAGGTCTTGCCAGCCAAACCCTGGTGCCACTCATAGCTCTGCCACTTCTTTGCTGTGTGACCTTGGGGAAGTCAATCAACCTCTCTGAGCCTCCGTATGTAAATGGGAGAAACAGCAGTGCCTACTGCACAGGCAGCTGCAAGGATAATACATATAATCCTCATGGACCTATGAGAAGGGATGAGGAAACTGAGAGTTGGAGAGGTTAGGTAATTTCCTCACTTGGCTAGTAAGCAGCGGCAGCTACTAGTACCCCAGCACTCTGGGTGGGCCTGAGGTCTCAGAATCAAGAGTGGCAAACACTATGTTCAAATGTCCTCCATGTGCCAGGCTTTCTTGGAGTGCTTTACCCATTCTCTCTATCCCTCTTTTTTTTTCTTCTTCTTCTTTTTTTGGAGACATGGTCTTGCTCTGTTGCCCAGGCTGGAGTGCAATGGTGCAATCTCTGCTCACTGCAACCTCCGCCTCCCGGGTTCAAGCCATTCTCCTGCCTCAGCCTCCCAAGTAGCTGGGACTACCAGCGCCTGCCACCACACCTGGCTAATTATTGTATTTTTAGTAGAGATGGGGTTTCACTATATTGGCAAGGCTGGCCTCAAACTCCTGACCTCAAGTGATGCACCTGCCTCAGCCTCCGAAAGTGCTGAGATTACAGGTATGAGTCACCACACCCAGCCTTTATCCTCTTTTTGGAAAATATTTTTAAGTATGGAAGGCTTCACGAATATGTGGGTCATTCTTGTACAGGGGTCGTGCTCATCTTCTCTGTATCATTCCAATTTTGGTATATGTGCTGCTGGGGCGAGCACTCATTTTCTCTCTTAATACCCTCTTTACAAATGAGGCAAATAAAGCACAGGGAGGTTTGGTAACCTGCCTAACATCACACAGCTAGTGGGCACAGAGCCAGGAACCACACCCAGGCAGTTTGGTGCTAACTCCACACTCTGGTGGCCACTCGTCACGGTCAGCTGAGTGTCCATATGAGGGGCCCATGGGCACCATCGCCTTAGAAACACTCGGGAGGTCCGTGCTGCCTGTCTCCCTGAAAATGCGGTAGACAAATGGAGTGACTTGGGCTGGAGGTCACATGCTTGGAAGTGGCGGGGCCAGAACCTAGGTCTGTCTGGCTCATGTTAGTCCCTCTGCTATACTACCTCCCCCACTGGCTGCCCCCACGGAGGCAGGGGACAGTGACAACGCCTGCCATAGTGAGCAGGAGATAAAATCCCTGCCAGGTCTTGGCCCAGATAACGACCATCCATTCTTGTGGCTGCTTTTCTAAAACAAAAAACGAAAAAAATGCTGCCTCCATGTGGTGTGACAGGAGTGGACAGGAAGGTGCCTTTTAATGCAACCTGCCTTTTACCAAGCAGAGGATCCTGAGAACCGGGGTCCCACACACCCTGGGCCCCGCAACTCCGGGGCTGCAGCTCAGAGGGCTCAGGGGCCAGAGGCAGCTTCGCAGCAGCAGTTGGGAACCCAGAGGTATGGTAGGGTCTCCTCCACGACTCCAGGATTCCCCTCTGCCTGTCCCCCACACCGTGGGCCTGTGTGCTGGGGCTGGCATCAGCACTGTTGGCGTCGGCCTCCCACACTGTGGGACCAGTGTGTTGAGGCACCGGCTGGCTGCTCTGAGATTTTACTTGGCCAACCCCCTCCTCCAGGGCCCATTTGCCTGCATAGCTCATCCTCATTTGCAGCATGGAGGACAAAGAAAATCCCCTGGTGAGCCTGCCCTGATCTCCGGCTGTCCCTTCCCACCAGCCTGGGCCAGCTCCCGACCACTTCCCTCCCATCCCACCTCCTGGGCTCCCATTCACTCCCCACTGCCGGAACCCTAGCCTCTCCTTCCAGCTCCAGAGCCCTTTGTGCTTGGAGATGGCATTCCCGGAGGATCTGAGCACATGTACATTGGCTGCCCTGAAGTCTCCCCTCTCGTCCTTGAAGTGGCGCGTGACCGAGGGACCAGCACACAGGCCCAGATTCTCACACTGATCCTCGCGTTGCTCCCACTGGGGGACGAGCCAAAGGGCAGCCCCGCCTCCGTGTCACCCCTGCATCCAGACCACTTGGCTGGTGCTGTCACGGGGCTTGGAGGCTGACCCAAAACCAGGTCAGGCCCAGGCAAGGACAGAGACTCGGGAGCTGCTTCCACCTTACCAGGAGGAAGGGTCTGAATTGGTTCAGCATGTCGGGATGGCCAGTGGGGCCCCAGAACCCAGCAGGGTTCCCTTGTGTCTGCTGTCAGGCATTTTCCCAGACCCGGAAATCAATGGTCACTGTGGGACTCAGAGGGGAGAAACGACTGGCCGAGTGAGCAACATCATCACCCGGAGGAATAAAAACAAAGGGCGCTTTCAGTTTCCACGGAGAACCTGGCATCAACTAAGGAGGACAGGGTTGTCCTGGCAACAGCTGTCATGGAAACAGGAGCTATTTTAGAGTCAACCTGCCTTTCATTGGAGGAAAATGCTGATTCAGATGACAACATCCCTCACTCTCTTTTCCATTCTCACTCCCCCTAGAGGCCCCGTCTCTTCCCTGCTGCTCGCAGAAGCAGGGCCAGTTCATCTCCCACCCCAGCATCTCTCTGTTAGGCAGGGGGCACACAGAAGGGCTGTGACCCTCCTCTGGGACCTGGCCAGGTGGGGTGAGGGGCTGCCAGCTGTCAGTCCCACATCTTGGGGGTCTGAGCCTTGACCTACCTTCCAGTCTGTGTCTGCAGCCAAGAGGAAGGCATCGGAGCTCTCCTAGGGGAAGGCAAACAGAGGGGGTGGCAAGTTAGGCCCTGGCTGGTCTGGGGAGCCCGTGGGGCCTTAGCAGACTCAATTTCTGTCCCCTAGTCTGTCTTTTCTCTTTTCTTTTCTTTTTTTTTTTTTTTAGAGACAGGGTCTCACTCTATCACCCAGGCTGGAGTGCAGTGGTGCAATCACAGCTCACTGTATCCTCCAACTCCTGGGTTCAAATGATCCTCCTGTCTTGGCCTCCTAAAGCGCTGGGATTACAGGCATGAAACACCGCACCCAGCCCACCAGTCTGTCTCAATGTTAACAAAAGTGACCAAGGGCTCACCGAAGTGCCAGGCATTGGCTACCAAGTACTTGGTGGAGGAGCGTGTGAGCGTCCTCATTAAGGAGGTGTGGATTCCATCTTACAGGCCACAAGGGTGAGGCTCAGAGAGGCTGTCACAGGGCTAGAAAGTGCTGGAATGTCCCACTGCAAATCCTTGCTGTTGGTCACTTTGCCCTTCTGCTCCCATAGATGTTTTTCATGGTCTGACCATCAGGCCACAAGGGTGGAAGGAAGGGAGGGAAGGGGGGAGGTGGGCGTGACTAACATGCCCACTTGTAGGGATGGGGAAGCTGAGGCCCACACAGTGAGGGGGAAAGAGGGACCTTTTCCAATCCACACAAAGTTACAGTGGCAGCTGCTCCCACCTCTCCAGACCTGGTCGCTTTGTGCCTCAGATCACTGGAGCTTACTTCACAGTGAACCGTTTGAGTCTGGCTAGTGCGTGTTCTACCCACCGGACCGCGGGCACCACGAGGGCGGGACCACATCTAGCTGTGCTCTCAGTATGATGCTGGCATGGAAGGGGCTCCCCAGACACAAACAGATCTGGATGAACAATCAGGCTTCACCGATGAGGGGAGAGAGGCTCAAAATGCACCCACAGGTTACGAGGCTGCACAGATGGCTGGGGAGGAGCGGGGGCTGGAACCCCGCGTCTGAGTTGCCAGGCTCTCCCTGAGGCCGAGGGGCCCACAGACACTCTGCGGGGGCCTGGCTCTGGCTGTGCGACTCACCCACTCTGGGTCCCCGTCTCCCCATCTGTACAACAAGACAGCTGGCCAGCTCAGACTCGGGCCACTTTCAGGCCTGGTGAGGGAAACTAATCAGGGACCAGCACACGTCCAGGTAAAGGAGAACTCACAGGTTCTGCCTTGCCTTCCCCTGCGTCTGCCTAGAAACCTCTCTGCCCCGCTCTGCGAGGCTGTGAACTCCCGGGCAGCTCACTCAGCCTCCGAGCCTCAGTGTTGTGAGGATTAGAGGAGAAGCTCAGTGTTGCCCATCGTTCTGCCCTTTGTATCCCAGCACTGGACTGTGCCTGCTACAGATCCTCCTAAGGAATAAATACATGGATTGGCCAGGCATGGTGGCTCATGCCTGTAATCCCAGCACTTTGGGAAGCTGAGGCGGGCAGATCACCTGAGGCCAGGAGTTCGAGACCAGCCTGGCCAACGTGTCAAAACCGTGTCTCTACTAAAAATACAAAAATTAGCTGGGTGTGGTGGCACATGCCTGTAATCCCAGCTGCTAGGGAGGCTGAGGCAGGAGAATCACTTGAACCTGGGAGGCAGAGGTTGCAGTGAGCTGAGACTGCACTACTGCACTCCAGCTTGCGTGATAGAGTGAGACTCTGTCTCAAAAACAAACAAACAAACAAAAACAAACCACGGATGACTGAGACAGTCACATGAGAAATAGGGTGCCACAGGAGGATGAGGGAAGCAGTCAGCTAGGTAAGTACAAGGAGGAAAATGACCCCAAATCACAGGAGTGGAAAGCAGAAGAATGAAACCAGTATTTCTGCCATTTTTCCCAAAATAAGGAAGAGTTCAGCCACCTGCATTCCAGCAGGCCAGGTGGTGGAGAAAAATCAGAGGGCACTAGGGGTTCCCATGCCCAAAGGGGAAAGCCAGGCTTTGGGCTGCCTGCGACTGTCACATAGAGAATGGCCACACCCACTTGGGCTTCTTCTGCAGATTCGTTCCAGGCCTGTGGTGGCTCTGCAGGGAGGAGGGAAGGAGAGGAGGGAAAGGATGGGGCTGGAGGGGGAGGACAAGGGCCTGGGGCTGATCATGAATCTCTCACTCAAAGACCTTGCACAAGCGGGCTGAGGAGAAGGAAGGGGAGATGTCTATACTCGGGACCTTAAGAGGGCAATTATCTCAGAGAAGGACAGAGGCGGCAGTTTTGTTACAAGCAAAAGCTAACAAAAAAGAAGGCCGGGCGTGGTCACTCACACCTGCAATTCCTGCACTTTGGAAGGCCGAGGCAAGAGGATCACTTGAGCCCAGGAGGTCCAGGCTGCAGTGAGCTAAGATTGTGGCACTACACTCCAGACTGGGTGACAGGGCGAGACTGTCTGTCTGTCTCTCACACACACACACACACACACACACACACACACACACACACACACACACACACACACACACACGGTGGAGCAGATAATGGCAGGGTGTGCTGTATGCTCTCTGGGTCTGGGGGCCCCAGGAGATGAAGGGTGTGGGAGGGGAAGGACTCAAAAGCCAAGAAAATGCAGGAAGAATAGAAGCCCATGCAGAGGCCCCTGAAGTCCCGTGGGAACAGGGTGAGCACGAGGAGGAGAACAGGTGGCAGTGCGGGCCCAGCTGAGGGAGGCAGAGGAGTGGTGTGTGGGAGGCAGGATGGGGACATAGGAGCAGAGGAACCCAGACAGGCCAGGCACTGGAGTCTCCAAAGGCAAAAGCCAGGCTCCAGCAGTGGGCGGGCAGGCTGTGAGTAGATGTGTGGAAATCCTCACTTCCCACTGGACTGAAAGAATTTGCACCTGGCAAATGGCAGAACATTTAAAAAGTGAACAGGGTGCCAGGTGAAGTGGCTCACGATTGTAATCCCAGCTACTTGGGAGGCTGAGGTGGGAGAAATGCCTGAGGCCAGGAGTTCGAGACCAGCCTGGGCAACATAGAAAGATCCCATGTCTCTACAAAATAGAAAAATGAGACAGGCATGGTGGTGCATGCCTGTAGTCCCAGCTACTCAGGAGGCTGAAGTAGGAGGATCACTTGAGCCCTCTCTAACCTCCCTGAAGGAGGAGGCTGTTATGGTCACACCCCTTGCACTCTAGCCTGGGTGCCAGAGCCAGACTTATCTCTAAACAAAAAATAAATAAAAAGTGAAAAGGATGGGGCTGGGCACAGTGGATCATGCCTGTAATCCCAGCACTTTGGGAGGCCAAGGCGAGCCAATCACCTGAGGTTGGGAGTTTGAGGCCAGCCTGACCAACATGGAGAAACTCCATCTCTACTAAAAATACAAAATTAGCCGGGTGTGGTGGCTCATGCCTGTAATCCCAGCTACTTGGGAGGCTGAGGCAGGAGAATCACTTGAATTGGGGAGGCGGAGGTTGTGGTGAGCTGAGATCGCGCCATTGCATTCCAGCCTGGGCAACAAAAGCAAAACTCTGTCTTAAATAAAATGAAAAAAAAAAAAGTGAAAAGGATGGATGCTTTCAGCACTGCAGCTGGAAAAGGAGAATCGTCTGTGAGCGCCACAGCCTGAGAGAGCCAGACTAGCTCTTGAAGACAGAGAGAGGGGGTAGGACTGCATGGGGTGCCACGCTGCAGCATCCAGGAGGCTGTGTCGGGTGTGGGGTGGGGCTTTATTTATTTAGAGACAGAGTCTTACTCTGTCTCCCAGGCTGGAGTGCACTGGTGAGATCTGGGCTCACTGCCACCTCCACCTCCCGGGTTGAAGTGATTCTCCTGCCTCAGCCTCCCGAGTAGCTGGGATTATAGGAGCTCACCACCACATCTGGCTAATTTTGTATTTTTAGTAGAGACAGGGTTTCACCATGTTGGTCAGGCTGGTCTCGAACTCCTGACCTCAAGTGATCCGCTCGCCTCGGCCTCCCAAAGTGCTGGGATTATAGGTGTGAGCCACCATGCCCGGCCGGCTTTTATTTTGTTTTTGAGACAGAGCCTCGCTCTGTCGCCCAGGCTGGAGTGTAGTGGTGTAATCTTGGCTCACTGCAACCTCCACCTCCCAGGTTCAAGTGATTCTCCTGCTTCAGCCTCCCGAATAGCTGGGAGTACAGGCATGCGCCACCATGCCCAGCTAATTTTTATAATTTTAGTAGAGATGGGGTTTCGCCATGTTGGCCAGGCTGGTCTTGAACTCCGGATCTCAGGTGACCCGCCCACCTTGGGCTCCCAAAGTGCTGGGATTACAGGCGTGAGCCAACATGTCTGGCGGGAATGGGGCTTTTGAGGTGCCTTTGGAAAAAGCAGATGTGCCCAGGCCCACAGCATGGGGCCTGTGCTGACTCATGAAAGAGGGAAGAAGCCTCCACAGGATCTGAAACGGAGACCCTCATGCAGGGGTGAGGATGTTATAGTGGCAAACTCTGGTCCTCGTGATGGGTAGATAGAGACACCACCTGCAGTAGGGCCAGGGTGCCCAGAGGGCATGAGGAGGCAGGAGTGTGCCCACTGAGTCAGGGAGGGAGGGGCAGTGAGGGCTGGGCCAGGGTAGGCAGAGAAGGGTGCCCAGCTGAGGTGGGCAGTGGAAGAGACAGGCATGGAAGTTACCAGGCCAAGATGCCCTAGTTCTCCCCATTGTACTGGGGGGCCCTGCTGGACCACAGAGGCACACTCCATACCAGCAGGCAGCACCTCCGTGCGGCTGTCCCGCAACCTGCACACTTCAGCACTTGCGATGGGATGCAGGGGTCCCCAAGGGCCACCATCTGCCCTATCAAAACCTCACAGGAGAACTCTGCTTTCATGCCTCAAAAGACAGGCTGGTAGGCAGGCACAGAGGCTCAGGCCTGTAATCCCAGCACTTAGGAAGGCTGAGGTAGGAGGATCACTTGCACCCAGAAGTTCAAGACCAGTCTGGGCAACAGAGCAAGACTGATCTCTACAAAATGGAAAAATTAGCCAGTTGTGGTGGCACATGCCTAAGATCCTCGCTACTCGGGAGGCTGAGGCAGGAGGATCACTTGAGCCCAGGAAGTTGAGGCTGCAGTGGGCTATGATGGCACTACTGCACTCCAGCCTGGGTGACAGAGTGAGACCCTGCTTCAGAAGAAAAGAAAAAAAAAGAAAGAAAGAAGGAAAAGACAGAAAGAAAGACACAGGCAGGAGTGGGGAGTAGGGGGGCACTTTTTAGAAAGTTCTGAGAAACTTCTTCCTTCTGAGCTGTATCACCATCTGTGGCTTCCACCCAGCCCATGTTTTTACTGAGAGCTATGTGTGCTGTGTGAGGCACTGGGGAGACCTGGGGGTGCAAAACAGAACAGATCTCTGTCCTGGGAACCTGCGGGGCGGGGCAGACACAAACCAGGCTAAGTGACACGGCCAGGGCCAGAGCATGTTGGGGTTTCAATATTAGACCCAGGGGTTAGAGAGGGACTCTCTGAGGAGGGAGCATTTGAGCAGAGGCCTGAATAAAACAAGGAGTGGAGCCAGCCCTGCAAATTTCTGGGCTAGTGTATCCCAAGCAGATGTACTAGGAATATGATGGGCATGTTCAAGGAGGCTAGAGAGAAGTAAGCTGGGAACAGGCGGGGGAGCTGGTGCAGATTGCATCCTGGGTCCCATGTCTGACTGAGATGGCTCGTTAAGCAGAGAAGTGACATGGCTTATTTTTTATTTATTTATGTTTTGAGACAGTCTTGCTCTGTTGCCCAGGCTGGAGTGCGGCGGTGCAGTCTTGGGGTTGAACCTCCCGGGTTCAAGCGATTCTGCCTCCTGAGTAGCTGGGATTACAGGCGCCCACTACCACGCCCGGGCTAATTTTTGTATTTTTAGTAGAGACAGGGTTTCACCATGTTGGCCAGGCTGGTCTCAAACTGCTGACCTCAGGTGATCTGCCCACCTCGGCCTCCCAAAGTGCTGGGATTATAGGTGTGAGCCACCATGCCCAGCTCATGGCTTATTTTAAAAGGGTACAGAGCGAAGGCAGAAGCAAAAAGACCAGCAAGGAGGCTTCTGCAAGCATCCTGGGGTAGCAGCTGATGGAGGCTCAGACCAGGGAGCAAGTAAACTTAGAATAAAGGGCTTGAAAAATGTGCAGTCACCACCCCACCAGGGCAGCTTATCCGTGGCTGCCCTCGGATAAGCCAGGCCTTATCAGTTAACTCAAGGTTCTGTCTGGAAGATAACACTGTACTCTTCCTGGGGGCAGGACTGCAACCTCATGTGGTTGGATCCCTGGATCCCTGGCTGGCTGCACAGTTCCAATCCTGGCTGCTCAGTAGCTCCTGGGCTCCCCTCCTGGTGATGGGAGGCTGGGGAGGCAGGGCAGGGCAGACTACAGTGCCCTGCAGATTTGAGGGGCTGGGCTCCTGGCCTCCCCATCTGTAAAAGAAGGGGGTCCGGGCAGCATAACTTGCAGGGACCCCAGCCCTGATGCCTCAGAATCCAACAAGCAGGGAACCCACACTTTTTGAAAGTGGTTTGTGTCACAGTCACCAGTATGACGGCACTGGGAGGGAGGGAAAGGGAAGGTGGACAGGGTGTTGTCACAACAAAAAAGGGTGGCATGAAAGTCACTCTGGCCTCTAATGCCTTGTCCCTTGACGGAGGGGTCTTTGGGACAAAATCATAACCTGTGATGCCTCTGTCCCACTGCCCCGGGTGGCACTGTTGGTTAGACTTGCCCAGGTGCCGCAGAGGCTTGGGAGGCAGATAAGGAAAAGAGCGCACAGACGGAGGAGCAGCATGCCCTGCTGGAGCCAGCACTTGGGGCTCCTGGGCTGTCCAGAAACAGGGGTTGATATGGCCTCATTCCCCACTAGCTGTGTGACCTTGGCCAACTGGGTTCACCTCTCTGTGCCTCGGTTTTCTCGTCATTAAAGCCGGGATAACTCTCCTGTGGCGCCTTTAGCCTCAAAGACGGCTGAAGCCACCGTGAGGCTGGCTGGGTCTGGGTGGCACTCAGGCCTGCCGGAACTCCCCCCACAGGCAGGGACAGGGCTTCTCGGTGTGGCTGGCCCTAGGGAGGGTCGGCTGCAGGAAAGGCACGCGGTCTCCCTCTTGGCCACGAGGTGGCGCGCTCGGCCCTAAGACCTCAAAGGCGCGACTCCAACTCACCAGCTCGGTGGCGTCCTGGCCCCGGAGCAGCGGCTTCTCCTCAGGGAATCGCAGCTCCTGCAGCCCGGCCATGGTCACGTCGTGGAGCAGGAGGCCTAGGGAGGGAGGGCGAGGTTGAGGCCTGCTGCGGCGGGGACGCCCGGGCGGAGAAGGACAGCGCAAGTCGGGGCTGGGGCGGGAGCGCGGAAACCAGATGCACTGTCCCCCTGGCCCCCAAGCGCAGCCCACTCAGGCACTTAGGGCCCCCAGGCCTCCGTCTGCAAGACCCGCCTGTCTGGCTTGGGGGATACCATTATAGTATTTGTTTTTCCGTTTTTCTTTTTTTTTTTTTTACACGGAGTCTCACTCTGTCACCCAGGCTGGAGTGCAGTGGCGTAATCTTGGCTCGCTGCAACCTTCGCCTCCTGAGTTCAAGTGATTCTCCTTCCTCAGCCTCCCAAGTAGCTGGGATTACAGGTGCACACCACCACCTTGCTAATTTTTGTGTTTTTTAGTAAAGACGGGGTTTCACCATGGTGGTCAGCCTGGTCTCAAACTCCTGACCTCAAGTGATCCACCCGTCTTGGTCTCCCAAAGTGTTGAGATTTCAGGTGTGAGCCACCATGCCCAGCCTATTATTTGCTCTTAAAAATTAAAACGTTTCCAAATAAAACAGAAAAGCAACGTCATGATTCCTAAAACAATTACATGCAACATTCTGCCTTTATTGAGAAACAGAAGGGCACGTGCAGGGAGGCCAAACACAGGGTCAGACGCAGACAGAAGTCCCCTGCCGAGGGCCTCTGGTGTCTGAAGGGGACAGTGGGGTTCTGGAGGATAGAGAGACTGGAGAGGAACAGAGCTGAGAGCTCCCCAGAGGGCTCCCAGGACAAGCCTCTGTGAAGATGGGCCAGGGAGGGGTGGGTGGGAGTAGAGGCCCTGGTGGTGTGGCAGGCCGAGTGATGTTGAAAGAGGGGGTGCAGGTCTCAGTTCAGGCCACCAACAGGGAGGGGTGATACACAGGGGCTGCTCAGCTGCCAGAGGGTGGGCCCGGGCCCTAATTGCTGGGAAACCCCAGGGGTTTCTGAACCTCAGAGGAAGAATGGGTCATACATGCAGGCGTGTGTGTGTGTGTGTGTGTGTGTGTGTGTGTGTGTGTGTGTGTGTGTGTAGGAGCCAGTGGTGAGGGAAGGAAGACAGAGGGTCCCAGGACCCCACAATTCCTCTAGGAATGGCACCACCATCCCTCAACTTCAGGATGGCAGAGGTCAGAATGCACCAAGAGAAAAACTAGCCAAGGACATAATCTAGAAATTCATAAAAGAATTTAAATTGGCCAGTACATACATGGAAAAATATTCAAGCTCACTAGAAGTCAAAGAAATTTAAATTAAGATACTTTTTTTTTTTTTGGCCAGGCACAGTGGCTCATGCCTATAATCCCAGCATTTTGAGAGGCTGAGGCCGGAGGAGTGCTTGAGCCCAGAGGTTCAGGACCAACCTGGACAACATAGCAAGGCCCCATCTCTACGAAAAAAATAAAGTAGCTGGGTGTGGTGGTGAGAGCCTGTGGTCCCAGCTACTCAGGAGGCTGAGGTGGGAGGATCACTTGAGACCAGGAGTTCAAGGCTACAGGGAGCTATGATTGCACCACTGCACTCCAGCCTGAGTGACAGAGCAAGACCGTGTCTCAAATGAATGAATGAATGGATAGCTCTTTCTTTTTTTGCCAATGGCATTGGCAAAGTTTACACCGCTAGCGAAGGTGCACTGAAACAGGCACCTTCTTATATGGCTTGTAAGTATATAAATGGACATATCTTTCTGGAGGGCAGTTTTACAAATGAATTAAAACTATTTAAAAGGTTCATACTCTCAGACTCAGCAATCCTCTCCCGTGGAGAAATTGCCTAAGGAAACCAGAGATGGCAACAAATAATTTATCTATAAGAATTCTTACCACAGTGCCATTTATAACACAGAAAAAAATTGGAAGAAAATGTCCATCAATAGGGTACAAGATAAACTGTGTGTCAATAATAAAATATTATTTAATATAATGGGAAAATTCCTGTTACAATAAATGAAAAAGCAGGCCTGGGTCCCTGTGCACGTGCCATGCTGGAGTCCCGGCTCCCAGTGGTTTCCGAGGAAACCAGCTAACACAATGCAGATGGGCTGTATTTTTAGAAAGGCATCCTCAAGGCTCTCCCGCTCCCATTTCCATCCTTTCAGATGTGTGCACACTCACCCATCCATCCAGGGTGTGGGGGCTGGGAGAGCTGAAAGAGGGGTCCCCTCCTTGGAAAACTCTTCCGCATCAGGACATTTTAGCCACCTGCCTTCCTGAACACCCATCTCAATTAAACCCCTTAGTAGCCCTGGGGTATCCCTGTAGCCCCCCTCCCCCGGCCTGTTATGAAACCACCCTGGACACCATCCTCCCCAAGGCCCATGCTATTAAAAGGGCTGAGAGTGGGCAGTGCAGGGACAGATGGCCTGTGACGGAGGTGGTGGCGGGGAAGGGGGCAGAGAGAGACCTCATCATCCAGAGAACCGGGAATGTCTCAGCCCATGAAAAACAGACAGTCCAGGGCTTGGCTGGAGTTGTGGGGCTCCACAAGAAAGACGCCAGAGCAGACATTTCCACAGCACGGTGGCAGAGAAGTTTCTTCTAAAGAAAGTTATGGGCCGGGCGTGGTGGCTCATGCCTGTAATCTCAGCACTTTGGGAGGCCAAGGCAGGTGGATCACGAGGTCAGGAGTTAAGAGACCAGTCTGGCTAACCTGGTGAAACCCCGTCTCTACTAAAAATACAAAAAAATTAGCTGGGCATGGTGGTGGGTGCCTGTAGTCCCAGCTACTCGGGAGGCTGAGGCAGGAGAATGGCGTGAACCTGGGAGGCAGAGCTTGCAGTGAGCCGAGATTGCGCCACTGTACTCCAGCCTGGGGACAAAGCGAGACTCCATCAAAAAAAAAAAAAAAAAAAGTAAGTTATGATTTTTTTTAAGAAGCTGTGTGATAAGTTATAAGAAAATGAGAGTCCTACTAATGAAGCCTGGCTAAGGTCTCCAAGGAGTTAAGTAGCACAGAGGTGGGCGAACGCCAGGGTCTATGAAGTGGCCAGCAATGGCTCTTTCCCTTCCATCATGCTTTTCCACTTCTTGATCTCTTATTCCCTAAAGGGACAGGAGCCGCCCTGCCCAGCTCCTGGTGCAGACAAGAGCTCTCCCAGGAGACGCGTGTGCAGGGACCTGGGCCTGGGCAGACAGAAGCTGTACACACCAAATGGGCCTGGGATAAATCCAAATGCTTCTACTTCTCAGGGGTAAGGCCTGGAGCCACTGCAACCAGGCTGGCATTTCTCCTCTATCATTCAACAGCTTGCTTTATTTTGAGCAAATCACTCAAAGCCTCACTTATTTGCAATATGAGAGCATGTTGCCCACCTCAGAGAAGTCTGAGGTACAATAGAAACAATAAATATATAAATTTTTTTTTAGACGGATTCTTACTCTGTCGCCCAGGCTGGAGTGCAGTGGCGCGATCTCAGCTCACTGCAGCCTCTGCCTCCTGGGTTCAAGTGATTCTCCTGCTTCATCCTCCCAAGTAGTTGGGATTACAGGCACCTGCCACCACGCCTGGCTAATTTTTTTTGTATTTTTAGTAGAAATGAGGTTTTACCATGTTGGTCAGGTTGGTCTTGAACTCTTGACCTCAGGTGATCCACCTGCCTTAGCCTCCCAAAGTGTAAAAATGACCTTTTTTGTTTGTTCAGAGACAGGGTCTTGGTCAAAACAAACCCTGGCTCTGCTCTAAGCAAACTCTAGGCTGGAGTGCAGTGGCACAATCATGGCTCACAGCAGCCTCGAACTCCTGGACTCAAGTGATCCTCCCACCTCAGCCTCCCAAGTAGCTGGGACCACAGGTGTGTGCCACCAGAGCCCGACTATTTTTTCTTTTCATTTTTTGTAGAGATGGGGTCTTACTATGTTGGCCAGGCTGGTCGCAAACTCCTGGGCTCAAGCAATCCTCCTACCTCAGCCTCCCAAAGCACTGGGATTACTGGCGTAAGCCACCATGCCCAGCCTAAAATGCCTTTTAAATGAAAGATTTTTGTACATATTTGAATGGAACAAAAATCACATAGGTGATCAGTGTGTTCCTTGCCTTTCCCTGCCGATTTAAGATAACTTTGGAGTTTTTTGTGTTTTTCCTCTTGTTTCTGTTAGAGGATAGATTCATAGCTGCACGCAGAGGGGCTAAGCTGATGTACATAGGGGAGGGATGGTACAGGGGATGAGGGAGAGGAAACAGCCCCTTTGGCTGGGGGACAGAGACATGTAAGAGGCCCCTCAAGGGCAAAAGAGCACCGGGGAGTGTGGAAATGGGCTCCTGCGCTGTGTTAGTGGCATGGATTCCTTAAGAGGAATTGCATTTCAGTTTAATTACTTCTGGTTGCTGATTTGTGTTTTTTCTCCTTTTCTCCTTCTTCTTTTTTTTTTAAAGGCAAACAGGAGCACTCAGCTCCCACCATGCAGCCAGCAGGCCCCTCCCACTATGCTTCTGTAACTGTGATTCCATGCTGAGACCCCGGCCAGGCGAACCCTCTGATTATTAGGGTTAAAAATAGAAGCCATGACTGTGATCATTCCTGGAACTATCCCATAAATGCTTAAATTGATCAGTAGTAGTTATACATCCTACAGAAAAAAGCAATTGCTGAATCGGGAGAACAAATTCAGCAGTGGTAGGAGATGGTGGGGGTGTTTGAAAATACACTGGGGGGCTGGGCACGGTGGCTCACACCTGTAATCCCAGCACTTTGGGAGGCCAAGGCAGGTGGATCACTTGAAGCCAGGAGTTCGAGACCAGCCTGGCCAACATGGCGAAACCCTGTCTCTACTAAAAATTCAAAAATTAGCTGAGCTCACGTGATGGCGGGTGCCTGTAATCCAACTACTTGGGAGGCTGAGGCAGGAGAATTACTTGAGCCCGGGAGGTGGAGGTTGCAGTGAGCTGCACTCCACTGGGTGACATAGCAAGACTCTGTCAAAAGAAAGAAAGAGAGAAAGAAAGAGAGAGAGAGAAGGAAGGAAAAAAGGAAGGAAGGAAAGAAGGAAGGGAGGGAGGAAGGAAGGGAGGGAGGGAGGGAGGAAGGAAAGGAGGGAGGGAGGAAGGAAGGGAGGGAGGAAGGAAGGGAGGGATGGAAAGAGAGAAAAGAGAGAAGGAAGGAAGGAAAAAGAGAAGAGAAGAGGAGAAAAAAAATGAAAATACATCGGAGAATTTGGGTGGTCTCAGTGACTGGGGGTCCTACATTCAGTGCCCAGGGACCACGGGTGAGAAGGGTCATGCGATGTGGGGACAGTGCTACACATGAAGGATCACTCCCCACTCTACCCCCCACAGCTGCACAGTGAGAAACGCTAGAACTGAAAGAGAAGAGGGCAAGACTTAAATGGAGTGAAGTTAGAGGGCTCAGGAGAAGCCAGACAGAGGAAACAGGCCTGCGGGACAGGAAGAGGCCAAACAAGAAAAGAGGTAGAACTGTGGAATGGCTGGTGTTCCTTCAACCACAGGGGTGAAGGGGACCCACAGGTCAGGGTCAAGGTCCGGTCCACACTGCCTTGAGTATGCCACACTCCTGAGTTATAAGGTCCCATTATTATGAGAAATGCCACAGGCAAATGAAATGAGCCATACCCAGGCCTAGCCAGCTCTACCCTGGGGGAGGGGTCCGTAACATGGAAAAGGAATGATGTGGCCGAGTGGGAGCATGTGACTCATGTCCAGGCCTCTGCACCCAGGCGCCGTGGGCCTGGTGTATCCCTACTGCTTGGATCAGAGTTGGTGCTCAGTGATACATGGGCCACCACCCTACCCGACGCTACACCAGTGCCTGGTTGGAAAAGAAGCCCCAGAAATCTGGGACCCCGGAAATTGGGGAATCACCTTCCAACTGCACTATATAGGGGGTCTGGAACTGTCCAGGGAACTGGACCCTCTTATTTCTCTCCCTGTCCTTATCCTGATCTCCTAGGCCTGGGACAGCACTGAGGGTGGGGCAGGGATGGGGGCTCAATCTTCCCTCAGGATTCCCAGTTCACGGATGAGAAATAAGAGGCACAGGAAGGAGCAACTGACTGGTGCAAGTCCTCCTGTGGCCAACCCAGGAGGGGACCCAGAGTGCATGCTTCCACCCGCCTACATGCATTCCGCCTCCCCGGGTGGGTGGCAGGACAGGAGGATGCAAGGGACATTATTTCTCCAGCCCAGGCTCCATATCTAGGTATGGCTCCTTGATTTATGTCAAACTTGAACTTGACCAGTTCTGCTTTTTCCTTGGGTTGAGCCTGTGAATCCCTATGCCCTCACCAACCACACCACCACCCTGCATGCGCGCGCACACACACACGCACGCACCCCCAGCACATTCCCACTGTCTTAGGCAGCCATATTTGGATTCTGGCACTCCTGGCTAAAGACCCGGGCTGACTCAGTAGGCGCATCCTCCCCATGGGAAGCACATGCCTTTCTTCATGCTGTTCCCTCTGCCTAGAGTGCCTTTCCCCATCATATCCCTACAATGGGAGCAATATGAAAAACAATCCTTAATATTAATGAATGCTATGTTCCAGGCATTTTACATGTATAAGCTCATTTAGTCCTCCTAACTCCTCATGGAGGTAGGTACTATTATTGTCCTCATTTTGTAGCTGAGGAAGTGAGGCATACACAGGTGACATAACCAGCCCAAGGTATTACGACTGGTAAGTGATGGAACCTGGATTTGAACCCATGATGTCCAGGTCTGGAGCTCATATGCTCATGTGTGGACTCTATCATCTTTTTTTTTTTTTTTTTAAGACAGAGTCTCACTCTGTCGCCCAGGCTGGAATGCAGTGGCACGATCTCAGCTCATTGCAACCTCCGCCTTCTGAGTTCAAGTAATTCTTGTGCCTCAGCCTCCCAACATAGCTGGGATTACAGGCTTCTGCCACCACGCCCAGCTAATTTTTGTACTTTTAGTAGTAATGGGGTTTCACCATGTTGGCCAGGCTGGGACTCTATCATCTTGCTAACCCACTGATGCATGGATGAGTGGTTTAATCTCCCTACTGTCATCTCCCAGAGGACAGCGACCTGATCTTGTTCATTTGTCCAACCCTATCAGAGTCCAAACACACAAAGGCTTAATAACTGGTAAAATGGATGGAGGACAGGCCAGAAATCTCCACGGCTGACCTGTCCACAGAAGCCATAGGAAAGCACAGGATAAACATTTTTGTTGCTCAAATGCCACTGTTCCAATGTCAGTTATAGGCATAAAGCAGTATTCAAATGCACACCACCAAGGTGGTGAGGCCACTCTGGTACAAGGCTGTTTGACAGGGCTGGCTGTCAAGAGGCTTCCAGGTCAGTGAGTTTGGCCACAAAACTTGGAGGGGGCAGGGCCGGGTGCGGTGGCTCACGCCTGTAATCCCAGCACTTTGGGAGGCCAAGGCAGGCAGATCACTTGAGGTCAGGAGTTTGAGACCAGCCTGGCCAACATGGTGAAACCCTGTTTCTACTAAAAATTCAAAAATTAGCCGGGCGTGGTGGCAGGCACCTGTAATCCCAGCTACTCAGAAGGCTGAGGCAAGAGAATTGCTTGAACCTGGAAGGCAGAGGTTGCAGTGAGCCTAGATCGTGCCACTGTACTCCAGCCTGGGTGACAGAGCAAGACTCCGTCTCAAAAACAAACAAACAAACAAAAAATCGGAGGGGCAGATGCAGCCTCTGCACATTCCCCACCTCCTACAGGTTGGTCTGGGCTCCCTCCTTCCTCTCAAATCCTACCTGTGTCTCCAGTCTCCCCACCAGGTTTGCCGAAATCCCCTAAAGGGGACAGACTTAGTAGCACTCCCATTCTAGGGCTCAATAAGGAGAAAGAAAATACTATGCACTCAATGGAAAAGTGGGCGAAGGTCTGGAATAGGAATTCAGAGAAGAAACAACACAGGAAAAGCATCTGCTCTGCCTCACTGGCCGTCAGAGAAATGCACGTGAAACAATGAGCAACATGACCTGCTCAGACCATTGCTCCTCAGACACTCCTAGGGGACAAGAACTACATCTGTTTTGTTCGCTCGGATGTTCCCTGTGTCTATGACAGTGCTGGGCACAGGGCAGACACTCAACATTTCTGTTCAATCATGTAAGTAAATGAACGAATGAATCATTCTTCACACAGACCACAACTTACTAAAAGACTGATAATGTGCAAGGTTGGTGAGGTTCTGGGAAAGTGGGCACACACTCATGCTGCTGGCTGGATGGCAGTGGGTTCAACTTTATTTGGAGAACAACTTGGTAGTCTGTTAAATGCAAATATCTGTCAGTTCTGCAATTCTGTGTCCAGGTATTTATCCTAAAGAAAAACACCCATGTGTGCACTAAGAGGCAGTACACAAGGGTGCTCACTGCACAGCCGAGTGGAGGAGTACAATCTGGAAACCACCTCAGTGAGCACCAGGAGGATGGTGAAATAAATTATGGAACATCTGCACCCTGGAGTACCATGCAGCCATTAAATAAACAAGGCAGCTCCACTCAAACAGAGTGGGAAAGCATTCTAAAATATGCAATTAAGAAAAAAAGGCATGTCACCAAATAATGTGTAAAAATAATTCCATTTATGGCTGGGCACAGTGGCTTACACCTGTAATCCCAGCACTTTGGGAGGCCGAGGCAGGAGAGTTGCTTGAACTTGGGAGGCGAAGATTGCAGTGAGCCGAGATCACGCCATTGCACTCCAGCCTGGGCAACACAGTGAGATTCTGTCTCAAAATAATAATAATAATCTCATTTATGTAAAAATTATATGCATTGAACAGGTACATATATTGGCAACTTCCAAAAAAAAATCCTCAAATGATTCAGGGTAAACTGTAACAATGCTTCTCTCTGAGGAAGGATATGGGTTTAGAAGGGTATAAAAGGGAGATTCTTTTTTTAATCCTATACACCAGATTTTATCAAATCTAAGATATCACTGATTACAAGTGACACTAATTTTTATGTATCAATAAGAAAAAAAAACCACTGCCAGTTAAATGAAGACATAATACTTTCCCCCCTTTTAACTTATTTTGAAAAATATTTAGGCTTACAAAAAAATTACAAAAAAAAAAAACAAAAAACAAAAAAGCACAGAAACACAGACATTTCCCACATACCCTTCACTCAGCTTCCCCCAATGTTATCATGCTACAGAACCATAATACAA
Organism: Homo sapiens; assembly: GCF_000001405.40. Classification (NCBI taxonomy): domain Eukaryota; kingdom Metazoa; phylum Chordata; class Mammalia; order Primates; family Hominidae; genus Homo; species Homo sapiens. The sequence goes on along the minus strand of NC_000016.10, from coordinate 58,478,604 downwards.
TTAGAGAAACCAGGAAATTAAACACTGATACATACTGTTAAGTAATATACAGAACGTACATATATTTTACCAGCTTTCCTAATAATGCCTTTTTTGGGTCTAGGACCCAACCCAGGATGCCACATCGTATTTAGTTGGTATGTCCTCCTTGGCCTTCTCCAAATGGGACAGTTTATCAGCCCATCTTTTATAACCTTGACACTTTTTTTTTTTTTTTAGATGGAGTCTCATATTGTCGCCCAGGCTGGAGTGCAATGGCGCGATCTCGGCTCACTGCAACCTCTGCCTCCCACGTTCAAGTGATTCTCCTGCCTCAGCCTCCCAAGTAGCTGGGATTACAGGTGCCCGCCACCATGCCTGGCTAAGTTTTGAATTTTTAGTAGAAACAGGGTTTCACCGTGTTGGCCAGGCTGGTCTCAAACCCCTGACCTCGTGATCCATCCACCTTGGCCTCTCAAAGTGCTGGGATTACAGGCGTGAGCCACCACACCCGGCCAACCTTGACACTTTTGAAGAGTACTGGCCAGTTAGTCAGTAGAATGTCCTCGCTTTGGGTTTGTCTGTTGTTTTCTCATGATTAGACTGAGGTTATACATTTTTGGCAAGAATACGACAGAAGGAGGTGCCCTTCTCAGTTTGTATCAGCAGGCACATGATGTCAATCTGTCTTATTACAGAGGACGTTAACCTTGATCCCTTGATAAGGAGCTCTCTGCCAGGTTTCTCCACTGAAATGTTACTATTTTTCCCTTTGTAAGCAGTGTGGGAAGATACTTTGACACTATGTAAACATCCTATGTCTCATCATACTTCCCCACCCCCTCCACCCCCCTTACCCCTGCTAATTTTAACAACTATTGATTCTTGCCTACAGCAATTATTACTTTGGTGGTTGCCTAATGATAATTTTCTTTTTTTTTTTCCTGCTGAGGAAAAGAAGATAATTTTCTATTTCCATAATCTCTTCTACACTTATTGGAATTATCCTGTAAGAAAGAGTTGTCCTTTTTCCTCCTTTATTCAATTACTTATTTATATCAATAAGGACTCATGGATATTTATTTTACCCTGTGGGTTAAAAGCCATTGCTATCATTATTTGTTTCATTGTTCAAACTGGGCCAGGCTTGGCCATTGGGAGTTCCCTTAAGGTGGCTCTTTTGTGCTTTCAACATGTACCCATTATTTTTTGAGTTTCAAATATTCTAGCCTCATTACATGTTCTAAACTCATCTTGTACTTTCTCTGCCTCAACCATGAAATCAACCATTTCTCCAAGGAGACCTAGTTCCCTTTATTGGAGAATGACGTTTAGAAATCAAGATCTGGACACCAGGTGTGCTCATTGCTACTGGGGTGTCATTGGTCTAGGCCCTCTTAGCAGGCAGAGCTATGAAATGTATGCAAGACACTAACACACACACATACATATATATATATATATCACATATATATATATCACACATATATATATCACATATATATCATATATATGGAATCTGGAATTTATACTGATCCCTTTAACTCTAATTCAACACCACAGAGTGCATTCTAGCTTCCCCCGTTTGATTGCAATTGTTTTTCTCCAGTGGTGAGAAACCTGGCTCTCATCCATAATATTTTTGCTTATTTGTTCATTCCTGGGATACATATAAAGTAGTGTCAGAACTGCTACCCTTATGATGAGTTCCTGTCATTCAGGGGTTTTTTTGTACTTACTGAAAGAACTCTTTTAGAATATATTAGATCCAGATTTTAAAAAAGCATCTATCACTTTTGTAAATTTTTAAAAAGGAAAATATAATTGAAATAAATTGTTTAAGGTATTCCTTTTCACATTTCGAGTCCAATGTCTCTTAATCTCTCTATCATGGAGTTTTTAATGCTGTGCTATTCCACACAGCCTGGGCTTCTCCAGCATCAAGGATGCTCTACTACTATCTCTGGGATTTCCTTCTGAGCTGCTGACATCCACTCGCAAATTCTGATGTTCATGTGATGGCAGTAACAGCATGAGGCCCCCCTTGCCAACAGAGACTGTATGATGCATCCCAATCTTAGAGATGTTAAAGTATGAAAAAAAAGGTGCATCTTAGAAAGGACATAACACAGCGCTTTCATAAAGTAAGAAGGTGATGTACAGCACCAACGTGTAAACTCTGCTTCTCTACACAACATGGCTCCAGGTGTTAAGCACGGACATTACAATAGACACAACAGGCCTCTAATTCTAAGACCAAGGGCAAGGCCAGATGGAACTAGAATTCCAATAACACATTCCATTTAGGCAGCTTCTATAGGGAACCAGTGAAAGAGTCCTACTGCAGCAGAGACTGCTAATTATCCCCCCATATCTGTTCTCCCCTTCTTCCTTAATAATAATCCCCATATTTTAGATGAGTAGGTGGATGATGGGAATAAAATTTGTTTATGATGACGTGATGTTCTGCCAGTGCGAGGTAAATGGAAGCATGTTACTTTCAGGCAGTGTTCTTAAAAGGGGAGACATGGCTGGGCGCAGTGGCTCATGCCTGTAATCCCAGCACTTGGGGAGGCCGAGGCAGGTGGATCACTTGAGGTCAGGAGTTCAAGACCAGCCTGGCCAACATGGCAAAACCCCATCTCTGTTAAAAATACAAAAATTACCCAGGTGTGGTGGCCAGCACCTGTAACCCCAGCTATTTGGGAGGCTGAGGCAGGAGAATCACTTGAACCTGGGAGGCAGAAGTTGCAGTGTGCCAAGATTGTGCCACTGCACTCCAGCCTGGGCAACAGAGTGAGACTCTGTCTGAAAAAAAAAAGGGGAGACATGCCATTCTTTGACTCTTCCTCCTGCCTCCTGGCTGGAATACAGATGTGATGGCAGGAGCTTGAACAGCCATTTTAGGCTCAAAGGCAGGATTCTAAAGGTGGCATAGTAGTGATATAGAAATAAAGAGTCAAGGTACCTGAGAATCATGAAGCCATGATTTGGGAATCCTCTATTTTGAGATCCTGGTTATGAGAGAGAAAAAAATACTTTTATCTTACTTATTATTACCATGGGTTTTCTGTTACACACAGCTGAAGCTAATCTAAACTTGGGATATTTTTCTTGGAGACCCACCCTATCGTGCTAAAGGAAATCAAGGAAAAAGGAAAGGGTGGGGCTTTCCCAGAGAAAAACAGGGAAATGCTAGAGCAAACCTGCAACTTCCTCTCTCCAGCAGGCAGCATAATCCATGATGCCATTCTCTTCTGGCAGTTTAAACCAGTGAGCCAGCCCCTCCTAACCCACACCTCACAAGCTCACAATAATTATACTGACATGGGTAACCATGACCTACATTAAAAGGTTAAAAGCAACTGGCACTTTTTGTCACGAATTCTCGCATTTCTTTTACACGGGTGCCTCACTCAATTCAGCTGTGTATCTTTGCCCAAGCTGGCAAATTTCCCAGATACACATATCCTGGATCTTTGTGCAAGATTCAAACAGGTAAACTGAGTCAATGAAACTTCTCTGGCACAGGAGTCTGCAATACAGTCTCCAGTAAAGAGAGAGCCCGAGGGGCATCTTTCTTACTGGGCATTTTTGTCACGGAAAGCCCCTTACTTCTCTGAAATGCCTAATTTATTAGCATTTGAGGAATGACATTCATCTGGCAGAGAGGGACTCTGTTCCAAGCAACTCCCAGAGCTTTCCTGCCTCAAATGCAATGTCTGCAGAAGGGGCTACCTGCATTGGTCCCCACCTGACACCAAGGTCCTTTCTCCTAACAGCACTGGGTTTCCTTTTGGGAAACCTCCCTTCCCCATTCTCAGTACATGTGGTTTGGGCCCGAATGTCCATACCCCAGGAGTGGCCCAGGCCTAAGTCATTTATTCATTCACCAGATACTGATTTGGCACCTACTGTGTTCTAGGACTGGAGATAAAATACTGACCATTACAGACAAACATATCTACCTTCGGGAGCTTTCTGGGTGCTGGAGGGGAGGCAAAAAATCAACAAACCTAAGTAAATTCACAGAGTGTCAGACGACCTAAGCAATGCAGGAAGCAGCTTCACAGGAGGGGAGAGAGAGGGATGTGAAACAGGGTGGTAAGAGTGAGAAGCCACCTGCTGAGAAGGGGAGGCAAGCAAGACTTGAAGGAGATCCAGGAGCGAGCGTTGGGATGTCCGGGAAGGGCACTCAGGGCAGGGGGAACAGCAAGCGCAAAGGCCAGGAGGCAGGCGCCTGCATGTTTGAGCAAACGAAAGGAAGCCGGTCAGGCAAGCAAATGAAAGGAAGCCAGCTCACGCCTGTAATCCCAGCACTTTGGGAGGCTAAGGCAGGTGCACGGCTTGAGGCCAGGAGTTCGAGACCAGCCTGGCCAACATGGTGAAACCCCGTCTCTACTAAAAATACAAAAGTTAGCCGGGTGTGTGGTGTGTGGTGCACACCTGTAATCCCAGCTACTTGGGAGGCTGAGGCAGGAGAATCACTTGAACCTGGGAGGCAGAGGTTGCAGTGAGCTGAGATTACGCCACTGGACTCCAGCCTGGGTAACAGAGAGAGATTCTCTCTCAAAAAAAAAAAAAAAAAAAAAAAAAAGGGAAAGAAAAGAAAAGTGAAAAAACCAGGGTGGCTGGAGCAGAGTGAGCCAGGAGGGGAGGAGATGAGGACAGGGGTGGTAAGCGTTGGAGTGCTGGTCCCGTTCAGCCCTGAAGGTTGTTAGGGAAACTGGCTTTTACTCTGAGTATAAACATGCACTGGAGGGTTTTGAGCAGGGGGCTGATGTGATACAGTTTTCATCATGAAGGATCCCTCCTTCTGCAATGTGCAGAACAGAGCTGGGGGTTAGGGTGGAAATGGGGAGACCAGTTATTGAGGTGCTGCTGGCTTGCCACACAGCGGGAGTGCAGGAGGTGGCTGAAGTCCTCAGCTTCTGGGTATGTTCTGAAGGTAAAGCTAGGGGGACTCACGGATCCATCAGACATGGGCAGGAGAGGAAGAGAGAAGTTAGGGTGACTTGGTGGAGCTATGGAAGGATAGAGCTATCATTTATGATTTAGGGAAGACCTTGAGAAAAGGTTTGGGGGAAAGATGAGGGGTGTGGTTTTAGACCTGAGCCAGGTGGAGCTCCCCGTGGGCAGGTGGATGTAAGAGTTTGTGCTTCAGGTTAGCACGGTGGCTCAGGCCTGTAATCCCAGCACTTTGGGAGGCCAAGGTGGGAGGATTACTTGAGCCCAGGAGTTTAAGACCAGCCTGGGCAACATAGTGAGACCCTGTCTCCACAAAAATTTAAAAGTCAGCTGGGTGTGGTGATATATGCCTGTGTTCTCAGCTACTTAGGGGCGGGGGCTGAGGCGTGAGGATCGCTTGAGCCCAGGAGGTCAAGGCTGCAGTGAGCTGTGATCAGGCAACTGTACTCCAGCCTGGGCAACAAAGTAAGACCCTGTCTTTCTAAAGAAAGAAATGAAGGGAAGAGAAAGGGAGGAAGGAGGAGAAGGAACAGAGGGAAGGATAATACATAATACAGTTTTTAGAAAACAATTTGTACTTCAGAACCTTGGGAGGAGTCACTTCAAAGATATCATCATAGAGAGACTAGATGAGGTCATCTAGGGAGTGAATGAGGACAGGGAAGAAGATGTCCCAGCACTGAGCCCCAGAAGAAGACAATGAGGATAAAGCAGCAAAGCCAATGAGAAGCCACTGAGGCAGGAGACAGAGGGGTTGGGTGGCCTGGAAACCAAGTGGACCGAGCCCTGGGCCCGGTCTCGAAGGCCTTTACTGGAATCCTTGGAGAGGGGAAGCTCTTCCCCAGCAATGGGGTTTTCAGGAGGACGGTCTGTGAGCCAGCAACCACACTGCCCTTGCGAGGAAGGGCCTGACTTAGAGCTCAACCAATCCAGAGAACCAAACTAGTAGGAATGAGGGAGAGAGAGACAGAGGCCGATGGCCCTGTGTCCACTGTGCTGGCCAGGGACACCCCATCTTCCTCTCTTTGTATCAGTCTGAGTTCGGTTTCTGTCACTTGCACCCAAGAGACCTAACGTAACTTCTAAGTTATTCTCTCCTGCATGGTCCCAGGGGGTCGGGTGAAGCCAGCATCCCGCCTCTCCCTTTGGCAATCACACACAGGCAGCCGGGCCCCAGTGCGGGGTCAGAGGGCCCTACGTGCTTGACAGCAGGCCTTTCCCACCACACTCGAATGGCAACACCATGCTCTACTCCAGGGTAATTCGGCCTTTCCCAACCCAGGCACTTTCAGAGATGGACCCTAAGCTGTGATGGGGAAAAGCACCCCCAGGCCACCCTGGTCATCCTCCTGGGTGCTCACCTTAGGTTGTGGGTTGCAAGGGACCTCTGGGTCATCTCTGACAACTGCTCCTCTGCTCCGTCCACATAGGCCAAGCACAGAGTGAATACTCTGCAGCTGGTAAGGGCTTTGGGAGCAGTAGGCTGAGTGCACTTCCTTTATGGATGAGGCAAAGGCTGGTGCGGGAGCTCTTCCAAAAACTTAAAGGGGAGCCTGCTGGCTTCCCTCTCCCTATCCCAGAGCCCAGGCCCCAACAGCACATTTATCCTCCAGAACACCAAGTGGCCAATATTGTTAAAAGCCATTTCTGGCACCCCTAGAGCTGTCAGGAAACAATTTGGGGTGCACAGGGTATGATCCTAGGGACTGCAAACCCTGGACTTGGTTATGGGACTCTTCCACTCCCTGCTCTCTCTCACACACACACACTCACACACTCTGGGGAGAAGACATCCCAGAAATATTCCCTCTGTCCCCTCCAAAGAGGCTGGGGTCCCACCTTCCCCAGCTCACTGCCTAGGGTGGGACCTATCAGCAGGCACACAGCACCTGCCCGACCACCCCCGCCAACAGGTGAACTGAAGCAGCATCTAGGTCCCCAGGGTTATTTGTTATGGGGCTTAAGACACCTGATCACTCTGGCTGGCGATACATTCCACCTGTGGTTTGGAAGCTAAAGCACTGAGGATTAAGAGGCAGGGAGGGGGTGGTGTATGATGACAGCTTTCCTGGCTCTGTGAGACCAGGTTTATGCTAGGCTGGGTGGAAGTGCTCATCCCACTTAGGTTTGTGTGATGCTCTTCAGTTTATATAACAGTGTCATGGTGCTCTCCCAGCTGATCCCGCAACTACCCTGGGGGCAAAGCCAGGCTCAGTTCAAGGTCACACAGCCAGAGTGATCAGAACGAGGCTGGCAGACTCCAACCCACCGTGCTGTTCTCAGTGCAGGCCGAGGCCTGAGTGTGATCTGCACACACCCCTGCTGGTTTCCTGTGGCTGCTATAATAAATCACCACAAAATTGGTGGCTTAAAGCAGCACACATTCACGCCGAGGTCATGCCACACTGCCCTCCAGCCTGGACAACAGAGTACGACCCTGTCTCCAAAAAAAAAAAAAAAAAAAAAAAAAAGCAACACACATTCATTCTCTTATAGTTCTGGAGGTCAGATGTTCAAAATCAATTTCTCTGGGCTGAAATTAACATGTTGGTAAGCTGTCTCCCTCTGGGGGTTCTGGGAAGAATCTGTTCCCCTGCCTTTTCCAGCTTCCAGAGCTGCATTCCTTGGCTGGTAGCCCCTTCCTCCACCTTCCAAGTCCAACAACAGAGCTTCTTGCTGAAGCAATCATATCACCTGTTCTTCTGTTTTTGAATATCCCCTGCTTCCCTCTTTTTTTTTTTTTTTTTTTTGGAGATGGTGTCTTGCTCTGTTGCTCAGGCTAGAATGCAGTGGCACAATCTCAGCTCACTGCAACCTCTGCCTCCCAGGTTCAAGCGATCCTCCTGCCTCAGCCCCCTTCATAGCTGGGATTACAGGCACGCACCAACATGCCTGGCTAATTTTTGTATTTTTAGCAGAGATGGGGTTTTGCCATGTTGGCCAGGCCAGTCTTGAACTCCTGACCTCAGGTGATCCACCTGCATCAGCCTCCCAAAGTGCTGGGATTACAGGTGTGAGCCACCGCACCCAGCCCTGCTTCCCTCTTATAAAAACACATGTGGTTGCACTTACAGCCCACTGGATAATTCTGCAAAACAGCTCCAACTCAAGATCCCCAATCATGACTACAAAATCTCTTTTGCCACATCAGGTAACATTTACAGGTTCTAGTGATTAGGATATCTTTGGGGGCTATTATTCAGCCCAACACAGCCTCCTTCCAAGGTTCCCATGGCTCCACCTTTGCCTCTATTTTTCACTTTGCTGGTTCCTCCTCCTTAGACTTCAAGGAAAGCCAACTTCACATCCACCTTGAACCACTCCTCCTCCTGGCCTTTTCCTCTCTGTCCACTGGACTCCAGCTCATCTTCAGAATTCCCACAGGATTGGTTTTTGTCAGCATCTAGTGCTTTGCATTAATTTTTAGTTTTTTTAAAAAATTAGCCTTCAGAAGAGAATTTTTTTGTTTTTAAAAACAGAATTTGAATTTCTTATAAGACACATTCACTGAGAAAAGTGAGAAAAACAGAAGACCAAAAAGAAGAAAGTAAAAACCACATGCAATCCTGTTAACAGAAGAAGCCACTGTTAATGTGTTGTGTATACCCTTTTATTCATTTTCCAATGCTCATCTAGACACTGAAAGAAAATGTTTCTAACACAAACCAACAAAAAATATGTTTTGAAACATCTGTTGGACTCTGGAGTCAAGACATTCTGGTTTAAATTCCAGCCAGCCACTCACCATCTGTGTGCTCTTTGGCAAGTTACTTAACCTATCTGTGCCTCAGTTTACCTATTTGTAAAAAAGAAGAAATGATAGCACATACCTCCTAGGGCTGTTATGATGATGAGTTAACATATAGCATGTGGTTAAGACTATGTCTGGCGCACAGCAAATGCCATATACGTGTGAGCTGTCATCACCATTAGTATTACACTATTTAAGGGGATATCTGTTCAGATGGATAAATAACCTTTGGCAGTATAATTCGTAGCTACCTGGGGTTCTCTGGTATGAATGCACTGCTGCTCTACTGTTACGCATTTAGGTTGTTTCCAGTTTTTTGGGTTTTTTTTGCTTTTTTGCTTCTATAAACAATGAAGGGATAACTATCCTTGAACAAACACCTTTGCACACATCTTTATTTGTTCCTAAAAATTCAACTGCTGAGTCAGAGATCACACATATTTTTAAGCTATTGATACATCATTGCCAACTTGCCCTTTATAATCCTCTACCCAGAGGAACAGCACGCCCCTCTCCCCACACCCACCCTCCCTGAGCACACCCAATGACCCTCATGTCTCTCCTCTCCTCCAAGGGACCACGCTTCCTTACTAAACCATGTACGTGCCCCCACATCAACATCACAGCACCCCAGTGAAGCGGAGAAGCAGATGAACTGGAAATGAGGATCCAGGGTCCTGCTTTCAGCCTCCTAGGGCAAACCTATGCCTCAGTTTCCTCCGTATGTAAAATGTGGGTCAACACATCTGCCAACAAACACTAAAATCATCTATAAAATTGACTGGGGCTAGATATTCCATGTATTCAAATGAAACCAAAATTCTAAACAACTGGTAAAACTTTTGTTTCTCAATCACACATCAAGTATATTTTTAAAAATTTCCAAGATCCACTACTGAGGCTCCCCAGGGACCATTTCAGAGCCCAAATCTGCCATTTTAGAGCTCTGACTCTGAACCGTTTTGGAACATATTGCTCGAGTGCCAATGCGCAGAAACAACTGCCTTCCTACTTGCAAAAAGACCAGTGTCCCACTTTCACATATCACACTAAAAAATAAAAAAATCATCCGGCTACCGAAGGCACCAGGAATCTGCCCTCTGAGAATTGTAATGAGCTCGTGTGCAGGTGTGACGGTGTCTTGGGCTCCCTCACAAGTATCATCTTGGCTCCCCACAATATATATATTTTTGAGACTCGCTCTGTTGCCCAGGCTGGAGGGCAGTGGTGCAATCTCAGCTCACTGCAACCTCCTAATCTCAGGTTCAAGCAATTCTCCTGCCTCAGCCTCCCCAGTAGCTGGGACTACAGGCACACACCACCAAGCCCGGTTCATTTTTGTATTTTTGGTAGAGACGGGGTTTCGCCATGTTGACCAGGCTGGTCTAGAACTCCTGACCTCAGGTGATCCACCCATCTGGGCCTCCCAAAGTACTGGGATTACAGGCGTGAGACAACTGCTCTGGCCTAACACTGTTAATGAGGGCTATTATTCCCATTTTACTGATAAGACTGAGGCCGAAAGAAGGTAACAATTTGCCCAGGAGCTGAGAAGCACAGGGGAGACCCCGAAATTCACATCCTCTGATTCCAAAACCCCCGCCTTCCTTGTCCCTGTTGCAGCAAGACCCCGCTGAGGCGCCTGGAAATGGCCTCGACAAGCATTCATGATTTACAAAGCCTCCAGAAGGACCCCAACAGCCTCCTCTTCTCTCCAGAACAAAAAGACATGCTGGATCTGGGCATGACAACCCATGGGTCTCCTTCTAGTCCCACATGTGAGGGGGCACCTGGCCTTCCCCATGATGTCAGAGCTGTGGGTGTCTGGCTGGAAGGGCCCCACCCCCTGAGGCCATGCCTGACTCACAGGAACCTGAGACCTAAGTAGGGTCCCCCAGAGACACAGCTCAGAGAGGCCTGGACTGTTGTGAGAACCCAACGAAGGAACTGGAACACCCTGCGGGGAGGGAATCTGGAAACTGGAGCACAGTGGGAGGAGAAGGAGCCCCCAGCACAGTGATGGAGTGCACTCGGGAGGCGGCCTGAGGACGCCAGCTCCACGACTGTCATCAACTATCCGCCCGCCAGAAGCTGCACTCGACGTCTTGCACACGCTCACACACCTAATCTCCAAAGATCCCAGCCAGGTAGGCACCACGACGATCCCATTTTACAGATGAGGAAAATGAAGTGTGGAACGGCTATTAGACTGTCCCAAAGCCAGGCAGTTAGAATGCCATATGGGACAACTCCCGGCTCAGGGCTGGGTTCTGAATCCAGTGCTGCCTCTTCTGAGAAATAGGAACATGAGGAAGTCACTGACTTCACTGGCAAGACAGGCAAGATAATAAAATAGGAGAATGTGAAAAGTATACAGAACTAAATCAATTTTTTTTTTTTGAGACAGAGTCTTGCTCTGTTGCGTAGGCTGGACTGCAGTGGTGCAATCTTGGCCCACTGCAACCTCCCTCTCCCAGGTCCAAGTGATTCTCCTGCCTTAGCCTCCCAAGTAGCTGGGACTACAGGCGTGCGCCACCACACCCAGCTGATTTTGTATTTTTAGTAGAGATGGGGGTTTCACCACGTTGGCCAGGCTGGTCTTGAACTCCTGACCTCAGTGATCTGCCTGCCTTGGCCTCCCAAAGTGCTGGAATTACAGGTGTGAGCCACTGTGCCCAGCCTTCAATATGAGTTTTTAAAATTCAGTAAAAATTTCCTAAGGCTGATGTCGGGGCAGGGAGTTAGAGGCCTCTACAGAATTATCCTAGAGACGTAGATGCCGAGTGGGCTGTGTGAGCCTAGCCTCAGTCAGCAACCCTTGAGCATTTGCTGTGTGCCACCACAATAAAGTGGCCACCTCCCGGACTGTGACCTGCTTGTTATCCAATGGGGGAGATGGGTCAAATCTCACAGACGCAGGAAAGCAGGGATAAAGGAGGGTGGGGGCAGATCCAAATGCTCTAGGTGCCAACCAGCCAGGACAGGTGGGGCCCAAGAGGTGCCCACCAGGGTCTAGGTCCCAACCACGTGTGTCGCCTACACTATCTCAGCAAGCCTTACACCATCTCTTAGAGACAGGGGCCAACAGTTCCATCTTTAAGATGAGAGGGCTGAAGTCTGAGAGGTTAAGCAACCTGTCTGAAGTCACACAGCTGGCTACTGATGGGGTTGGAGTTAGAATCCCGATCTGTGAGAAAAGGAAGAGGACAGAGAGGGAAGTCTGTGAAGACCACAAAATAGCAACAGAGGGGATGGGTTGTCTCCCAGGGCCAGGTTGCAGGTACAATGGGGGCGGAGCCTGTGACTGATGACAGTAACTGAGAGGGGCCTCATCCACCCTGGCCAGGGACTTAGAAAGCCCGCCAGAATCTGGTGACCCCATCTGGTGGGGGAAGAGGGGTCCTGACTCCTCTATCCAGGAGATGAGAGAACAGTGCATGGGGTCTCCAAAGCCTAGACCCCTGCTTGAGCCCCCCACACATGTCTCCTGTGAGCATTTCTCATCCAGGCCCTTTGGGGGCAGGAAGAGTTGGGGAAGAGAGGAACCAGGAGATCTGTTCACCATGCAGAGCTCTAAAAACCCATGGTGGGGGCTGGGTGCGGTGGCTCACGCCTGTAATCCCAGCACTTTAGGAGGCAGGGGCAGGTGGATCACTTGAGGTCAGAAGTTCGAGACCAGCCTGGCCAACATGGCGAAACCCATCTCTACTAAGAATACAAAAATTAGGCATGCATGGTGGCGCGTGCCTGTAATCCCAGCTACTTGAGAAGCTGAGGCACGAGAATCCCTTGATCCTGGGAGACGGACGCTGCAGGGAGCCGAGACTGTGCCACTGCACTCCAGCCTGGGCGACAGAGTGGGACTCCATCTCAAAACAAAACAAACAAACAAAACACCCATGGAACCGCAAGCCTTCCCTCCAGGGGGTTAACAAGTTCAGTGGCCTGCGCGGTTCCCTTCCAAGTTGGGTGAGCTGGGCCTGCCTCAAGTGAGCTCCACAAAGAAAAAGTTGGCAAGGGATTGGAGGGGGTGCCAGCCCCGTGGCTAACTGGGCTCAGCGCTGGAACTTCTGAGCACCCAGTCAGTTTCCAGTGTCCCAGGAACAGCTTCCACCTTTCCTTCTCTACAAGTCTGTCACGAGCTATTGCTGATTTATTTATTTATTTTTTTGTAAAGATGGGGTCTCGCTATGTTACCCAGGCTGGTCTTGAACTCCTGGCCTTAAGCGATCCTCTGGCCTCAGCCTCACAAAGTGCTGGGATTACAGGCATGAGCCACTGCGCCTGGCCTGCTACTGCCGATTTAATAAAACCTCACCCAACGTACCCCACCCCCACCTTCTAGCCCCCTCCCCCGCAACACACACGCACATTCCAGGCCATTCAGCCTCCATACCTCTCCCCGAACAAGCCTCTCTCACACCCCAGAGCATGGGCCATTCCCTTGATCCTGAACCCATAATGCCACCTCCTTCTTCATTAACAAAAATTGTTTTTCGAGGTCTTCAAAAGCTGCCCCCGACTCGGATTCCACCGTTTCCTGAGCGCACCCACAGACGGCTGCCCCTTCCAGCCTTGTAACAGGGCTCCGGGGCTCTGCTCCCTCATCGGACATTAAGGTCCTGGAAGGCAGTGATCAGCCCCCTCCCCCAGGTGTCGGAGGACACTTACTGGAATCTGTGCTCATCTGACATACACGGATGGAGCACCTATAAGTCCCAGAGCTGGAGGAAACCGGGTTGCTTTCCTTTCCTCCTGTCTGGGTCTCTCCACACCGGGGAGAACACAGAAGTCACTCCTCGAATCCTCCCCCCCGTCCCTGCTCCCTTTCCCACCTCCTCTTCCTGACCGTTCGCTCTTGCTCTCCAGCCACTGCCCCCTGGATGTGAGTTTCCAGCAGGGCAACTGATCACTTCTCCAGAGGAGCCCCAAGGCTGAGGGTCCCCAGTCAGTAGGGTCCAATCTGGCTTCCCACTTCCCAGGCCACTTGGCGTCGCCTCCACTCCCAGCAAGAAACTTCTCCCCCAGAGAAAGACGGCTCAGATTGTCACAGGGCGCAGAAATAAGAGGTCCATGGCGCGGGTCCTGCCAGAAGCCCACGGGTCCTTTCTTAGGGGACAAGCGACACTGATTGGAGGGCAGGAGCCCTGAGCTAGCTTTCAGGGTCCTAATCCGAGCTCCGCTGGTCAGAGACCCCATGGGGCCACCCCCTGACCGGTGCTCCCGCAGCCCGGACGCCAGCGCCAGGGACTCGCCACAACCTCAAGTCCTCTCCCGGGGCTGGGCTCCGCACACAAACAGGTAGCACAAAACTAGGACTTAGTTGGGGTCCGCACCCCTTCCTGCTCAGACCCGAGCCGCCCCAGTCCCCGGCCGCCGCGCCCGGAGTCCGCTCCAACTCGGAAAGTGGCGGCCGGCTGCGGGGCAGGCGGGCGGTACCTGTGAGCAGCTCCAGCCGGTGTCCCAGCACCTTCATCTCGGCGCCCGGCGCGGCCCGGCTCTGGGTGGCGGCGTCGGGGCAGCGCGCTCGGCCGAGCCGGGGAGAGGAGCGCGGGAGACCCGGAGCGGAGCGGCAGGAGAGCGCGGAGCGAAGCGGCAGGAGCAGCTCACAGCCAGGAGCGCTCTCCCGCCCCCAACGCCGCGCTCCCCCCTCCAAAACGGTTTAAAAAAATCCACCAATTGCATGGCCGCGCACCCCCAAAAAGGCACCCGCCGCCACCTGGTCCCGGTGAACTCCAGGAGGCGGAGGAAGGGCGCGGGGTGGGTGCGGTGACACCGTGGGAGGTGGTCCCCCGTGCCCGCCGCCCGAACAAAGAGACCCCGCCGCCTCCGGGCGTCGCGGTGGGGGGTCGCGGACGGCGGCTGGGGGTCCCCAGCGCGGCCGGGAAGGCGAGGAAGGAGAGCGGGAGCCGCGGGGAGGAGGGGGCGCCGCCCCCGCGGAGGCGAAATGGGGCGGGAGCGAGTCGGTGCGGGACTCGCGGGGCTAGGGTCGTGCGTGGGGCTGGGGTCGTGCTCGGGGCTGGGCTGGGCTGGGCGGGGACGCGCGCAGCAGCCGCGGCGGCGAGAGAAGCTGGCCCTGGGCTCAGGGGCGAGGGCGCCGCCGACTCACCGCGGAGATGCGGACGAGACAGACGCGCAGGCGGGGAGCGGGGCTTCGGCGCCGCCGACGCGCGGGTGCAGGTGCGGGCAGCCAGGAGCCCCTCCGCGTGCCCGCGGCTGCAGGGGCGGAGGCCGGGCTGGGGGCGGTGCGCCGCGGGGGCGTGCCCGCGTGGGTTTGGCGGGTGTGGGCGCTCGGCCCGCGGGGCGGTGCCGGGCCTGGGGCTAGTCCCGGACGGACCGCGGTCCCTCGCGCGTGGCTTCCGCCTTCTGCGCGGCTGGGGTGCCCGGTGGGCGGGCGGGAGGGCGAGCGGGGACCGCGACGCGGAGCCTGGGGGACACCCCGGTCGATCCGCGCCCCCGCCGACTTCTCACCCGCTCCGCCGCGCGGACTGTGCTGGGTGCGCTGCGAGGCCCTGCCCGCCCCTCCAGGCCCCCTGTGGCCGCGCGGCGTCGGGTTCCCGGGGGAGGGGACGGCGCTGCCGTAGTCTTTGTTTAGACTCCCAAGGGGAACCTTAGACCTGCAGAGACATCCCCATCCCAGCGCCCCTGCGCCTGCTGCTTCGCGCTACCCGCCGTCGCCGCCTGGGAACCGAGGGAGAAAAGCCCTTAGGGTCGGGAAGAACCAGGGGCTCAGGGGCCTCTGGGGCGTCGTCCCCCTCCCCCCGTTTTCGGAGCCCGAGGGTGTCCTTGAGGAACTTGTGCAGGAGTGAGGAGGGACATCCCCTAGCAAAGGTGTCCTGGTCCCTCAGGGTCCCACCCTGAAGGTGGGGAGGTCTCTGCTCCCCTCAATTCACCTCCATTATCTGAGCGGGAAAGGGAACATGGGGACCCGTCTCTTCCTCAGGCTCATCCTGCTCGGGGCCCCGAGGCACTCCTCCCTCCTGCCACTCCCCTCACCAGCCCTCCTTTGGTCCCAGATGAAGTCCCACTCCAGGGAGTACGGAAATCTGATGGCCTGAAAAATTTTATTTGGACAAGACAGCTAAAGACAGGGCTCCTGGAGAACCGGGTTCTATTCAGGCTCGGCCGGTGACCTTGGGCGGGGCTCTGCTCCTCCCTGGGTTCCAGTCTTTTCCATGCAGGACTCTGTTGGACCAGGTCATCTTGGAGGTCCAGGATGGCGGTGGGGTTGGGGGTGCAGAGGGGCCTGCAGGCTTCCGGGCCCTTCCGCAGACCTCTCTCTGGGCTGGTTTGCGGAGACGCCCTGGTTTTCCTTTCCCCCAGCTCCAGGGGGCTGTGGCCGTGAATTAACCGATCCACCAGCTGAGGAAGCTGGTAAGATTTTGGTGGCCCCAGATGGGGCATATGTTCCCGCTTGGGTTACAGCTTTGTCCTTGGGTTACCCCTACAGCTTGGGGTGCAGTGTATAAATCACAGGAGGCAGCAATTTGGGTTCCTTGCTCTGCGGAAATCCCTGCCTCTCAGTTTCCTCCTTTGCAAAGGTGTGGAGGGAGGTCGGTGATGACAGAAGTGAACCTCTATTTCTGACACCTCCACCAGGCTTAGTTCTATATATAGCAGCCAGGAGCCAGTCCTTAGGAGCACAGGCTGGTCCTACAGCTTCCTGGCTGTGGAATGTTTGGCAAGCTGCTTACCCTCTCTGAGACGTCATGTCATACTCTGTGAAATTGGGATGATGCTGACCTCAGGATTCCTGTAAAGATTAAATAACAGAATATAAAGAAAATGCTTAATATAGTGCCAGACGCATGACTTAAGTTTAAGTGTTCAATACATGGTCATTATTATTATTCATGATGAAATTGTTATTATCGCATGAGAGATTCTTTCAGGCTTACCTGAGTCCTACCCTTTTCAGTCATTTCAGACTTTGTCATTGGACAAAATTAATTGTTGATGTTCTAGTGACATAATTCACGGGGCCTAGGCTGTTCTGCAGGCTGCCTAACAGGAGCTTTGACACTATGACACGCCTGTCTGAGACATGGTGTCTGCAGTGGCCTTGAACTCATGCAGACTATCCATGTAGCTCAGATAGTTCATGAACTCCTGTGAGCATTCCAGTGAGTCAGGTTGTGGATTTGAACTCCTAAAAGTGGAGACAGTAGGGCCGGGCGCGGTGGCTCATGCCTGTAATCCCAGCACATTTGGGGGCCGAGGTGGGTGGATCACCTGAGGTCAGGAGTTCAAGACCAGCCTGGCCAACATGGTGAAACCCCATCTCTACTAAAAATACAAAAATTAACTGGGCGTGGTGCACATACCTGTAATCCTAGCTACTCAGGAGGCTGAGGCAGGAGAATCACTTGAACCCAGGAGGCGGACGTTGCAGTGAGCCGAGATCGCGCTGCTGCACTCCAGCCTGGGTGATAGAGTCTAAAAAATACATAAATAAATAAATAAAAGTGGAGACAATAGATGAAGAAGAAACGTAATCGTGAGAGTCCCCAGGGCTATTGCATCAAACAAAGGTGCATAAGGAAGAGGTAGGTTGAGGAGGCCCTGACCCTTCTGGAAACATCAGTCATGACAGGCAGCGGAGTCACTACTGAGTCAGCAGAAGGGCAAGCTCTGGGTCCCCTGTGCCGCTGGGCTCTCTTCATCTTCAGCACTCTGCGGAGGAGGGGTGATGTTTGGGAGCAGGTTGGATTAACAGTGAAAAGCAGAACAGTGCAGAGAGCCAAGCTGTTGCCTGGGACAGGAGGCCTCTAAGAAAGTGTCCCCCCAGCCTTGCTCCTAATTACTTGAAACATGCTTCCTAAGTCACTGCCTTGTAAAATGGGCAGAAGATCACTGGCCTGCACCCAGGTCGGAGATGAGATAACCTTTCTAAAGATCTCAAATGAGCCTTCACTTCTCATCTGTAAACTCAGGCTGATATATCTAGTCAGGGTGTTTAATTGCAAGAAATAGAGACCTACTCTGGCTAATTGAAGCAGAAAAAGGCTTTGTTAAAAGGAGGATAGGCCGGGCATGGTGGCTCACCCTGTAATCCCAACACTTTGGGGGGCTGAGGCGGGCAGATCACTTGAGGTCAGGAGTTCAAGACCAGCCTGGCCGACATGGTGAAACCTCACCAAAAATACAAAAATTAGCCAGGTGTGGTGGCACACGCCTATAATCCCAGCTGCTTGGGAGGTTGAGGCAGGAGAATTGATTGAACCCAGGAGGCAGAGGTTGCAGTGAGCCGAGATCCTGCCACTGCACTTCAGCCTGGGCAAAAGAGTGAGATTCCGTCTCAAAAAAGAAAAAGAAAAAAAAAAAAAAGGAGGGTGGGCATCTCTTGGAATATCAGGTGCCAGGCCTGACACTGCTATGTTGGCCTGATGTTAAAACCACTACTGCCATCCCCCAGCACAGAAGCTGCAGCCAGTGCCACCCCTGGACGTGGTCACTGGGCACTGCCATCAGGAACTCAGCTGCTGCTTCCCCAGTCCTCACCGCAGTGGATTCTGTGTGGTCTTGGCTTCCTCGTGCCACTAGTTTCTAATTAACAACCAAGAACAGAACACGCCCAGGTGCAGTGGCTCACACCTGTAATCCCAGCCCTTTGGGAGGCTGAGGCAGGAAGATTGCTTGAGCCCAGGAGTTCAAGACCAGCCTGGGCAACATGGCAAAACCCTGTCTCTACAAAAAATGCAAAAAGTAACCAGTCATGGTGATACACGCCTGTGGTCCTAGCTACTCAGGAGGTTGAGGCAGGAGACTCGCATGAACCTGGGAGACGGAGGTTACAGTGAGATGAGATTGCACCACTGCACTTCAACCTGGGTGACAGAACAGACTCTGTCTCGGTAAATAATAAATAAATAAATAAGTAAATAAATAAATAAATAAATAAATAGAATGGGATGTCTGATTGGAGGAGCATAGGTCATATACTTTGGCAAAGCTGTAAGCAAAGCTGGGGAAAGATGTTTTCAGTTTCTCTAGTGGGAGGTGGGCTCTGCCTTGTAGAAAGGGTGTGTCAGCTGCTGGGGGCCAAGAGTGACCAGTGACCACTTCAGATAACAATGGTCTTGTGAAACTGTTGTAAGATGATGCACATGGACATTTGACTTGGAGCCTGGCGTGGAGGGAACATAGGGATCTCAACGATCCCTCGTTGTTGAGATTCATACCACACTGTAAATGTAAACCAGTGGTACTCCTCCATTCTTTAAATTTTTGATTTTTCAGCAGGTAAAAGACAAAAGGACCTTGAAAACAGTATGGCTTGCTGCCCTTCCACAGACAGAGGCAGCTCCAGTCCTGCTGCCAGGAGGACAGGTGACTGGGTTTTTCCATTGTGGTGATGAATTGGGCTGAGTCACCATCCCCTCGTGACCATGACTGGGAGCAAGTAGAAAGAACCAGCTGATGGAGTCAGAGGTGCAGATGATGAACCTGGGGCCAATGAATCTTCTTCCCTTAGCAGGGGTGGGGGAGATAGGAACTGTCTCCCCCTCCCCAGTAACACTCCCTACTTCCGAATCTTGAGCCACACTCAGGGAGAGAAGAGAGGCTCCTTTCTTTCCTTTCATAGTATTGATTGAGCGTCTTTTTGGTGTTGTGGGGTTCAATGGAGAACAGAGCTGATCAGGACATTGACCTTGACTTTAAGGTTCATGCACTGATGGAAACCAGCTCAGAGTCCCATAATCTCAGTACCAGGCCGACTCTACTAAGATGAGTAATTGATGTTACCATAGAGTGCAGTGGAGGCCTAGGGGACTCAGCAAGGGCTTCCTGGAGGAAGAGGCATCTGAGCCCCCAAGAGGTGGAAGATCAGCAGATGGAGATGGGAGGCGGACGAAAGGGAGAGAACATCCATCCATCCATCCATCCATCCTACACTGGATCAGCCAGGCCCTGTGCTGAGCTCAGGGAGGCACAGAGCTAAGCACATTGCAGCCCTGCCCCTCAATGGGAGCTCCTGAATTGAGGTGGAGAGGCCTGGGTATGCATGAGTAGATGGTGAGGAAGCTGGAACGAGGAAGCGGGTGGGGAAGAGTTCCCGGCCTCAGCCTGGCTCTGGAATTTCACCAGTTACCAGATTATCTGCTCCCTGCTCCTGGGCCACCGTGGACGACTCACTGGTTTTATTGCAATCCCCTTTCTCCCATGATATGTAAGGGCCCTTTGCCCTGCAGGGCCAGCCCCTTGCTATCCTGGTAACTCTGGACACCCCACTGTCTCCTCGGTTCCTGAGGACAGTAGAGCCCCCTCCAGTGCCATTTGCAAATGTCCCTCCACTTCCCCTGGAAACTTTAGCAGGCTCATGGAAACCCAGTTGGTGCTGAGTCAAGGCAAGAGGTGGAACTGATAATATTGTTTACAAATTATAATAGTTATGTATATTCAATGCATAAACCTTATGCAGGGGGAAAATAAAAATCACTAATAATTCCACTGCCTAACAATAGGCAGTGTTAACATTTTGGGGGTATGATCTTCAATGCTTTATATATATACATACGCACATACACACACACACACACACACACCACACATATACACACACACACACAAACACACACATATATACAGTGGCCCTCTGTGTCCATGGGTTCCACATCCATGGATTCAACCAACCACAAATCAAAAATATTAAAAAATAAAATAATGTAACTATAAAGTAATGCAAATAAAAAACAATACAGCATAACAACTATTTACACAGCATTTACATTGTATTAGTTTTTTTGTTTTTTTTTTTTTTTAGATGGAGTTTTTCTCTTGTTGCCCAGGATGGAGTGCAATGGCACGATCTTGGTTCACTACAACCTCCACCTCATTTCAAAGCCTGAGGTTTTGTTTTGATCTTGTATTATGGTGTGTGTGTGTTTTTATTGTTTGTTTGTCTGTTTGTTTTTGAGATGGAGTCTCCCTCTGTCACCCACGCTGGAGTGCAGCAGCCTGATTCTGGCTCACTACAACCTCCGCCTCCCAGGTTCAAGTGATTCTCCTGCCTCAGCCTCCGGAGTAGCCAGGACTACAGATGTGCACCACCACATCCAGCTAATTTTTGTATTTTTAGTAGATACAAGGTTTCACCATGTTGGCCAGGCGGTCATGAACTCCTGACCTCAAGCAGTCCACCCACCTCGGCCTCCCAAAGTGCTGGGATTACAGGCGTGAGCCACCGTGCCCAGCCTGATCTTTGTTATGGTTATGTAAGATGTTATCATTGGGGGAAATTGAATGAAGGCTACACTGGACCTCTCTGTACTAATTTTTTTGCAACTTCCTGTACATCTACAATCATTTCAAAATAAAACAACAACAACCAAAAAAAATTGAGGCAGGCCGGGGATGAACTATTTGACCTCAGTTTCAGAAGCTTCTGTTTTAAACTCTACACTTTGTCACGTGGACCAGAGCTAAGGTTTCCTTGTCTCAGTTTCCCTTGAAAGGTGGGACTTGGTCTAGGGAAAAGCACCCCTCATGGAGAGTGGCGGGTGACCATCCAGGCTCTCCTCCATCATAGTGCTCCTGCAGCCCAAATGTGTGCTTGAGGGGCTGACCTACCCTGCTCTCTGCAGGAGGGGAGAACCCGAAGGGGAAAAAGGGGAGGCACGGTTTCCCTTGTGGGCTCCAGGGAGTTTCTAGGACAGGTAGGAATCTGGCCGAAAGCAGACGAAAAGATGAGACTTGCTCTTTGGAGCTGGGCAAAGCCTTCTCTTTCCTTAGGAAAACCCGTATGTCCAGAGAAACATCTCTCCTGAAGAGCTGGAGAGGGGCCCCCTTTTGGCAGGCTCATCCTTCTTGGGTTGTCATTGGCCCAGCCTCATCTTGGGCCTGAGCTAAAGCCACCCACAGAGCTGGGCATGGGCCACTCCCCAGACCTGGGGCAGACTCAGCTCTATGGCTCACCACCCAGGGGCACTCTCCGTTCTCAGGGGCTGCAGCTTCCCCAGTGTCCTGAGCACCATGACAACAGGGTTGGGTTGAATCAGGTTTCAATCAAGTTTCCAAATAACAGAAACTGGGGAGCCAACTTAGAATGCTGGCTTGAGAGTCCCCAGGATCACCCTCAGGCTTCATGATTTGCTAGGACTCACAGAACTCAGAAAAGCCATTGTACTCGTATTTATCACTTATTGTGGTGTAAGGATACAGATCAAAATCAGTAAAAAGAAAAGGTACAAAAACAAAGTCGCGGGGATATCAGGTGCATGCTTACAGGTGTCCCTTCCTAGTGGATTCACCTGGGAACACACTAATTCTTCCAGCAACAATGTATGATGACTTATGCAAGGTGTTACCAACCAGGGAAGCTCACCCAAGCCTTAGCATCCAGGGTTTTTATTGAGGTCAGTCATGTAAGTATGCATCACCCATGTGACCAACCTTAGCCACCAGTCTCCAGGCCCCCAGAGATCAAACGGACACAGTGGTGTCAGACAAATAAAAACAGGCATTCATCACAAGTTACATTGTTAGCATAAACTCTGGTCAAACTGATACAGTGTGCCAGGAGGCCCCAGACGTACAAAAACATTGTTATCAAACAGGATGCTACAAGGGCTGAGGTTATCTCCCAGAAGGAGTCAAGGGCCAGCCCCTTCTTTGGAATGTGCAGGGTTTGAGCAATACCAGCCTGCTGAGCTAACTCTTTACTGTTCAGATGCCAATCATTTATTTTACCTAATACACGCAGAAATCATCTGTTATCACCATGATTTCATAAAAGAAAGATTTAATGCCAAGAAGGTAGTTTGGACATTATGACAGTGTGGGTGGAGGTCTGTGCTCTCCAAGAGAAAACAGTTGGCTTGATGTCGCTGACTATGAAAATGAAGGGACCAGAAGCCACAAGTGTACACCATGAACCCAACATGGGCTTTTTTTCTTGTTTGTCTGCACAGCTTTGTCTCCAGTCAAGGAAGGGATGACCTGAGAGGCTCAGCCTTCCCTCTGCTCCTGTGCTGGTTCTGAGTCAGATGTCCCTACTCTTGGGCAGGACCAGGCCCTGCTGAGGATGGGAGGGCACGGTATGGAACCCTCCTCCCTTAAGCATCTAAGCCTGTTTGTCCTTTCTTTTCTTGGAACTCATTACTATTACAACTTATTCTGGCAAAGAAGGGAGTCTGTTCTTTTTTAGCAAGTGCTGTGGCCTCTGCCCTGCCCCTTGCCCCAGGCTCTGGTCCCTACTAGGCTGACTCTATGACCCTAGGATAGAACAGCTATTCTTTTTTTTTTTTTTTTTTTCTTTTTGAGACAGGGTCTCATTCCATTGCTCAGGCTGGAGTGCAGTGGTGTGATCATAGCTCACGGTAGCCTCAACCACCTAGGCTCAATCGATCTTCCCACCTCAGCCTCTTGAGTTGCTGGGACTACAGGTGCATGTCGCCACACCTGGCTAGTTCTTGTATTTTTTGTGGAGATAGGGTTTCCCCATGTTGCTCAGGCTGGTCTCAAACTCTTGGACTCAAGCAATTCTCGTATCTCAGCCTCCCAAAGTACTGGGATTACAGGCATGAGCCTCTGCGCCTGGCCAGAACAGCTATTCTTCTAAAGTCTCAACTCACCCCGCTTTCCTCACCATATATCCTCCATGCATAGAGCTGAGCATTAAAGACCTGGGCTGCTGGCCTGTGCAGGCTTCATGGCTTGGAGACAGACAGCCCTGGGTTCCACCATCCACTACCTGGGTGACCTGGAGCAAGTAACCTAACCTTGCAGATCTCTTTGTTTCTCAAGTGGGTCTAATGATAAAGCTTTGAGGAATTAGTGAGTGGGTAACAGCCCAGGGCCTGGTGCCGTTTGAATCCATTGATTAGTAGCTGTGAGGACGATGAATCACGTAGTTTCAGGTGCAAAGCGTGGGGGCAAAGAGAATCCTTGTGATGAGTGCAGTAGGTGCTGTGACACATCCAGCTGCCTTGGAACTGGGTGCTGAGAAGTCAGGGGGGTCCTGGGGCTTCAAGACTTCTGGGGAGGGAGCACAACTCATGCACATGACGAGAAGAGAGCTGGTGGGGCTTTGGGGTTGTGAGGACTGAGGGGCTTGTTCACCGTGGGGTCTTTGCATGTGCATTCTCTCTGTCTGGAGACCTCTTCCTTCCATTTTCTACACCTCCCATTTATCTCTGGAGTGTCCATTTAGACCTCAACTAACCCCTTCATTCCCTGACTCGCCTCCTCTGGGCCCCCTTTGAGCCCCCTGCTTTGTTGTAATAATAATCTGCCATTTATTGTGCCAGGGATAATGCAGAGGGCATTACCTACATATGTTATCTCCTTTGACTCACTCAATATTTAGAGAGCTAGCTGTAGCTTTATTTTTCTGATTTTACAGATGAAGAAACAGATACACAGAAGTGAAGCTGGTGGCTCAACAACCCTCCCTCACTCCATACAGTGGTTGTCTGTGTGCAATTTCATCTGTGCCCTGAACGATGAGCTTCCTGAGGGCAAGGAAGCTTGATCACTGTTTAGCCCCAGATACTTAGTAGATGGGAGCCCTCCACCAGTCCTTGCTGAATGAATGAATGAATGAATGAATGAATGAGTAGATGAATGTTTGTAAAGTGGCAATGCAAGCTGGGAATACCATGGACCACGGACAACAAACAAATATTAGTACCTGTGGTGGGCAGAATAACCCCCCCCCCCCCCAAATCCTAATCCCTGGAACCTCTGAATATGTTATGTTACTTGGCAGAGGGAAAGGAAGGTTGCAGATGGAATGAAAGTTGCTAATCAGCTGACTTTAAAATAGGGACATGATCCTGGATTATCTAGGTGGGTCCAAGGTAATCACGGGGGTCATCAAAAGTGGAAGAGGGAGGCAGGAGGGAACCAAA
Organism: Homo sapiens; assembly: GCF_000001405.40. Taxonomy (NCBI): domain Eukaryota; kingdom Metazoa; phylum Chordata; class Mammalia; order Primates; family Hominidae; genus Homo; species Homo sapiens. Next base: position 58,454,055 of record NC_000016.10, on the reverse strand, counting down.
GAAATGGCAGTGTGAGAAGGATGTGGCTTGACAGTGTTGCTGGATTTGAAGATAGAGAAAGGGCCACAAAGCCAAGGAAAGCATGCAGCCTCTAGAAGCTGGAAAAGGGAAGGAAGGGGATTCTCCCTTACAGCTGCCAAAAGAAGGGCAGCCCTGCCGACATCTTGATTTCAGCCCAGAGAGACCCATTTCAGACTGAGGACCTCCAGAACTGTAAGCAAATATATTTGTGTTGTTTTAAGCCACAAATGTGATTTTTTTTTTTTTTTTGATGGAGTTTTGCTCCGTTGCCCAGGCTGGAGTGCAATGGGGCAATCTTGGCTCACTGCAACCTCCGCCTCCTGGGATCAAGCGATTCTCCTGCCTCAGCCTCCCAAGTGGCTGGGATTGCAGGCATGCACCACCATGCCCTGCTAATTTTTTTTGTATTTAGTAGAGACGGGGTTTCACCATGTTAGTCAGGCTGGTCTTGAACTCCTGACCTCAGGTGATCCACCCGCCTCTGCCTCCCAATGTGCTGGGACTACAGGCATGAGCCACCACACCCGGCCCACAAATGTGATTTTTGACAGCTTCCACAAAAAAGTGAATATAATGCCCTATCCCTGATGTCAAGAATCACATCTGACCCTTAGTGGTCACTTATCATATGATGGTTGAATTGCACTGGAGTATTGCTATAAGCACCCACTTACTATCAGGAAAGATGCATAACAAAAAAGTGCTTTTAAAAAATTTATATTTTGGGGTCTAACTGGGAGGTCTCAATGTGGGTCAGAATTTGATTCTGAGACAGAACCATTGGCTCAGCAGGTTGGGCTGGATGGATCACAGAGAGTGACACCAGGGGCCTTCTAGGGAAGGGAGTCACAGGCTAATGAGTGAGTAGTGATGCTGGACAGGTAGATGTCAGCATCCTGGGACCACCTATGGCCTCAGGCCTGGGGTCCCTGCATAATCATTAGGGCTACCATGCATTGAGTCTAGACCCTCTGCCAGACAGGATCCTAAGCCCCCCACAACATCAGCCCAACAGCCCATTATGTAGGCAACACGATGTTGCCTGCCTGCCAGAGGAAAGAACAGCCAGCCCTCGTGTACTCCTCCACCATGCCAGACACTGTTCCAAGAGTGGCACATCCTTAACCCATTGAGTCCTCATAACAGCCCCATGTGATGGCTCCCATCATTGTCCCCAGTTTACAGATTAGGAAACTGAGGCCTAGAAAGGAAGTCACTTGCCCACTCGCATAGCCAGTAATTGGGTCTGAACAAAGGCACTGTGGGCCCAGGGTCTCTGTTCTTTTTCTTTTTTTGAGACAGAGTCTCCTACTGTCACCCATGCTGGAGTGCAGTGGTGCAATCATGGTTCATTGCAGCCTCAACCTCCTGGGCTCAAGCCATCCTCCCACCTCAGCCTCCAAGAGTACTGAGATTATAGGCCTGAGCCACCACGCTCAGCTGTGAGTCTCTTAACTACTATGCTTTACTGCCTCTCTAGATGGAATAATAATTATATCATAATTATATATCTGTTAATGTAATAGTATAATAGTACAAACATTTAATAATTATATACCAAAATATGCCATTTTAGCACATTGGTTATTTTGAACTGAAGTCAACTGAAAAGAAGCAGATACAAGAAAAACTCTCTGGCCTCCCGCTATTTGCCTAAAAGCAGGATATAAATTTGTAAAAGTAGCTCTTCTTCACTCTCTGCCAGGAAGAACAGAAGTTAATCAACATAGACAACTTTGGACCTTTAGCCCAGAGAGGGCACCAGAGGAATCTACAAAACAAACCTGACTCACCCACCCTATCTTCCCTTAGCTTCTCCATATATTTACCCTCCCACAGCTTGCCTCCCTAGAAGCTCTAAATCCTTTCACTTTGTCTTGTCACTTCTCTAATAATTTATTGTTCTTTTGTCAAGATGCTGTATAAGCCCAAGTTCTAGCCACTCCCTTGAGTTACTCATCCCTGAGTATTTCCATGTGTATGCATGATGCACATATTGATAAACTTCTGCTTGTTTTTTTTCTTGTTAATCTGTCTTTTGTCAGCCTGGTTTACAGGACCCCAGCCAGAAAATCTAGGAGGATGGAAGGAAAAGGAATCTTTTCTTCCTCCCCTACAATACCATCTCCCATTTGGATCAGGCCTTTCTGTTTATGACACATTCTCCTGTTTTCTCTTGTCATCCTCACAGTGGCTGGTTATGATGATGAGTGCCCTTGGCTCACATTTTGGGAAACAGAGCCCAGAGAGGGAGACACCCACCCATCCACCATCCAAGATGAGGGTGGGATTCCTTCTGGGGTCTCCTGCCTCCAAGTCCAGAGTCGCCCACTCCCACCGGCTGCCCCCGTCTTGTCCTGGTGCATTATTTATGGGCCATTACCCACCTCCTGCAGGCATCCAGATGCTGCCTGCCAGAGCTGTGACCTCAGTGTCCCCTGGAGAAGATCAATGGTGCCCCCCCCCCAACCCCCTGCCAGCCCCACTCTCTGCTCTCCTCTCCAGCTGCTCCCTCTTTGGGTCTCTGCAGGCTCCTGGTGTGTGGCACAGCCTGTCCCGTCCCACCCACCAGAACCACCTTGTGAGCACAGATTCCTCTTTGCCAAGCCAGCTGACATATTCAGCAGGCTCCTGACTTGCTGAGCAAAGCAAGGGTAGTGGTGAATTCCAAGCTTTCCATGCCCTCACCCTGACATGTGCAGGGGTGGCATAGAGGGTGTGGATGGTGTGTGTGCATGTGCGTGTATGTGTGTCTTGAGAGGAGGGTGTGTGTGTGTTGTATGTGGGAGGGGTTGTTTAAGCACTCATGGTTGAACCCATTTGCATTGCCTCTTCTGGGTCTCATAACTGAAAGTGTAACCAGCAAGGGTCATTTTCTTCTTCCCTGTCACCCAGGGGGGTGGGAAGAGGTGCTTAGATCTAGAGTTAAGGTTGGGAGCAGGGCCCCTGGGAACCCTGGGATCCCACAGCTTTGGAGCTGTGTGATGTTGAGCAAATTGCTGAATCTCTCTGAGCATTATTTTCCTTCTCTTTATATCATTGAATCATGATGAAGATTAAATGAGAGTGCATAGAACGCATTCAGCACAGAGCCTGAGGGACAGCAAACACTGAAAATGAGCTTTTGACGATGCATGCGTTTGGATCACAAACTTGTGGAAGAAAGAACACCAGGAGGAGAGGAGAAGCCCAGGGTTCCACAGGCAGAATTCGTTGGGCTTTAGGCAGGAGTTTGGTCATCTTCACCTCAGTTTCCATGTCTATAAAATGGGCAATAGCTGAATTGAGCAGTTGCTTAAAGCCATGGCTAAAATTATGGAATTCTAGAAAATAAAAGTGAAAACCCCAGGTCATCGCCGAAGTTTTCCCTTCTTGAACTGAACTCTTCCCTCCCATTTCCTCAGATTTGAAGGCATTTGGCAAGTGTTAGCACATAAAGCCGAAGGACAGGCATCTTGGTTTCTCCTCCCTACTTTAAAGTCTCTGGTTGAAAGTCTCAGAATCATCTGGAGACCTTGTGACTCACAAAACCCCTGAGTCCTGACCCTGGGACCCTGGTTGGTTGGGGACAAGGGCACCAAAGCATCTGTATCCTTAATAAGTTTCCTGAGTGAGTCCAAAGCAGGTGGCCACTCTGAGAAATTAGAGACCAAGTGCTCTGTTGGGGATTGCCCAGATACCCCTGGGAAGAGTTCTAGACTTCCAGAGTCCTGTCTCCAGGCTCCTTCTCCTCCATCCTAAGACCCTGAGAATTAAAGGAACGAGCTTTCCCAGACCTTGCCATCTCTCTCTTCCTCCTATTGAGCATCGTTGATCTCCGTATTTTGATCAATTTCCAATCACCATAACTGTTCTTGGATCCAGGTCAATTGACGTTGGTTCTGCAGATGCCTCATCCTGGAGGCACAGGTAAGTGATGCTGGATCTACATCAAAGTCTTCCCCAGTCTTGGGAGCACAACTTGAAAAGTCTGCTGTTAGGGCGATGAGACAACTTAGATAACAGTGTGATTGGTGTCCAGGAAGCCACAAGCCCCAAGTGCCAGCATTTCGTCATTGCATCCTGTGCCTTGTTGGGCTAGTGGGTGCCTGGTAAATAGGAGGCAGAGGAGGAGAATAGTCTTGCAGCAATAGCTCACTGGTTTACCAGGAGCACCCCCCCACCCACACACCGCTGCCTTTTATTTTTTCTTAAGAGATTCTGGAGGCCGGCTTCATCTGCTTTAAATCTCATTGTGTGATTTCTTTCCTATAGTGAATCAGCAAGAGTCTAAGGTCTCAAGTGATTTCAGTGACCTTCACCACATTCAATGCCCTCTTAATCCAGAATCAACTGTGCCCCTTGTGAACACACACCTGCCCTTCTTCCATCTCATTCTTCATAGGAACAAGCACAATCATCATCAGCAAGCCTCAAGGGCTCACCATGGACTGCGAATCCATCTGAAAAGTTCTATATAGTTGTCACTACAATCCCATCAATTAGGAATTTAGATTATTCCCATTTTACAGATGAGAAAACCAAGGCTTGAGGAAGTTAAAACTTAACTTGCTGACAGTCTTACAGCTGGTCAGTGGTGGAGCAAAGACTCGAGCCTGGATCTCTAAGCCCACACTTTTAACCACTCTGCCGAGAGCCTTTTCATATTGGTAGAAATGCCTGGTTTCATAGGATAGCCCCTCACCCAAGCCCTCTTCTGTACACCCCTTCCCCAGGGCCGCCTTCTAGCTAGCAGTCCTGCAGCCGTTCCCATTTGCAATGAATGTACTCCATCCCTACTTCCTGGAGTTAATTATTTCAAAAAGACATTTGGAAACTCAGACCTGCTGTCTAATATGTTCCCTTTTGCTAATTCAATAATCCTGTTTTTCAAATATGAGTGTGTTTTTTCAACTTGTCATTGGACTGATTACTCAGCAGATATTATCTGATCATTGTTTTCTTCTTTGAACTCATGCTCACACAAGCCCGATGGATTTCAGAGCGGAGACCTGTGATTTATGACTGGGGTGTCTATTCACCAAGGGCAAGGCCTTGGCTCTCTGTGTGCTGAGGCTCAGCAGTCAGCCAGGACATAAGAGAGCCAGTCTGAAACCCTGAAAAATATAACCTACCAGATCATGGCAGAAAGAAGCAGCTTGAGCTCCTACTGGTGCATTTGGTTCACCAAATGCTAAGAGTGGTTATATCCAGGTGGTGGATTTTAAGGGAATTTTTAGTTTCTTCTTTATACTTATCTGTTTTATTTTCCACTGTAGTTTCCAAAGTCTGTATAATTTTAATAATAAAATAAGAATACATGTATTGTGATTAAGGCGGGCGCAGTAGCTCAAGCCTGTAATCCCAGCACTTTGGGAGGCCAAGGCAGGCAGATCGCTTGACGTCACGAGTTTGACACCAGCCTGGCCAAAATGGTGAAACCCCATCTCTACTAAAAATACAAAAAAATTAGCCTGGCATTGCGGTGGGCGCCTGTAATTCAAGCTACTCAGGAGGCTGAGGCAGGAGAATCACTTGAACCCGGGAGGCGGAGGTTACAGTGATCCCAGATCGCGCCACTGTGCTTCAGCCTGCGTGATTCTCAAAAAACAACAACAAAACCACAAAAAACAAACCAACATTTATTGTGATTAAAAATAAAGTTAATTCAATAAGATAAATATTATCCTTTAGGCAAAGCCTCAGATGAGTCTGGCTTTTATGAACTTGTTAAAGCCATTCCCAGAAGCAGACCCCTCTGAAAATGAGCAAAACTCGATGCCAAAAGAGAAAACAAGACCATGGCTATTAATTATGTTCATATATTTCTAAAAATAGAATGAAACTTGAGCTTTAAAATGTAAACTTTATCATTTGTTAAATCTTAGACATCACTTTTGTTTACCCGCGGGCATGACTTATGTAAATTTGCAAGTGGACTGTAGCGTGGATCTGTTTGTGTGTTTTTCATTCAACAAACATGGATTGAGCTTCGCCCTATACAAGTCAGTATTCTAGGCTTCAAGGATTCGAGAAGGAATGAGGATGGAGCCTCAGGATTGAGCACCTCCTAGTCTAGGGGGAGACAGTTATGCAAACAGTTACACAATTTGACAAGTGCTCTAGGAGTGCAATGGGGAAGACCAAAAGAGGCAATCTTTGCTCTGCCTGAAGAAGTCAAGGAAGGCTTCACAGAGTAGGTGACTCACACTTAGAATAGGAGTTTTCCAGGTAGAGAAGGTGGGGAAGACATTCTGGGCAAAGGGAAGAAGATATGCAAAATTACCTGGGGATGATGGGGATAGGAAAAGCTTGTGTCCATGAAATAGCAAGTTGCTGGTTGTGATTACAATTTAGAGTATATAGTATGCATTTGTAGATGTTGGTTGGATGGTTAGGAGCCTTGAATGATGGACTAAGAGGTTAACTTGAAGATAGGGAACTATTAAAAGGTTTTAAGCAGGGGAATGGCATGATTAGATTTGCCTTCTAGAATGGCTGCTCAATGGATACATCAATGAAGGTCCACCTGGGAGACAGAAATCACATCAGTTATTTGGACAGAGGGAATTTAATGTAAAGAATTATGAACTAGGTCAATCTATCTGTTGATCTATCTATCTATCCATCCATCCATCCATCCCCCTATCACATGTCATTCATTAAAGCTCACTATTTTTTCAGTTTTTTCTTTTTTTACTTTTATAAATTTAAGGGTACAATTGCAATTCTGTTACACATATATTTTGTACAGTGGTGACGTCTTGGCTTTTAGTGTATTCATCACTCAAATAATGTACCAGTTATTGTACCCATTCTTTTCTTTTAATATGAACTTTACAAATAAATGCAAAAATCTTAAATATACATTTGCTAAGTTTTGACAGATGCATACACCTGTGTAATGAAAATTTATATTGAAATATGAGACATTACCATCACCTGAAAAACATCCTTCATGCCCATTCACAGGCAATCTCTGCTTTCACGGAGACAACAACCACTATTCTAGTTTTTTCCACCATAAATTAGTTTAGTTGAGGTTTCTCAACCTCAGCACTACTGACATTGTGGCCCAAATGATTACTGCTTGTTGGGAATTGTCCTGTATGTTATTTAGCCTATCCTAGAATGTCATACAAATGGAATATACTTTTTTGTTTGGCTTTTTTCACTTAACGTAATGTTGATGAGATTCTTCCATGTTGTTTTGTATATCGCTGGCTGTTCCTTTTTTTTTTTTTTTGAGATGGAGTCTCGCTCTGTTGCCCAGGCTGGAGTGCAGTGGCGCGAACTTGGCTCACTGCAAGCTCTGCCTCCCGGGTTCACACCATTCTCCTGCCTCAGCCTCCCAAATAGCTGGGACTACAGGTGCCTGCCATCACACCTGGCTATTTTTTTTTTTTTTTTGTATTTTTAGTAGAGACGGAGTTTCACCATGTTAGCCAGGATGGTCTCTATATCCTGACCTCATGATCCGCCCACCTCAGCCTCCCAAAGTGCTGGGATTACAGGCGTGAGCCACCGCGCCTGGCCTGGTCCTTTTTTATTGCTGAGTGGTATTCCATTGTATGGCTAGATCACAGTTTGTTTATCCATACTCTTGTTAATGAACACCTGGGCAATTTCCAGTTTTTTGTTATTATAATAAAGCTGCTATGAACATTCATGTACAATTTTCTTTGGTGAGCATATGTTTTAATTCTTATTGACTAATTAGCTAAGAGGAATTTCTGGGTCATAAGGTATAATTAGTTTAGTTTTGTTTTGTTTTGAGACAGGGTCTCGCTTTGTCACCCAGGCTGGAGTGATCCTGGCTCACTGCAGCATCGACCTTCCAGTCTGAAGCAATCCTCCCACCTCAGCCTCTCAAGTAGCTGGGATTACAGGTGTGCACCACCACTCCTGGCTAATTTTCATATTTGTCTAGAGACAGGGTCTCCCTATGTTGCCCAGACTGGTCTCAAATTCCTGGGCTCAAGTAATCCTCCTGCCTCAGCCTCCCAAAGTGTTGGGATTATAGGCATAAGCCACCATGCCCAACCTGTAATTAGTTTTATAAAATACCACCACAACTTTCTCCCAAGTGATTGAACCATTTTCCATTCCCATAAATGAGTTCTGAGATTTCCAGTAGCTCCACGTCCTTGCTAACATTTTGTCTTGTCAGGCTTTTTTTTTTTTTTTGAGATGGAGTCTCCCTCTATTGCCCAGGCTGGAGTGCAGTGGCGCAAACTCGGCTCACTGCAACCTCCACCTCCTGGGTTCAAGCATTCTCCTACCTCAGCCCCCTGAGTAGCTGGGACTTCAGGCGTGCGCTACCACACCTGGATAGTTTTTTTTTGTATTTTTAGTAGAGATGGGGTTTCACCATTTTGGCCAGGCTGGTCTCGAACTCCTGACTTTGTGGTCCCCCTGCCTCGGCCTCCCAAAGTGTTGGGATTACAGGCATGAGACAATGTGCCTGGCCTGTCAGTCTTTTTAATTTAGCTTTTCTGGTGAAAGTAACATAGTTTTTTATTATGGTTTAAATGTGCCTTTCCCTGATGAGTAATGATGTTGAACTCTTGTCTATATTTGCTATTCATAGATCTTCTTTTGTGAGTCCTTTGTTCAAATATTTTCCTCATTTTTTACTGGATTGCTTGAGACAGGGTCTCACTCTGTCATCTAGGCTGGAGTGCAGTGGCATGAACTCAGCTCACTGCAGCCTCAGCCTCCTGGGATCAAGCAATTCTCCCTCCTCAGCCTCCCAAGTAGCTGGGACTACAGGCACACACCCCCATACCCGGCCAATTTTTGTATTTTTTGGCAGAAACAGGGTTTCACTATGTTGGCCAGGCTGGTCTTGAACTCCTGGGCTCAAGTGATCTGCCTGCCTTGGCCTTCCAAAGTGCTGGGATTACAGGCGTGAGCCACTGTGCTGGATAAAGAGCCTTTTAAGTTTTTAAAGCCTTTTAATTTTATGATTAATCCTTTGATCCATATATTCCACTTTTTTTTTTCTAGACAGGGTCTCTCTCTATTGCTGGAATGCAATGGCGCAATCATGGCTCAGTGCAACCCCAACCTCCTAAGCTCAAGCAGTCCTCCCATCTCAGCTTCCTGAGTAGCTGGGACTACAGGTATGTGCCACCATACCAACTAATTTTTAAATTTTTTGTAGAGATATGGTCTCACTATATTGCCCAGGCTGGTCTTAAACTCCTGGTCTCAAATGATCCTCCCACTTCAGCCTCCCAAAGTGCTGGGTGACAGGCGTGAACCACAGTGCCTGGGCCATATATTCCACTTTGTATGTCCCTCTTGGTTTGAGCCAGATCCAAGAGCACAGGGACTTCTGGGTCAGGCATTTAGGTGGTGTCTTAGCCAATTTTCTGTTGCTATAACTAAATATCACAGACTGAGTAATTTATAAAGAATAGAGGTTTATTTAGCTCATGGTTCTGGAGGTTGGGAAATCTAAGGGTGTGATGGCAGCTTCTGGTGAGGGCTTTGGTACTGCATCATAACATGACAGAAAAGTGAAGGGCAAGAGAGCATGTGTGAAAGAACCTGCAAGAGCTAGCCAGGCTCATTTTACAACAATCCACTCTTGGGAGAACTAACTCGCTCCTGCAATAAGGGCGTTAATCTATTCATGATTCATGTGGGCTCCACCCTCATGACCCAATCCCCTCCTAAAGCCCCACCTCTTAATATTATTACATTGGCAATTAAGTTTTCAACACATGAACTTTTGGGGGATGCATCCAAACCACAGCAGGAGGCATCTATCCTCCCCCCCACCCCGGTTGAGCCTCAGAGCTACACAGGTGGCTATGTCAGGATGTCCTCATTCTGGAGAGACATGAGCATTCACCTGAGTCATCAAGCTGCAATTATGTGTCCACTCTGAAGGGACAGAGAATTGGTCTGCTCACCATTGACCATCAAACCCCCTCTCTGGCTTCCAGGTCTGGTAAAAAACTAGCTTTTGTCCTAGTCCTTATTAGACCTTGAGAAAGTCTCAGCCCTTATCTGAGCTCCCCGATCTGTAAAAGGAGAGATCTTTGACATGAGGCAGCTCAGCCTAGCGATTAATCATGAGGCTGTGGGTTCAGACATCCTGCCTGGTTCAAATCCTGCTCTGTCTCTGCACCCAGTGCAAATGAATCCATCTTTGTGCTTTGGTTTGCCCATCAGCGAAGTGGGATTAACAACTTCGGAGATAAGACTCATATAGCTCTGGCTCACAGCACTCAACAGTTTCTAGCTGGTTCTCTTGCCTGCAGCATGTCCTTGAATGAACACAACAGCCCTGGGTGGTCAGAACTATCATTGGCCTCATTGTACAAGTGAGAAAATCCAAGGTTGAGAACATTAGGGACTTATCCAAAGTCCTAAGGCTAAAAAATAGCAAAGCTGGGATTGAACTTCAAAGGTTATGAAGCTCTTGGGGAAAAGAAATCATTGAAAAAAGCTGTGCTGTATTATCCCACACCCTCTCCTCACTCCCTAGAATATCATAGCCAACTGAAAATTAAGCCTAGAAGAATATTTAAGGTTTAATTTCACAGGCAAAAGAAACAAGCCCAGAATCAGCGGAGCCACTGTCTCCCACAGCAAGATGAGGGATGCTCTGGGGATGAGAAGGACCCTGGGGGAGCCAGACAGGCTGGGTGGGGACAAACCAAGGCAGAGGCTGCCAGCTGGTGGCCCCAAGTCTGTTGCAATCCAGGGATGCATTTATTTATTTATACAATTTAAAAAAAATTTTTTTACTATTAATATATTAATCTGCTTTACTCAAAGTTATTTTTTTTTAAAGAATCGCAAACATTAAAAAATCAAGATTTCTCTCTCTCTCACGTGCATCATATGCACATGCACACACACAATCTAGATCTCTGGCTTCTCATGAAAGCTCAGAAGATTTGGCAACACTGGGTAGCCACTGGCTGGAGCTGACAGCAGCTGGCTTTATGAGGCATGAACACCTGGGTCCCCACAGTCGCCACCCCTTGCTGTCCTTTATACCTGGCTCACCGATGTCATCCTGACCCTGGAAGGCACTGGGTTTCAGACCTCTGACTCTCAGGTTTTAATGCTGCCATTCTCAGCTGGGGGCTTTCTCAGATAGGGTTCTTACCCTGGTGGCCACGGGTAAAAAGTGAGGGAGCCTGTGAATTTGGATGGGTGTACTAATCACATGTTTCTGATGTTTTGACATCTGAGACGTTCCTGGCCCTGGAGAGACTCCCCCTTGCAGGGCCAGCCAATTCCTAGTGGTAGTAAATGACTCTCCTAACCGCCAGAGCCCGAACACCACAGCCACCTGCTGCATTGGGCTTTTACACACTGGGCCACTCTTCTCCAGCCCTAATCACCTCCAGACAACTAGAGACAGCCCCTATGCCCTAGTACCCCCTGAAATTATTCAAACTGGCAAATTCGAAGCCTGTGTACCCTGTCTCACCCATTCCTTCCTGCAAAAACCACAATAAAAGCCCTGGCCCAGTTTTCCTCCTGTTTGCTTTGCTTCCTGACAAACCCCATGTTGTCCTGCGTGGCGTGGTGTGCCTCCTCCTCTGGGATCTGTGAGTAGCAAGCTATCATTTCAACAGCAGTCAGCTCCTGATCTGTTGGTGTCACCATAGCTAAATGATAATAAAACCTACGTTTAAAGCAAGGGACAGACAAGTGTCCATCTTTCTTTTCACTAACCTCTAACTGCAACTGAGTATTTCCTTCAATTATCATTGTAGCAACAAACTACAGTAGTGTTAACAGTGTCAGTTGTAAGAATTAAAGAAAGAGGAAAGAAACATGAAAGGTGGCTTGGCAGTTAAGACAAGTTTATTTTAGAGAAAACAAACCTGAGAGGGGTGTTTGGCCAAGTTAGGTTAGAGGCACACTTTTTTACAGACTCAGAGTTTTTAAGGATTCAGGTTAGGAGAGTTTATTACAGGCTCGGACTGCTTTTGTGTTTTTTTGTTGTGCTTATTCGGGAGAGAGAGTTGTGTGTCTGTTCCCATACATCTTTCTGCAGCTGCAGACATACCCCCCGAGTCTGCCTTTACCATCCCTATTTTAGTGCACCTGAAGGGAAAGAAATGTACTTATTAAGGCCCACTGTTTTACTGGAGCCCATTGTATGAGGGTGAAGTTTAGCATTTACCCAAGAGACTTTCCCCCTACCTCCCTCTGTGCCTGAGTTGTTTTATCTGTGTTTCACTGTTTGCTCTTTCTGGCTGCTTGTAGTTAGAAGGGAAGTGATTTCCTTAAAATGCATAAGGCTAAGAAGGGAGCTGGAGCTTAAAGTGGCAGTGTTTGTCTGAGATGATGGTGCTCCTGCTCTGTCATCTGTGTCTTTGCTCCATTAGAAACCATAAATCAGCCTGGCGCGGTGGATCATGCCTGTAATTCCAGCAATTTGGGAGGCTGAGATGGGAGGATTGCTTGAGCCCAAGAGTTCAAGACCAGCCTGGGAAACATAGGGAGACCCCATCTTTACAAAAAATAAAAAATTAGCTGGGTGTGGCGGTGCACGCTTATAATCCCAGCTACTTAGGGAGGCTGAGGTGGGAGGATCATTTGAGCCCAGGAGGTCAAAGCTGCAGTAGGCCATGATTGTGCCACGGCACTCCAGCCTGAGTGACAGAGCAAGACGCTGTCTCAAAATTAAAATAAATAAATAAAAATAGGCCAGATGTGGTGGCTCATGCCTGTAATCCCAGCACTTTGGGAGGCCAAGGCAGGCAGATCACCTGAGGTCAGGAGTTCAAGACCAGCTTGGCCAACATGGCCAAACCCCGTCTCTACTAAAAATACAAAAATTAGCCAGGCATGGTGGTGCGTACCTGTAGTCCCACCTACTTGGGAGGCTGAGACAGGAGGCAGAACCCAGGAGGCAGAAGTTGCAGTGAGCTGAGATCACACCACTGCACTCCAGCCTGGCAACAGAGCAAGACTCTGTCAAAAAAAAAAAAAAAAAAAAAAAAAAAAAAAAAAAAAAACAGGAAGAGGAAGAAGAAGAAGAAAGAAGAAAGAAGATGTCAGTAGATGTAGAGGAAGACCAGAGATTACAGCCAGGAAGAAGGCAGACACCCTGTCCTCCAAACATACCAAATTTCCTAGAGGAAACAGGCACAAAATTCATGCATTTGATCATTCATCCATTAAAAACAAAATTGGGCTAGGCACGGTGGCTCATGCCTGTAATCCCAGCACTTTGGGAGGCCAACATGGGCAGATCATTTGAGGTCAGGAGTTCAAGACCATCCTAGCCAATATGGTGAAACACCGTCACTACTAAAAATACAAAAATTAGCCCTCGTGGTAGTGTGGGCATGTAGTCCTAGCTACTCAGGAGGCTGAGGCAGGAGAATGGCTTGAATCCAGGAGGCGGAGGTTACAGTGAGCCAAAATTGCACCACTGCACTCTAGCCTGGGCAACAGAGCAAGTCTCTCTCTCTCTCTCTCTCTATATATATATATATCTCTCTCTCTCTATATATATATATATACACGTACATGTATACATATATGTATATATATACATATATGTGTGTGTATATATAGATATATATAGTTAGTGACAGTGAAGTAGCATGGAAATGTGGCAAAAATCTGAATGACAAACTTGGGGTACACTCTGCCAAATGGCATCCCAAAGTCTTGAGAAACTCCTGGATCATAGCCATCTCTATGCTGCTCCTCTGAGAGGTCTACTCGTTCCTTCGTTTGTTCTTTTGTATGTATGAGAGCACCAGTCTATTGAGCCCCTATGGGTGCCAAGTTCTGTTACTTGACTAAGAACAGATCTAGCTGCTTCCTGCCACTCCCCATCTGGACATGAAATTCCTTCTGTCACTCTGCCAACCTTCTCTTCTTTCTTTGCCCCTCTCTTGATCTAAGAATCCCATTCCCGGGTGAGTTTGGTGTGTTAATGCTGGGTAAGTGAGCCTGCCTGGACCTATGGCCATCCTAGACAGCTGCAGGGGTGGGGGTGGGGGGCAATCGAAGGTCTCTAACCTCAAAGGCCCCTCAGGGGGTGCATGGGGGCATCTCCCCTTGGGGTTCCCAAGGACCAATCTACCAGCTTGTGCAGCACCCTCAAAAAGGAAGGGGAAAAGGTCATGCTCTATCTGGTATCCACAAAGCCACTTAGATGAGAAGCTCTTTTGTCTGCATTGGATAAGCTCCAACAGTAATCACAAATCTGCCCCTCATCAACAAATCCCTCACCTACCACAAGTAACCAAGTGCAACCTAGAGACGCCGTTGTCTTTTGTTCGCACCCTATTTTTTTTAGAAATCTGCACTTGGTTTGTGTACGAACATGTATTACAACTGTTGTATGTGATAAAAATTTAAACTGGCTTATACAGAAAATAGTTTTTTTTGTTTTGTTTTTTAAAAAAGGTCATTTACAGCCAGGCACGGTGGCTCACACCTGTAATCCCAGCATTTTGGGAGGCCGAGGCGGGTGGATCACGAGGTCAGGAGATCGAGACCATCCTGGCTAACACGGTGAAACCCCATCTCTACTAAAAAATATAAAAAACAATTAGCCAGGCGTGGTGGCGGGTGCCTTTAGTCCCAGCTACTCGGGAGGCTGAGGCAGGAAAATGGTGTGAACCTGGGAGGTGGAGCTTGCAGTGAGCCGAGATTGCTGCCACTGCACTCCAGCCTGGGCGACAGAGCGAGACTCCGTCTCACAAAAAAAAGGTCATTTACTCAGTGAACGGAGAGGCCTGGGGATGCATCTGTTTCAGGCACCGCTGACCCAGAGAAGCCTTGGTTTCTCATCTCTGGCTCTTGCTTCTGTTGTGTTCACTTCAATTTCAGGCTCCATTTTGTGGCCAGATGGAGACAGGCGTTCTAGTTCCTACTTCCTCTCTGGTTTCAGGTCCAGTGAATTTGCTCGTGTCAGGAATGTGACCAGTGTTCTGAACTGGTCACATGCCTGTACCCACCATGGCTGGGAGCGTTGGAGTTACTGATTGGCTTGGGGTGAGAGGCATCATGGGCTCCTCCCCTGGAACTTATCAGCTTCTCTGGGAACATGTGAACCAATGGGATGGATCCCCAGAGGACAACAGGGGTATGGTTCCCAGAGGGATAGAAAACGGATGCGGGCAGAAATAACAGCAGCTGTTTTTGGCCTCGAGCAGATGCTAAGTGGAGGGGCTGGGTTGCACCTGGGGTTGTGGACCACTAAGCCCCCATGGCCTGTGGCCTGTCTATATCCCAGAGTGCCTGCAGGGACTGGTAAACAGCAGGCCCTTCATTCATTCATGCCTGCTGCATGAGTTTCCTGTTGCTGTGCTCTGCACACCTGCTTATTGGGAGACCCTGTTTTTCTAGCTCATCCTTCTGGAGGGTCACCCATTCCCTGGCCTCTCCCCCTCCAGAAATGAAGTCTCACTTCTGTGGGTGAATCTCTTTCTGTCTCCCTTCATCTTTTGCAGCAAACCTCAGTCTGAAGTGAAACATCAGGAAATAATTCAGCCTTTTGTTTCATGGACACATACACAGAGTCTGTAGGTTCTGGACACATTCCTTAGATGAGTGGTAGTGGTGGGCAAGGCTGCAGGCATCTGTATCATATCTTTGGGGCCTGGAGGCCAAGCAGCAGCTTCCACTGGATGCTTCCCCTAGATCAGGGTACACACACGGGAACAAACCTGGGTTCAAGATCCCCCGTCAGCTCAGGGCTGTGCACAGGGAGTCTGGTAACAATTGGCAGATGAGGTGGAGGAGCTGGGAGCAGATGGGCCCTGGAGGGTCAGTCACTCCTTGGGGAAGTGCAGACAGGGGTGGTTGCAGCTCCCTGACTGATTGGTGCCTGACCGAACCTAATGATGGACATGAACCAGAGGCTTCAGAAGTGCATGCCATCACTGCTCCTGCAGCTATGCTGCCCTAGCTCAGGCTGCCATAATGAAATACCATAGACTGGGTGGCTTAACCCAAGAAGAATTTCTCACAATTATGGAGGATGGGGTGTCCAAGATCAAGGTGCTGGCAAGGTAGGTTTCATCCTGAAGCCTCTTCTTTTGGCTTACACGTGGTGGCCATCTCGTTGTGTGCCCATATCACCTTTTCTTTTTCTTTTCTTTTTTTTTTTGAAACAGAGTCTTCCTCTGTCACCCAGGCTGGAGTGCAATGGCATGGTCACAGCTTGCTGCAGCCTTGACCTCCTGAGCTCAAGTGAGCCTCCCACCCCAGCTTCCCAAATGGCTGGGACTACAGGTATGCACCACGATGCCCAGCTAATTTTGTAAACAATTCTTGTAGAGACAAGGTCTCATTATGTTGCCCAGGCTGGTCTTGAACTCCTGGGCACAAGCGATCCTCCTGCCTCAGCCTCCTAAAGTGCTGGGATTACAGGCATGAGCCACTGCACCTGGCCAACATGACCTCTTCTTTGTGCATGGGAGAGAGAGAGAGAGTGTGTGTGTGTGTGTGTGAGAGAGAGAGAGAGAGAGAGAGAGAGAGCACATGTGTGCAAGCTCTTTGGTGTCTCTTCTTATAAGGGCGCTAATCCCATCATGAGGGCCCCACCCTCATACCCTCACCTAGCTATAAGCACCTTCCAAAGGCCCCATCTCCAAATCCCATCACACTGGGGGTTAGGGCTTCCGTATATGAATTTTAGGGGAACATAATCCAGTGCATAGAAGACGCTAAGTCCCTTCTGTCTGTCATTCAGTCTGACCTGCCTGGCACTCTGTGCTGTTTTACAAATGGAGACGCTAAAGCCAGAAGGGCAGAGTGACTGGCCCAGGTCTCAGAGCCTGGAGTGGTGGAGACAGGATTGGAATCCAGGGTCACCTGGCTCCAAAGTCCATTCATTTAATCATTGAGCTCTGCAGTTTTCCAAGGGTCAGAAATCTGAACAGACAGTGGGCTTCTGAAAGACAAATGAGGATGCAACAGATTACTGAAAACCACCACTCATAGGACATTACTAATCAGGTCAGCTGATTTGTTTGAGACAGAAAAACATGGGGCAGTTATTTCAAAGAAAAATAAATCCACGAAACAAAATGCTTATATGCTCTCCTTTGTTACTGATGGGGCAGGAGGTCCTCCCTTGCTATCATTGCATTTCTGATGCCTCTCACTGGTACAGGGCATACTTAGTGCTTGGTCAATATGGAGAAAAGGAGGGATGGATGGAAGAGGGAGGGAATCAGGAGGATCTTGTACCACGTGCTCCTGGGCCAGAGCCAACTTTTCTTTTCTTTTCTTTTCTTTTTTCTGAGATGGAGACTTGCTCTGTTGTCTAGGCTGGAATGGAGTGATGTGGTCATAGCTCACTACAGCCTCCAACTCCTGGGCTCAAGCCATCCCCCTGCCTCAGTCTCCTGAGTAGCTGGGACTACAGGCATGTGCCACCACGCTGGCTAAGTTTTTAATTTTTTGTAGAGGTGAGGTCTCACTATGTTGCTCAGGCTGGTCTGGAACTCCTGGCCTCAAGCAATCCTCCTGCCTCGGCATCCCAAAATGCTGAGATTCCAAGTGTGAGCCATCATGCCTGGCCCGTAGCCTAATTTTCTTAAACTCTAATTCAGGCTTAAGGTCCAAAGAATTTTGTTTCACACTATTTTTCCTTACTTCCCCCACCCCGCCACGCTCAACTTAGAAAAATTGCAAACACAGAAAACTATAAAAAGCAAAAAACACCCACAGACCATAGCTGTCAAAATCTGTGGTTGTTTTTCCTTCCAGTCTTTTTTAAATGCCTCAATTCATTATTTTTGTCTATAATTTTAACATAGGTAGACGCATATATGCTCCATGTTTGAAGATACAATTGCTGCCAAGAGCATCTTGCCTTTCATTAGTACACCTTGCAAACTGCCAAAGGCAGCGTTTCATCACCTTCAGAAAACACTTGCTGGACTACTTCTCTGCTGGGGGGAGCAGGGGCAAAGAGCAGAGCCCAGGCCCAGGCCGGGGTGATCAGCTGGAATCCTAGTATGAGAGGGGATCTTGGTGTTCTTTGGGTTCAAATCCTTGTTTTACAGGTGAGGACACTGGCCTGAAGATTTGAAGAGCTGGGTTCTGGCTGCTCACCAGCCCCCTGGTGGCTCTCCTAGCTGGGTTTTACATGCACAGTGCCATCTGCCTAGACTTGACTGTTCTCCATTTGCCCCTCTCCACCTACCATCTTCCCTTCAGCTTGCTCCGAACCCTGGATGGCTGACCTGGGGGTGCCCTATGGCCTGGGATCCCTTACCCTGTGGCTTCTGGTTGGCTTCAGCCAATGGGAGCACTGGTGGGAGACCGGAGGGAGGAGGAGAGACGTAAGCGTCGTTCCCCTGATGCTTTTCCTTCCAGGCCTTCGTTCCTCTTCTGAAAGTGTCTTTGCCTGTTGGGGGTGCAATAATGAAACATCATAGACTGAGTGGCTTATACACAACAGAAATGTGTTGCTCACAGTCCTGGAGACTGGGAAGTCCAAGATCAAAGCACCAGCAGATTCAGTGTCTAGTGAGGGCCTACTTTCTGATTCATGGATGGTGCCTTCTAGCTGTGTCCTATGAACTCCCTTGGACCTCATTTACAAGGAACACTAATCCCATTCCTGAGGGCCCCACCCTTACGTCTCACCCCTCAAAGGCCCACTTCCTAGTACCATCACATTGGGGACTAGGTTTTGCTATGATTTAAAAGTGTCCTCTCCAAAATCTAGGGGTTGAAACTCCTTATTTTAGAGACAAGGTCTCAGTCTGTTGCCCAGGCTGGAGTGCAGTGGCATGAACATGGCTCACTATAGCCTCAACCTCCTGGGCTCAAACGATCCTCCCGACTCAGTCTCTGGAGTAGCCAAGATGACAGGCATGACGCCACGCCTAATTTTTTAATTTTTATTTTGTAGAGATGGGGTCTTGCTATGTTACCCAGGCTGGTCTTGAACTTCTGGCCTCAAGCTATCCTCCTGCCTCACCCTCCTCAAGTGCTGAGATTACAGGCCTGAGCCACTGTGTCTGGCCCAAGTGTTGAAACTTAATGGCCATGTGATAGTATTAAGAGGTGGGGCCTTTAAAAGGTGATGAGGCAGTGGGGCGCGGTGGCTTATGTCTGCAATCCCAGCACTTTGGGAGGCTGAGTCGGGTGGATCACGTGAGATCGGGAGTTTGAAACCAGCTTGACCAACATGGAGAAACCCCGTCTCTACTAAAAATACAAAAAATTAGCCGGGTGTGGTGGTGGGGTCAGGGAATGGGTGCTGGTCAGGGGGATGGGTGCTG
The DNA here is from genome assembly GCF_000001405.40 of Homo sapiens. Taxonomy (NCBI): domain Eukaryota; kingdom Metazoa; phylum Chordata; class Mammalia; order Primates; family Hominidae; genus Homo; species Homo sapiens. The sequence goes on along the minus strand of NC_000016.10, from coordinate 58,434,808 downwards.
ATCAGGAGGATTCAGTGCAGGTCAAGGGAGATAGGTGCTGATCAGGGGGATGGGTGCTGGTTGGGGGAAAGGTGGTAGTCTGGAGGGATGGGTGCTGGTTCGGGGGATGGGTGCTGATCAAGGAATGGGTGCTGGTCAGGGGGATGGGTCCTGGTTAGGAGGGATGGCTGCTGGTCAGGAGGGATGTGTGCTTGTCAGGGGGATGGGTCCTGGTCAGGAGGGTGGGTGATAATTGGGGGGGATGGGTCCTGGTCAGGAGGGATGGGTGCTGATCAGTCAGGGGATGGCTGCTGGCCAGGAGAATGGGTGCTGATTCATGGATGGGTGCTGGAATGGACTGAATGCAGCAGTGAGGGTGAGCTGCGTGCCAGCCCCAGTCTTGCCTGCCTCGCTCACTTGCCTGAGGTCATGAGACCAGTACCATGGAAGAACCAGAACCTGAGCCGGGGCTGATCGTGGAGCCCTGACCTTTAGTCACCCTTACTTCAGAATAGACAGCCCAGGCTTCTGGGCAGCACAGTAATTATGGGAACTGCCAGTTATTTGTAATCTCACACTGACAGCCTGCTGGGAGGGGACCCACTCAGACTCGCCTCCTCCCAGCCATGTGACCCTTGCAGCCCGGGGAGTCCTGGGAGTGGGGGTGTGGGTAAGGGTGGGGGATGAGGGTGTTCTCTGTTCTTAGGCCAAATGGAGAAAGGCGGGAAGCCAGAGCACATTAGGCCAGCTTTCCTTGTGGGCAGCGGCTCTGGCCAGCCCTTGCAGACTCTCCCTGAGGGCACTGTGAATGCCTTTCCTGGGCTGCAGAGACACCTGATGGTCCCCCCACAGCACATCCCAAGGGGGTTGTAGGTACTTACGGCATTGAGAGCTCTGACCAGTTCAAGACCCTGGAGCATTTGACTCCCAAGTTTGAGCTAGATTATTCTGACTCCAGGCCACAAGGCACTAAGGAAGCAGGAAGCAGTGAGGCGTCCAGGTCCAGGTTCTAAATCCTAGCTGTAGAGACAAGAGCAACTCCATTTTGGATGCATCCCTAGGTTTGACTTCTGATTAGCTTAGTCCTGTGAATGCCTCCTTGTTTCTACTTTATTTCCTGTCCCTAGTGTAAGAACACGTCAACCTTGATGTTATCGCACAAATTGTGGGCTGTGACACACACAGTGTTCTTGCCTGTTCTGGAGGGGTGCCTGTAATTTTCTTGCTGGAACACATGTACCCTTTCTCTATGGTATACAAGCCTGAGGTCTTGGGAGTAACAGTGGGAGATCTACCTGTATTATGGCCACCCAAGACCACGCTTCTGTCTGTGAGTTCCCCCAATAAATCATCCAATACTGACAAACAGGATTTGTCTGCCTCCTTTGTTTCTTGGCTCCTTTGGCATTTGGGGATCGCTTTGCACATATGGCTCCGTGATAGTTAATACTGAGTGTCAACTTGATTGGATTAAAGGATGCAAAGTATTGATCCTGGGTGTGTCTGTGAGGGTGTTGCCAAAGGAGATTAACATTTGAATAAGTGGGCTGGGAAAGGCAGACCCACTCTTAATCTGGGTGGTCACAATCTAATCCGCTGCCAGTGAGGCTAGACTATAAAGCAGGCCAAAAAAAAAAAAAATATATATATATATATATATATATATGTGAAAAGACTAGACTGTCCTAGCCTCCCAGCCTACATCTTTCTCTCATGCTGGATGCTTCCTGCCCTCAAGTATCAGACTCCAGGTTCTTCAGTTTTGTGACTTGGACTGAATCTCCTTGCTCCTCAGCTTGCAGACAGCCTATTGTGGGACGTTGTGATCATGTGAGTTAATTCTTAACATATATATATATATATATATATATCCTATTAGTCCTGTCCCTCTAGAGAACCCTAACTAATATAGGCTCTTTCACGGAACACCAGCTCTGCACATATCGGCTGTGGGAGATCTTTAGCCAGTCACTTGGCCTGCCTGGCCCTTGATTTTCTCATCTGTAAAATGGGGATAATAATAACACCAATGCTTCCGGGTGGTTGTGAGGATTATATAGGACAATGCAAGTGGGACCCTATGGAGGTTTTGAGACCCATGTGGTCCAGTCTCGGGGTAGAGTCTAAAAGAACAACAGCCCATTGGAATTCCAGTGAGTGCTCATGTCTCCTGAAGAACATGATGGGGGTCTAGGCGTATATGCCACAGCCACTCTGGGCTCATCACCGTCCTCTGTAACACATGCAACTCCCATAAGATGCTTATCCTCCTCTACAGAAAATCTCCTTCTTCTACTCATGTCTGCTCCACCCCTGCCACCTTGCCAGGCCTCTGCCCTGCAGCCAGGGGCCCAATTACAGAAGGCAGCACTCATAGCATGTTCAACGGGTGAGTCTGCACAGCAGTCCTGTTGCCACCTGCCATGAGGTGTACTGCCTTTGACCTTGCTTCCTCGGGACAGTTCTTTCCCCTTCTGTCTCTCAGAACTTGTCTGGCAGTGGCAAGATGCTTTAGGGAGGGCGTGGAAGCAAACAGTAGGCAATGCCAGAGCCCTCTTTAGTGGGCCTGGGACAGCTGGGAACATTCCCACCTTCATACCTGTGCTTCTATTACACATGGGAAGCATTCAGCACAGGTGCAAGCTCTTAGGTGGCATTTTTAGAACTGCCCAACGTAAAAACTCTGCTGCAATTTTCTATCTAGGCCGAGAGTCGGCTTGAGAAATGCATCCAGTCAAAGATGAAAGAACTTGGAAGGAAGCAGTCTGGGCTGCCTTCCCTGCCCCTGCGGAATGGATTAGCCTGAGTGGCCACACACAAACAGGACAGGCTGGGTCTTGATGTTTTCCAGGTGACAGATCAGGGTACATCTGCAAACCTTGACTGAACTAAGTCGGAGGAAGGATCAGGACAAGCAGCCCAGTGGCAATGTTTTGAAACCAGTAAGCACCCAGGCAGCAAGGCCCTGGACATGGTGCAGCCTCGTTCCCCAAGGCTGAGAGCTGCAAGCCCGAGAGCTGCCTGGGAGGCCAGTCAGTAAGGGGCACCATGACATATTGGAAATGCCATGAGAAGGAGGCAACCATATGAATTAATCAGAGCTCTTCTCAGGGAAAGCCGTGTGTGGGGTAGGGAGGGGTGCTTTGGTGAGCCTCTTGGAGTGAGGGAGGAAAGATGGCAAGGATGTGAGTAAGTAGTCATGACAATTGCTTGCTGGACCCTATGGCAGGTGGCTGAAGAACGCCAGGGCTTCTGTTTTGCTGAGTTAGGGGCTCAGGACAGTTGAGGAGAGGCTGGACCTTGTACCAGCCCCTCCTTCTGCAAGCTCTGACTCAGGGACAGCCTCTTACATGCCCATTAAACATCTGGCCCAGGGATACTAGTTTCAGGGTTGCCTGTCGAGGTACTCCGCAGTATCACCAGGCTCTGGCTAAAGGAACCAGTGTCTCTGGGCCTTTGTTACCAGCTTCATTCTGTCTCCTGGTAGAAGGTGCTTGTTATGAGTTGAACTGCATCTCTAAAATATATGTTGAAGTCCTGGTGTGGTGGCTCATGCCTGTAATATCAGCACTTTGGGAGGCTGAGGTGGGTGGATCACCTGAGGTCAGGAGTTCAAGACCAACCTGGCCAACATGGTGAAACGCTGTCTCAACTAAAAATACAAAAATTAGCCAGGCACAATGGCGCATGCCTGTAGCCCCAGCTACTCGGGAGGCTGAGGCTGGAGAATTGCTTGAACCTGGGGGGTGGAGGTTGCAGTGAGCTGAGATCACACCACTGCACTCCAGCCTGGGTGACAGAATGAGAATCCATCTCAATAAATAAATAAATAATAAAAAATATATGTTGAAGTCCTCACCCCCATATCAGTAAATGTGACTTTATTTTGGGAATAGGAATTTTGCAGATGTCATCAATTCAAGAAGAGCTCATTAGGGTGGGCTCTAATCCAATATGACTGGTGTCTATAAAAGGGAAAATTTGGCCACAGAGACAGCCATGCACAGAACGAAGAGAGCACGGTGACACACAGCAGAAGACCGTGTGTGACGATGGAGGCAGAGATCAGACTGACGCAGCTGCGGCCAAGGAAACCACCAGAAATTAGGAAGAGGCAAGGAAGGATTCTCCCCTAGAGCCTTCAGAGGGAGCGTGGCCCTGCTGACACCTTGATTTTGGATTTCTAGCCCCCAGAACTGTGAGAGAATAAATCGCTGTTGTTTTAAGCCACCTAGTTTGTGGTGTTTTGTTACGACAGCCACAGGAAAGGAATCCAGTGCTTCTGACACAAGAGTCGGGGAGCATTGTCCAGAAGCGTTCCTGTCTGGTAACGCACCTGCCATTGGCCAGAGTAAAGCCTGCACACAGAGCCCGTCCATGAGGAGGTTCTACAATGCACAGCCTGGTAAATTCTGGAGCCGATGACCCAGCCTCGGTTCCTGTCTGTAAAAGGAGGGGCCGGGATGGAATTAGCCCTCTTCAAATTCTAACTTGTTTCAGTTTTGTAAGACCTCCTATTCCTAGTCAGGACATAAAGACCCAAGGGACTGTCAACCATTGAGAGCTTGCTTGCCCTATACTGGGCGGGGTCCTAGGGGACTGATGGGGGCGTCTGTCTCATGGGAATGCAGCCTGTGGGCTCCCAGGACACCTCCTCTACCTGCACTGGAGGAAGCTGGCAGCATCCAAGTGATATTTTGGTGGCTTGGCTGCTCTGGAACTAATGACAAAATAGAATTCCCAACATTAAACCAGTCCCTGCTGAGCTGGACTGTCCTATGGAGCTTTCCTGTATAAATATCCCTTCTGATCAAGGTGCGGTGGCTCACACCTGTAATCCCAGCACTTTGGGAGGCCGAGGCAGGCGGATCGTTTGAGGTCAGGAGTTTGAGACCAGCCTGGGCAACATGGTGAAACCCTGTTTCAACAACAACAACAACAACAAAAATTAGCTGTGTGCCTGTAGTCCCAGCTACTTGAGAGGCTAAGGTGGGAGGATCACTTGAGCCCAGGAGGCCGAAGCTGCAGTGAGCCAAGATCGTGCCACTGCATTCCAGCCTGGACGACAGAGTGAGACCCTGTTTCAAAAAAATAATAAAAAATAAAAAATAAATATCACTTCTTAGGCGTTAAAATCCCTGAGGTTGAGCCATTTCTGATATGGAGGCTTTTACCCTCTCTATTATTTATGATGTTATTTCTATTCACTTTCTTTTTCCCTATGAGATTTAAGGGCCAAATCCACCTGCTCTTTCCATTCTCCAAAAACTCATGGAAATGAAATGGCAACAAAGAACTACTCAGTAATTTGACACTGAAGATTCTCATCTCTCCCCATTTTACTTAGACAATGTGAAATTTAGGAGGGATAAAAGTAAAGTTCTGCCCCAATGTCAAAAACAAACCAATGGCACGAGAATAGGACAGCAGAGGCGTGACTGAAGACTGAAGCGCTCAGGTCATTTCTAGCTGAATGAGCACAGCTTAATGTGCAGTTCCCAAGGATGCTGATCAAACCCAGCAGAATGCTTACTATGCACGGGTCAGCAGTGTGTGGACAGGCAGGTCGTTCTGGGATTGACATTTTGAGAAGGTCATAGAAATATTAGACAGCAGCTGGAGGGCAGTGAGCGGGATGGAAACCGCTGTGTGTATGAGTGATGGTGCATGAATTTAGAAAATGAATTTAGTCTTTGAGCCAGTGCTTTGGTCTGAAGGTTTACATCTCCCCCAGCTGTCGTGACAAATTCATATCACCAAAGTGATGGTATTAGGAAGTGGGGTGCTTTGGGAGGTGATGAGGCAGAGCCCTCATGGAGGAGGTCACAGAGAGCTAACTAACCGCTTCCACCATGGGAGGACACAGCCAGAAAGTGCCATCTATGAACTAGGAAACAGCCCTCACCAGACAAGGAATTATTGTCATCTTGATCTTGGACATCCCAGCCTCTAGAACTGTCAAATGTAAATTTCTGCTCTTTATAAGCCACCCAGGGTATGGTGTTTTTTATAGCAGCCTGAACAGACTAAGATGCCAGCAATTTCATTTCTAGGTCTCTGGCTCAGTTTGCATCTTATTGTGGCGATAACAAATCACAATAACGAACTGGGCAGGCTAAGGAGCACAAATTCATAACCTCATAGTTCTGGAGGACAGAAGTCCAATGGGTTGGCAAGGCCACAATCCTGGAGGCTACAGGGAAGACTTCATTTCCTCGCCTTTTCCAGCTTCTAGAGGCCTCCTTTGGCTTGTAGTCCTTTCAACAATGGCATCACTCTGGCCTCTGCTTCTGTCACTGCATCTCCTTCTTCCCTTCTGCTTCTGCATCACATGGCCTGCTCTGTGACTCTCTTGCCTCTCTCTTACAAGGACCCTTATGATTATAATGGGCTTACCCCACAATCCAGGATCACCTCCCCCCACCTACCGCAAGAGCCTTAATTTAAGCACGTCTGCAAGTCTCTTGTCATGCAAGGTAACAAATTCACAGGTTCTGAGCATTAGCATGTGGGCATCTTTGGAAGGCCATTATTCTGTCCTCTACACTTGCCTACAGAATACACAAGTGTGCAAGGATGTAGGAACAATCATCTCAAACAATGAAAACACAGAGACAGCCTAACATCTGACAACAGGGTTCTGGTTGGATAATGACGCAGCCATTCTATGGAATATCACACAGCCATAAAAAGATGGAGGTAGGTGACATGGAAGGATGTCCACGATGTATTATTTATTTGTTTATTTATTTTGAGACAGGGTCTTACTCTGTTGCCCAGGCTGGAGTGCAGTGGCGTGATCTTGGCTCACTGCAACCTCTCCCTCCTGGGTTCAAGCGATTCTCCCACCTCAGCCTCCCGGGCAGCTGGGATTACAGACTTATGCCACCAAACCCAGCTAATTTTTGTATTTTTTGAAAGAGACGGGGTTTCACCATGTTGGCCAGGCTGATTTCGAACCCCTGACCTCGAGTGATCCACCTGACTCAGCTTTCCAAAGTGCTGGGATTACAGGCTTGAGCCACTGTGTCCGGCCCATGATGTATTTTTGAATAAGAGATAATTTTCAGAAATTCATAATTTATTTGTTCAAGAAATGCTTTCAATGCCTACTATGTGCCAGGAGCTGAGAACACACCAGTAAGTTAAACAGGAAGAATTCATATTCACTTTCTAAAAACTGTATACAGAAATATGTGTATGCATGGGGGAGAAAAGTCTTACCTGGAAAGTAAATGGTAAGTTGTTAATAGTGATTCTCAGGAGAGGAAGAGTGGGGCATGGAGATAGTGAGGATTTGCTAGGTTTATTTTGATGTTTTCATATGGTTTTATCTTTTCAACAAGCACTTGTTATTTCTGCTAAAAACGAAATTGAACTAAGGTACAGTTATCAAGACAAATTATTATGTGAACTCTAACTTCTTGATGATAAAGCTGTACCAATCTGCAAAAGAGAAAGAAGGAAGGAAAGAAGAAGAGAGGGAAGGAAGGAGAGAGAATGGAGACAAAGAAAAGGGGAAAGGAAAGGAGGAGAAAAAGAACAAGCTGATAAGTGTTAACTTGGAGAAGGGAAGTCTTGAGGGGCACTTTGCCAAGGCTCTTGTGGTTCAGAGTGTCCCTCCGTCCCCTGCAGGAACTGGCAGCTCCTCCAGATATATTTCTTTCTGTCCTCTCTTTGGGCACCTGGCCCTGTGCCTGTGCACAGTAGGTGATCAGTGACATATTGTTGACAAGCAAAGCAACAGATGGAAATGCTGGTAATAGTGGAGAAGCCACTTCATCAAGCCAGGGCGCATTTTTGACCCCCTAAGCCATCAGGCACATTTACCAGCCTCAATTTTTTCTTTTCTTTTCTTTTTTTTTTTTGAGAAACGGTCTCGTTCTGTTATCCAGGCTGGACAGCAGTGGTGCCATCATAGCTCACTGCAGCCTCATCCTTCCAGGCTCAAGCGATCTTCCCACCTCAGCATCCCGAGTAGCTGGGACCACAACCCCAGCCTTCATACTATACCAATATTTGCTTCCTTTCTTTTTTTTCTTTTTTTTTTTTTTTTTTTTTTTGAGACAGAGTCTCATTCTGTTGCCCAGGCTGGAGTGCAGTGGTGTGGTCTTGGCTCACTGAAACCTCCAGTTCTCAGAGTCAAGCAATTCTTCTGCCTCAGCCTCCCAAGTAGCTGGGATTACAGGCACCTGCCACCAAACCCGGCTAAATTTTATATTTTTAGTAGAAACGGGGTTTTGCCATTAGCCAGGCTGGTCTCCAATTCCTGACCTCAAGTGACCCACCCTCCTCAGCCTCCCAAAGTGCTGGAATTACAGGTGTGAGCCACCTTACCTGGCCCTCCCCTCATTTATAACCATTTCAGGTCAAACTCTGGTCCTTCCCAAGTCCCTGGAACTTCCTAGTTTCTTCAAGGCACAGATTCTGCTGTTTGGGGAAGTGCGTGGAAATTCTAGCTCACTTATTTCAGCCACAGTGGTCCGCCAGATGAACCTGTGGTTTGCTACTTCCTCACCCTGAACTGTAATCTCCGAGCTGGCCTTTCTGCCCTCTGCATGTGTCTCTGAGACTGAGGCTTTGTGGTGGGACGTGTGGCAGGAAGAGGAGGGATGAGGCCTTGGGCACGGGTACCCTCTATCATGGGCACTGTGATCTCAGCCCTACATTCCCCTGATAGACACTGCCTCGGGTTGCATGCCTGGCAGATGGTTTTTCTGAGAACACCACCCAGTAACAAACAAAACAGGTGTGTGTCTTTTCATTTTACTCTTGGTTCTTAGTGTTTTAGGAAAAAAGTATCTGGATTTGAGTATCTGAAATATTCGCATGTTTTACTGAGAAAACAAGGAACCTCTGATTTTCTTGGGAAACAATGAGAGTCGTCACTTCCTTTTAGTGCTTTTAAGCACAAGTTGAAACAAGGAAAACACAATTTTGATTAGTTCTCATTGTCTTTTTGAATGCCTGCTTCACCCTTCCTAGAGCTACAGTGGTATGAAATTAACACTGCTCCCTCCCAGCACTTTGGGAGGCCAAGACGGGTGGATCATTGGAAGTCAGGAGTTCGAGACCAGCCTGGCCAACGTGGCGAAACCCCGTCTTTACCCAAAATACAAAAATTAGCCATGTCTAGTGGTGTATGCCTTTAAGTCCCAGCTACTTGGGAGGCTGAGGCACCAGAAATGCTTGAACCTGGAAGATGGAGGTTACAGTGAGCCGAGATCGTGCCAGTGCGCTCGAGCCTGGGCAACACAGCAACACTCTGTCTCAAACAAACAAAAAAAGTGTAGCTCGATTCAACCCACCAGGCCCTCCATGACATGTCCCACCCCTTCGCTGCTCTATCCTCTTCTCCTCCCATCCTCCCCCCTCCACTCAGGCAAGTTCCTGCCTCAGGACCTTTGCACATGCTATTCCCTCTGCCTGGAACACTCTCCCCTCAGGCGTCTGCATGTTTCCCTCCCTCCTTCAAGTCTTTGTGCTCCAATGTCACCTTCTCAGGGAAGCCCCCCGACCACCCTCTGTAGAACTGCAGCCCCCACCCTGTCTCAGCCCTCCTAAGCCCAGCCCTGCTTTATTTTCCTCCATAGCACTTGTCACCTCCCAATAGATCACATTTTCAGTTTGACTGTCTACTCCCTTTCTAATGGAAACTCCAGGAGGGCAAGGATTTTTGTGCATTTTCTTTACCACTGTTAACCAGTCCTAGAACCATCATTGAATCTGAGGCTTTAGAGAAGAGTTTTGCATCATGTATCCAAAATCTTATAAACATGGCCAGGCTCAGTGGCTCACGTCTATAATCCCAGAACTTTGGGAGGCCGAGGCGGGTGGATCATTTGAGGTCAGGGATTCGAGACCAGCCTGGCCAACATGGTGAAACCCCGTTTCTACTAAATACAAAAAAAAAAAAAAAATAGTGGGGCATGGTGGCGCATGCCTGTAATCCCAGCTACTCAGGAGGCTGAGGCAGGAGAATCACTTGAACCCAGGAGGCAGAGGTTGCAGTGAGCTGAGATTGCGCCACTGCACTCCAGCCTGGGCAACAGAGTGAGACTCTGTCTCAAACAAACAAACAAAAAAAAAACCAAAACCAAATCTCATAAACATGCTCATGATTCCACCCAGCTATTCTACATCTAGGAATTTATCCTTTGGAAGTAATCACAGATGTGCACAAAGATATGGTTAGAAATGTCACAAGGGCAAAACACTGGAAATAATGAGAGCTGGCATTTAATTACCACTTACTGTGTGTAGACCTTGTTGCAAACATTTTATGTGTATGAACTTATTTAAACTTCACAGCAACCCTAGAACCTGCTGATTATCGTCTGTATTTTACAAGTGAAGAAACAGGCGGAGGGTTTGAAGAGTATGTAGTAAAGCCAGGATTCAAAGTTGTGTTTCTTGTGTCTGAATCAAGAGCCCATACTCTTTTTATTTTCGAGAGAGTTTTGCTCTGTTGCCCAGGCTGGAGTGCAGGGGCGCAATCCCAGCTCACTGCAACTTCTGCCTCCGGGTTCAAGCAATTTTCCTGCCTCAGCCTCCTGAGTAGCTGGGATTACAGGTGCCTGCCACCACGCCCAGCTAATTTTTGTATTTTTAGTACAGATGAGGTTTCACCATGTTGGCCAGGCTGGTCTCGAACTCCTGGCCTCATGTGATGCACCCGCCTCAGCTTTATCAGATTCTCAAAGACCTCCAGGAACCAGGGTTGTAGAATAATTTTCCTACATAAGCAAAGTTAGGAATTGTCAATGCTGCTTTTAGCATAGTCTTAAAAAAATTTTTTACCTTCCTTCCTTCCACATAAGCTTCCCTTTTCTTGTCCCTAAATGATGTTAAGAATCTGGAATGTCACCATAGATGTATCTTTAGGCCAGGTGCAGTGGCTCATGCCTGTAATCCCAGCTTTTTGGGAGGCTGAGATGGGAGGACTGCTTGAGGCCAGGAGTTCAAGACCAACCTGGTCAACCTAGTGAGAGCCCATCTTTACAAAACAAAACAAAATCCAAGAATCTTTAATGACTTGGAAAGAGCTTTGTTGCATATAGTTAACTGCAAAAGGCAGGTTACTAAAGAGTCTACGTTCTGACCACATTTTCATTAAAAATTTATCTCTACCTATATGCATGGTAAAATGACTCAAATTGACTATGTATGTTAATATCGCCACTTCTAGGTAATGAAATTCTGGGTGTTTTAAAACTTATTTTCTGGTCTTGTTTGTATTCATTACATGTTTACAGGAATGTTACTTTTGTCATTAAATATACTTTTTGTTTTTAGAAAAAGGCAGACTTTGGGCAGAAAATTTGGTAGTCCCTATCAGAATTTTAAGAGATGTGGGTCTTGCTATGTTGCCCAGACTGGTCTCGAACTCTAGCAGTCCTCCATCTCTGCCTCCCAAAGTGCTGGCATTATAGGCATGAGCCACCGCGCCCGGCCCCCTATCAGAATTTTAAATGTACTTACTCTATGCTCCATCAATTCCACCTTTCCAGAAGTCTGCACTACAGAAATCCTTGCACATGCGGCTGCATGTAAGTCCTGTGACGTTCACCGTAACGTTGTGAAAATTTATGAACAGCCCAAATCCTTCAGAGAAGTTGAGTGGTTAAATAGAATATGATCTTTCCCTACTCTGAAAACCTCTGTGGTTGTTAAACAAGAATAAGGTAGATAGATCTCCGAGATATTGTTAGGTAAAAAAGGGAGGGCACAGAACAGAATGTATAATAGGATCCAACCTACATAAAGGACTACATGTGAGCATGAAGGCGTTGAAAGGAACTGGAGGGAAGCCATCTGTTTGTTGATGTTGTTACCTCCCGGAGCTGGGTGTGGGTGTGGGAGGCGATGGTGAAGGGGACTTGTTTTGTTCTGGTTACTTGAATCTTTCAGAAGTCTGTACATGCAGGACCATGTATTATATATGTCATCAATTTAACACAGTAAAAATATGAAAGTTTTAAAATAAAAGCCCCTAAACTCTAAAATGTTTTCCCCTTACTGAACTGCTCAAGGACTCCATTTGCAAACTGATAGTCTTAGGAAACGGCCATGGGTTTTGGTTACTGTCTAGATAGAAACAGGCTCCATCACTGGGCCGGACACAGTGGCTCACATCTGTAATCTCAGCACTTTGGCAGGCCGAGGTAGGAGGATCATTTGAAGCCGGGAGTTTGAGACCAGACTGGGCAACATAGCAAGACACTGTCTCTATTTAAAAAACAAACAGGCCGGGATTGGTGGCTGACACCTGTAATCCCAGCACTTTGGGAGGCCGAGGCGGGCAGATCACTTGAGGTCAGGAGTTTGAGAGCAGCCTGGCCAACATGGTGAAACCCCATCTCTACTAAAAATACAAAAATTAGCCAGGCGTGGTGGTGCATGCCTGTAACCCCAGCTACTCAGGGGTGAGGCAGGAGACTCGCTTGAACCTGGGAAGCAGAGGTTGCAGTGAGCTGAGATTGTGCCACTGCACTCCAGCCTGGGTGACAGAGTAAGAGTCCGTTTCAAAACAACAACAACAACAAGAAAAAACTGTAAAAAAACAAACAGGCTGTGTCTCCAGCAAAGGACAAATGTTATGTAAACAGTGATGCAGCCATAAGGGGCACTTTTTTTTTTTGAGACAGGGTCTTGCTCTGTTGCCCAGGTTGGAGTGCAGTGGCGCCATCACGGCTCACTGCAGCCTCGACTGCCCAGGCTCAAGCAATTCTCCTACCTCAGCCTTTCTGAATAGTTGGGACCACAGGTGCTGCCACCACACCTGGCTAATTTTTAAATTATTTGTAGAGATGTGGTCTTACTATGTTGCCCAGGCTGGTCTCAAACTCCTGGCCTCAAGTGATCCTCCCACCTCAGCCTCCCAAAGTGCTGGGATTACTGGCATGAGCTGCTGTGCCTGGCCTGGGGCACACTCTTATGTCCTAAGCAAGAACACTAGTTGTAAATATCTTGGAGCGATGTGGAAAGTAAGGGACAAAAGTCAAGTGGGAAATTATGCAAGTGCTGCTGGGCTTACAGCCAGGTGGGATGAAGCATGCCCCGGATAGAGGTAGGAGGGCTGCAGCGCACAGCCAGGTGGGGCTATGGCATCTTAGGCCAAAGCTGTTTCTCCCGGGGCTTTCTCATCCCAGCTCTGAAGCCACAAGCCTGCAAGTCATCTGGAATCCTGTCGTCACCACATCCTCTTGGCTCCCTTCACTTCTTGACATCCCCACAGTTCTCCCTCTGGCCCCAGGCACCTTCATCTCTCACCTCCTTTATCACAGAAGCCTCCCAAGGGGGGTGTCCTGGTTTCCCAAGGCCATCTGTATTAGTCTGTTCTCACACCGCTATAAGGACATACCCGAGACTAGGTAATTTATAAAGGAAAGCAGTTTAATTGACTCACAGTTCAACATGGCTGGGGAGGCCTCAGGAAACTTACGATCATGGCAGAAGGAGAAGCAAATACATCCTTCTTCACATGGCAGCAGGAAAGAGAAGTGCCAAGCAAAAGGGGGAAAGCCCCTTATAAAACTATCAGATCTGTGAGAACTCACTCACTATCACGAGAACAGCACGGTGAAAACCGCCCCCATGATTAAATTACTTCCCACGGGGCCCCTCCCACCACACGTGGGGATTATGGGAACTACAATTCAAGATGAGACTTGGGTGGAGACATCGTCAAACTATATCACCATCCTTCTCCAGCCTGGAATGCCTACACTGTTCCCCATTTAAAGATTTGGCTTCCTGGCTCCCCTGCCTGGATGCTCCAGGCCTCTGTGTGTCCGGTGGCTCCACAGACTACCCAGAGGGCCCTTCTTACAGTGCAGCCACCCCTCTTGCCCCCATTATTTACCACCTCAGCCTGCTTGTCTTCTTCATGGTTCTATCCCTGTCTGAAATCCTCATTGTTACTTGTTTATTCCCGATCTCCCCCACTAGCCAGCATTACTCAAGGGCTTACCACGTGCAGGACACTGCTTTAAGCATTTTACATAGAACCCATTTAGTGCACCTCAAAATCCTACCAGGTGAGTATAATCATGGTTCCCGTTTTACAGATGAGGAAAGTGGGGCACTGAGCTAAGCACCGTACTCCCACGTCACGTGGCTCCAAAATGGCAAAGCTGGGGTTTGAACTTGGGGGCTCCCAGCCCAGAGCCTGGACCCCTAATTACTAAATGATCCTACCTGAAACTACAGATGCACTAAAAACGGACTTTTTTTTGAGACAGCGTCTTGCTCTGTCGCCCAGGCTGGAGTGCAGTGGCGCAATCTCGGCTCACTGCAACCTCTGCCTCCTGGGTTCAAGCCATTCTCATGCCTCAGCCTCCTGAGTAGTTGAGATTACAGGTGTGAGCCACCATGCCCACCTGATTTTTGTATTTTTAGTAGAGATAGGATTATGCCATGTTGGCCAGGCTGGTCTTGAACTCCTGACCTCAGGTGATCCACCCTCCTCCATCTCCCAAAGTGCTGGGATTACAGGCGTGAGCCACCACACCTGGCCAAAAAAACGGACATCTTACTTACTTTTTGAAGATTCAAATTATCTTGAGGGGCAGCCAGTGTCCTGCTCACTCCAGTGCTGGGGAGCAGGACCGCGGGCACCCCTACCCCTACCAAGCTTTTATTGCCTTTAGTGATTTGGGGCATGTGTCTTGACCTGTTTTTCCCTGGACCTAGGATAAACCAGGCTGTTGTTGACAGAGTTCTGGTTTTTGTTGAAGCTCTCAAAATATCGAATCCATAAGCTTGTTTTCCTTATTTAATTCTCACCAGGGTCTCATGGCATGGAGACCCCCCTAGCTAGCACCGATGGCACTGAAACTGTGGCAGTGCCTCTGGTTGCAAAAAATAGGGGATCAACGCCTATTTGGGTTCTATTTTTATTAAAACCCCATTAGCTTGTTTCTATCGGAGCAATTAAAGTGTCGAGGCCTGATGCTCTGCAGGGGCTGTGGAGGAGGCGCTTTCGTGAGAGCAACTGTTCTCAGGCGGAGAACTTTCTTTTCAAAAGGACCCCTGGGGCCTGAAGTCTCAGGCTTATTCTCAGCCCCAGGTGGGTTTTCTTAGTGGATAATTTGGTAACATCCTCTGCAGCTGGGCTTGAGTTAATGAGGTTGAAGATCACCTAATTTTCCCCCTTCCTTTTTTTTTCTTTCTTTGCCTGATTTTGTAACTCACAGTCTAAAGGCTTCCAACCTGTTCCAGCAAATGTTAATTCTGTTCACACCTTGCCAAGTGTGAAATTTCACCCAGCACAGCTGTGCAGACGCATTTCTGTTTCTACCCTGGCACCTTAAAATCAGCTAAACCCACCCAAGCTGGGCTCTGTCCTCATTCCACGCCGGGGTGGGCACAACCTGCTGGCTAGGGTGTGTCCCCATGACACGACTCTGTGCATCTTAACACGTCAGCACACTCTGGAACTTGACAGCTTGCAATTCGGAGGCCATGAATTCAGCACGTGTTAGGCTCCGTGCTCTGTGCTCTGGAGGACTCAGTAGGTCTGGGGTGGGCGCTGGAATCTGTAGTTCTAGCAAATTCACAGGTGGTGCTGATGCAGCTGGCCTGGGGACCACACCTTTGAGAACCACTGTGGTGGGTTTATTTATTTATTTTTTTTGAGACGGAGTCTTGGTCTGTCACCCAGGCTGGAGTGCAGTGGCATGATCTGGGCTCGCTGCAAACTCCACCTCCCGGGTTTAAGTGAGTCTCCTGCCTCAGCCTTCTGAGTAGCTGGGACTACAGGCCACACCACCATGCCTGGCTATTTTTTGTATTTTTAGTGGAGACGGGGTTTGCCATGTTGGCAAGGCTGGTCTCGAATTCCTGACCTCAAGTGATCCATCTTGGCCTCCCAAAGTGCAGGGGGATTACAGGCATGAGTCACTGCAGCCAGTTCCTGTTATGGACTTTTGCTTAAAAGTTACCTTCCCCGGAGGCCCTCCAGTCACACACAGCCTGACTTGGAAGGTGGCCCTGCCAAAGGCTCTCAAGGCAATGTGTATGGCCCGTCCTGGGCTCACACTTGTGATGATCTAATAATGTCCTCCCACTCCCTGACTGTCAGCTCCACCCCTACGGCCAGCTCTATCATATTCATGCCTCAAAAGATCTGCTCTCTGCCTCCTCCCCACTCCCTCATCTCCTGTCACTCTCATCCACACCTCTGCCACCCAGGCCTGCTTTTGTTTCTTAAAGCAGGCCAACCAAGCCACACACTTCTCACCTCCTCTCACTGCTTGGAATGATGACCTCCTCTGGGCTCTTCACCCAGCCAGCTCTGCATCTTTCCTCAGAGAGCCCCTCTTTGGACTCACTAAAGAAGGTCCCTGAAAGCCGGGCAAAGTGGCTCACACCTGTAATCCCAATCTTTGGGAGGCTGAGGTGGGATGATTGCTTGAAGCCAGGAGTTCTAGACCAGCCTGGGCAACATAGTGAGAACTCCGTCTCTATAAAAATTAAGAACAAGAAAAATTAGCCAGATGTGGTGGCACACACTTGTAGTACTAGCTACTTGGGAGGTTGAGGCGTGGAGATCGCTTGAGCCCAGGAGTTCAAAGCTGCAGTGAGCTAGGGTTGTGCCACTGCACTCAAGCCTGAGTGACAGAGCGAGACTCTGTCTTTATTTACACATGCCCTTTAATTCACCTCACAGATCTTATTGTAATCCCGTTTATAGTCCGCCTTGCCCTTTACAGTGTAAACTCCACAGGGCAGTGAGGGATGACCATTCCACTCCTGACTTCAGACCCTCACTGGAGGGGCGAATGAATGAGTGAATAAGTGGGATTAATTTCTGCTGTCAGTGAAATTCCCAGCAGAAGAAGCCAGAAAACAGCCAAGCCTGCCCTGCAGGGGACTGTTTGAACTGTGTAGCCTCTGCTTTCTCGGATTCCCCCTTCCTCCGGACCAACCATGAGCCACCCATCACCTGTTTTGAGCAAGGCAGTTGGGGGTGAGGCAGAGAGAAGGAGGCAAGGGAGTTTTTGCAACAGCCAGAGCTGCAGATTAGACACATGTAATCAATCCGGAGAGCCACACAGTGTTCTGCCAACTGAGATACCCAGATTAAACAGACCAAGGGCCCCTGAGGCAAAATGTCATGCAAAATAACTTTTCAAAAATAGCAGCTTGCAATCTCGAGAATGAGCACGGGTTGTCAATGACATGAGCAGTCTTTTGAAACAGAAGGAGGAGTCCTGTTTTTACTGCAGATAATGGTGATATGACATAGGCATAGGTTGGGCCAATTTTGCCAAAGGAGACACTTAGAAGGGATAGCGAGTCCTATAGAAATGGCGTTGGGAGGACCAGGACTGAAGCGAGAGACGCCTGATAGTGCGGTTGGAAGAGGGGATGGCGAGTCCTATAGAAACGGTGTTGGGAGGACCGGGACTGAAGCGAGAGACGCCTGATAGTGCGGTGGGAAGAGGGGATGGCAAGTCCTATAGAAACGGTGTTGGGAGGACCAGGACTGAAGCGAGAGACACCTGATAGTGCGGTGGGAAGAGGCTGCCCTGGCCTGCTCTGTTGCTCATCGCACAGTGCAGCAGAGCAGAGAAGAGTCGGATCTCAGGATCAGCCTGACCTGGTTTCCAGCCCTGGGCCCAGCACTGGTTGCTGTGTGACCTTCGGCACACACTTAACCTCACTGAGTCTATTTCTTTATCTGTAAAAGGGGGATAACAATAATTCATCTCTTAGGGTTTTTGTGGAAATTAAATGAGATAATACATATAAAATTAGCTGGGCATTGTGGCAGGCACCTGTAATCCCAGCTACTCAGGAGGCTGAGGCAGGAGAATGGCTAGAACCTGGAAGGTGTAGGTTGCAGTGAGCTGAGATGGCGCCACTGCACTCCAGTCTGGGTGACAGAGTGAGACTCTGTCTCCACAAAAAAAAAAAAAAAAAAAAAAAAAAGAACACCTGTAAATCAGTAAAAAGATAAACAATCCAGTAGAACAATGGGTAAAACACGTAAACAGGCATTTCACAAAAGAGGAAGCATAAATGGCCAATGAATATATTTTAAAACCAGGGCCTGTTGTTGGGTGGGGGGAGGGGGGAGGGAAAGCATTAGGAGATATTCCTAATGTAAATGACGAGTTAATGGGTGCAGCACACCAACATGGCACATGTATACATATATAACAAACCTGCACGTTATGCACATGTACCCTAGAACTTAAAATATAATAATAAAAAAAATACAGAAAAAAAAAGAAAAAAAATTTAGCCAGGTGTGGTGTTGCATGCCTGTAATCCCAGTGATTCAGGAGGCTGAGGCAGGAGGATCACTTGAGGCAAGGAGTTCAAGACTAGCCTGGGAAATACAGCAAGATTCTGTCTCTAAATAAGTAAAAGAAGTCAGGTGTGGTGGCATGTACCTATAGTCCCAGCTAGTCGGGAGGCTGAGGTGGGAGGACTGCTTGAGCCTAGGAGTTCAAGGCTGCAATGAGCTATGATCCCACAACTGCACTCCAGCCTGGGTGACACAGGGAGACCTTGTTTCTAAGGAAAAATAAAAAAAGATACTACAAAGAAAATTAAAAGACAAGCTACAGAATGGGAGAATTTTGCAACACAGATAACTGACAAAGGATTAGTATAAAGAACACCTATACTGGCCAGGCGCGGTGGTTCATGCCTGTAACCCCAGCACTTTGGCAGGCCGAGGTGGGTGGATCACCTGAGGTCAGGAGTTTGTGACCAGCCTGGCCAACATAGTGAAATCCTGTCTCTACTAAAAATACAAAAATTAGCTGGGCGTTGTGGCAGGCACCTGTAATCCCAGCTACTCAGGAGGCTGAGGCAGGAGAATCGCTAGAACCCTGAAGGCATAGGTTGCAGTGAGCTGAGATGGCGCCACTGCACTCCAGCCTGGGTGACAGAGCAAGACTCTGTCTCCAAAAAAAAAAAAGATCACCTATAAATCAGTAAAAAGAAGATAAACAATCCAGTAGAACAATGGGCAAAACATGTAAACAGGCATTTCACAAAAGAGGAAGCATAAATGGCCAATGAATATATTTTAAAATGTGCAACTCATTAGTACTCAGAAAAACGCAAATCAGAATAACATTTATATATATAAATTTATATATAAAAATTCTTTTGTGATAGAGTCTCATTCTGTCACCCGGGCTGCAGTGCAGTGGTATGATCAAGGCTCACTGTAGCCCTGAGCTTCTATACTCAAGCAGTCCCTCTGCCTCAGCTTCCCATGTAGCTGGGACCACAGGTGCATCCCACCATGCCTGGCTTTTTTTTTTTTTAAAGTAAAGATGGGGGTCTTGCTATATTTCCCAGACCGGTCTCAAGCAATCCTCCCACTGGCTTCTTAAAGTAGTGAGATTATAGGTGTGAGCCACTGTGCTCGGCCACAGTGAGATATTTTTTAATACCCATTAAATTGGAAAAAAAAAAAAGAATTCTAATAATGGAAACTCTTATACACTGTTGATGGGTGAATAAAGTCATGTGATTTGGCGGAAGCTTGTGAAGTAGAGCACTGGCAGACCCTATAAGCCAGCACTTTCACTTGGGCGTTCATCCCAGAGGAATGCATGCTGTGTAAGAATCCGCACAGTGACAATGTTTGTAATAGAAAAAAAGCTTGGAAATGGACCAAATGTCTGCTGATAAGAGAACACTTATAGAAGTTGTGGCATGTTCCCACAATAGAATAATATACAGCAGTAAAAATGAGCTGCGATGACATGATTGAAAATTAAAATTGAGTGAAAGAAGCAAGATGCAGCTGACTGCATGCAACAGGAACTTAGTTTTACAAAGTTTGAAAACAAACCAGTCCTGGCACGGTGGCTCACGCCCGTAATCCCAGCACTTTGGGAGGCCAAGGCGGGTGGATCACCTGAAGTCAGTTTGAGACCAGCCCGGCCAACATGGTGAAACCCCATCTCTCCTAAAAATACAAAAATGAGCCAGGCGTGGTGACGCACACCTGTAATCTCAGCTACTTGGGAGGCTGAGGCAGGAGAATCGCTTGAACTCAGGAGGCAGAGATTGCATTGGCCGAGATTGCGCCATTGCACTCCAGCCTGGGCAACAAGAGTGAAACTCTGTCTCAAAAACAAACCAAAAAACAAAAAATCAGGCCAGGTGCAGTGGCACATCCCTGTAATCCCAGCACTTCGGGAGGCCGAGGAAGGTAGATCATCTGAGATTAGGAGTTTAAGACCAGTCTGGCCAACATGGTGAAACCCCATCTCTACTAAAAATACAAAAATTAGCTGGGCGTGGTGGTGTGCGCCTGTAATCCCAGCTACTCGGGAGGCTGAGGCAGGAGAATCACTTGAACCCAGGAGGCAGAGTTGCAGTGAGCCAAGATCATGCCACTGTACTCCAGTCTGTGTGACAGAGCAAGACTCCATTTCAAAACAAAACAAAACAAAACAAAACACCACCAAAATAATATATTCACTAGATATAAAAACTAAGGAAGTAATAAATATAAAATCCAGGATAATGATTACTCTGGGGGTAGAGGGTAGCAGAGAAACTATGCAGGAGGCAATGATCATGTTCTCAACTTAAATTAGTGGAAGTTGGTGGGTGTTCATTGTATTACACCACTTCATAACATACAGATATGTTACATATATTCTTGGCATGTATCAAATGTAAAATAATAAAAAGTATATATATGTGTATATATATATGTGTGTGTGTGTATAGATATGTGTGTGTGTATATATGTATGTGTGTATGTGTGTCTGTGTGTATATATATACACATATATTTTAAGACCGAGTCTCACTCTGTCATCCAGGCTGGAGTGCAATGGCGCAGTCTCGGCTCACTGCAACCTCTGCCAGCCAGATTCAAGCAATTCTCATGCCTCAGCCTCCCAAGTAGCTGGGACTACAGGCACAAGCCACCACGCCCAGCTAATTTTTGTGTTTTTAGTAGAGACAGGGTTTCACCATGTTGGCCAGGCTAGTCTCGAACTCCTGACCTCAGGTGATCCATCTGCCTTGGCCTCCCAAAGTGCTGGGATTACATAAGCCACCACGCCTGGCCAAAAAGTATACATATTTTTAACAGCCCTGGAATAGTTCATCCTTCTGGGCCCCTTCGACTCTAGGCTATGATTTCTGAGCCGCTGTGTAGCCGCTCTCAGTTTAGGGAGATTTGATAACATCTCCACAGCCTCCACCATGTGGCTACCCTTGTATCAGTTTATTTGATTTTGCAGCGAATGACTGTCAGGGGCTTGAAGATGTAACCTCTTTCCTGTGAGGTTTGCTCTGAGACGTGAATCCCTGAGGGACCTTGCCACATCATGTGGATGACATGAGGAGGTGGGTATGCATGAGCTGTAATTAAGCAAAGCAATAGTTTCATCTCCATTTAACGCAGCTGAACACTTTGTTCTTTCCACAGATAAGTATACAACAACCTGTGACACATTGTTCTTCTATTTTTTTTTCTATTTGAAGTGGCAGAAGAACCCTTTAAAATCACAAAGGTTCTTTAATTTTTTTTTTTTTTCAATTAGCCAGGCATGGTGGCACATGCCTGTAATCCCAGTGACTCCTGGAGGTTGAGGCAGGAGGATCCCTTGAGGTCAGGGGTTCAAGACCAGTCTGGGTAATATAGCAAGACCCTGTCTCTAAATAAATAAAATAAGCCAGGCGTGGTGGCATGCACCTGTAGTCCCAGCTAGTCGGGAGGCTGAGGTGGGAGGATTGCTTTGTCTATGAAAATTAGAGTCTTTGAAAATGGAGTGAGGTTTTAGTTTTTATTGATTTCTTTTGAAAAAATGCCTTAAACATTGGAGAACTGGATTTTCAATCCTGGCCATACACAAACATGATGTGTTATATGGATCCCCACTCCCTAAAAATCTTTAAAATGATCTAGGAATTCAGGTGGTAGGATCCTCTGAAATGTTGATCAAGGTCTGAGCTGGCTCAAAACCTGGGAAAAGACTTCTTAGACTGCTGAACTATTTAAAAAGAAGCATGCCGGCACGGTGGCTCACACCTGTGGTCCCACCTATTCAGGAGGCTGAGGCAGGAGAATCACTTGAACCTGGGATGTGGAGGTTGCAGTGCACCGAGATCGCGCCACTGCACTCCAGCCTGGGAAACAGAGTGAGACTCCACCTCAAAAAAAAAAAAAAGTAAATAAATAAATAAATAAATAAATAAATAAAAAGCAGCACATTACTGCATGTTTACCTAGCATCTCAGATAAAGAAATCAGAGTGAACATGAAATGCTAAATTAGAAAACAAGTGTCCTTTGAAACAGTTTTTAAAATGTTCTGCTCCTGAACCAAAGAGATAGCTGAGTGCTAAGTCCTCTCGGTCCTATTAAGATAAGGCCACTCTCTGGGAACAACCATTGACATCTCTCTCCTCCATGACTGGTAATGCTGGCTTTTAATACCAGTGTCTGCCTCCAGTCTAACAAGCCTCAAAACAAATCCCAAGCACACTTTCTCTTCTTCTTCTTCCTCTTTCTCTTCTTCTTTCTTCTTTCTTTCTTCTTCTTGTTCTTCTTCCTCCTCCTCTTCTTCTTCTTCTTTTCTTTCTTCTTCTTCTTTTTTTTTTTTTTTTTTTTGAAGACTAACTCTTCCTCACTCTGCGGCCCAGTCTGGAGTGCAGTGGTGTGATCTCTGTTCACTGCAACCTCTGCCTTTCAGGTTCAAACAATTCTCGTAACCCAGACTCCCAAGTAGCTAGAACTACAGGCGCATGCCACCACGCCTGGCTAATATTTGTATTTTTAGTGGACACAGGGTTTCACCATGTTGGCTAGGTTGGTCTCAAACTACTGACATCAAGTGATCCACCCACTTCAGCCTCCCAAAGTGCTGGGATTACAGGTGAGTCACCGCGCCTGCCTACTTTCCCTTCAATGAATGACACTTTCTTGTATGTGCCTCATTTGCTGCACTTGAATCTATACTCCTTAGCTACCTGTTTGCTTTCCTGTGTCCAAAGAAAAGAAAATGCCCTCAAGGAAGAATTTTTGTTGTACAAAAGGAGACATACAAGTCATGTGAGAATCAAATAAACTTTTTTTTTTTTTAAACCTGGAAATAAACTTCTCTCTCAAGGGTGATACAGGAGCAGAAAGCGCTGTAAAGGCTTGAAACTCTGGGTTCTTTCTTCTTTTTTTCTTTCTCCCTTCCTTCCTCCCTTCCTCTCCCTTCCTCCCTTCCTCTCCCTTCCTCCCTTCCTTCCTCCCCCTTCCTTCCTTCCTCTCTTCCTTCCTTTTTCTTCTTTCCCTCCCTCCCTCCTTCCTTTTCTTTCTTTCTTTCTTCTCTTTTTCTTTTTTCTTTCTTTCTCTCTTCCTTCCTTCTTTCTTTTTCTTTCTCTTTTTCTTTCTTCTTTCTTTTTTCTTTCTTCTTTCCTTTTCTTTCTTTTCTTTTTCTTTTTGTTTTTTTGAGACAGGGTCTTACTCCCTTCACTCAGGCTGGAGTTCAGTGGCGCTCTCACTGCTCACTGTAGCCTCAATTTCCCTGGGCTCAAGCAGTCCTCCCATCTTAGCCTCCTGAGTAGCTGGGACCACAGGCATGAGCCACCACGCTCAGCTAATGTTTTATTTTTTGCAGGGGCGAGGTCTTACCATGTTGGCCAGGCTGGTCTCAAACACCCAGGCTCAAGCTAGCCTCCTGCTGCAGCCTCCCAAAGTGCTGGGATTATAGGCAGGAGCCACCTCGCTCGGCCTGATTTTTTCTTTGTCCTGAGCCACGGGTGGGAGATGTTTGCAGGATGAGCTGATTCCATGTGCACCATTATGAATTCTGAAACACTGGCAGTTCCCAGGCACTATTTTCAGAGCTATGCTGACACTTAATCATGTTGGTGTAGAAAGCCATGCTTGTTTTAAACTCATTTAGACACAGAGAAAATTAGCTAGAGAGTGCCAGAAGAGAAAGGAGAAGAAAATCAAGTTATTGCTGTCAAAGAGAAAGAATGCTAAAAGTTCTAAGTAAAATCAGAGGCCTTTTCCCGTCAGTCGCAAGTACTAGGGGAAAAGTAAAAATTTCAATGAAAGGCAAATATTCGACCAGGCACAGTGCCTCATACCTGTAATCCCAGCATTTTGGGAGGCCGAAGCGGGTGGATCACCTGATGTCAGGAGTTCAAGACCAGCCTGGCCAAGATGGCAAAACCCCATCTCTACTAATAATGTTAAAATTAGCCAGGCATGGTGGCAGACAGCTGTAATCCCAGCTACTCAGGAGTCTGAGGCAGGAGAATCGCTTGAACCCGGGAGGCAGAGGTTACAGTGAGCTGAGATTGTGCCATTACACTCCAGCCTAGGCAACAGAGCAAGACTCCATCTCAAACAAATAAATAAATAAAAATAAAAAATTAAATTAAATTAAAAAGAAAGAAAAGCAAATATTCTTTCTCTTCTTGATGAGCTTACCAGTAGTTTCATCCTATGCAAGCTCCAACTGGCCCCAGTGCGCCTGCCTTAATGCAGTGACACCTTTCCAATAAGCTGAGCTACTGAATTAACGTAGCAAAGAGTCTGATGCAGTTTTGCTTTAAAAAATAATTGCCCTCTAAGTGCAATGTGGGACTTTGGATTGGATTCTGAAACAGGAAAAGGACATTTATGGAAAATCTGTTGAAATCTGCATAAAGCCCATGGTTTAGTTAAAAGTGTTGTAGCAATGTTAACTTCTTAGTGGTGATAAATGTACCATGATTATGTAGGACGTTAGGGAAAGTTGGGTGAAGGATATATGGGAACTCTCTGTCTTACCTTTACAACTGCCCTATAAATCTAAAATTATTTCTAAAATAAAAAGTTTGGCTGGGTGCAGTGGCTCATATCTGTAATTCCAGCACTTTGGGAGGCCAAGATGGATGGATCACTTGAGTTCAGGAGTTTGAGACCCACCTGGGCAACATAGCGAGACCCTGTCTCTACAAAAAATAAAAAAAAAAATTAGCCAGTGTGGTGCTGCATGCCTGTAATTCCAGCTACTCCAGAGGCTGAGGTGGGAGAATCGCTTGAGCCTGGGAGTTAGAGGTCAAAGTGAGCTGAGATTGCACCACTGAACTCCAGCCTGGGTGACAGAGCGAGACACTGCCTCGAGAAAAAAAAAAAGTTTAATGAAATCATGCTTACTTTGTTGATTTGACTTGATCTTGAAAAAGCAGATACAGAAAGGAGACCTCTGTTTCTGGGTGTGTCCTCATTTGCAGCTTTCCCTAGACCACAAGGCTGGCAACGGGACAGCGTAGCCCAGGAGGAGAATGCTGCTATACTAAAGTAAGGTTGCTTGGCAAGCAAGTTGTGTCTGGCTGCACTGTGTCTCCTTTGATTAACTAGGCAGAAAAGCAGAAGCCTAGAAAAACAAAATGAGCTCAAACAAAAGCAGGCTGGGCCTGTCACCTATATTAGTCATTTGCTCTCAGGAAAAGAGTGACTCTACATTTTTCCAGACTTGTCCTTGATTCACTGTACATTTTATTTGTTACTATTAAGGATGAGAAATTTTCTCCTCCTCATTCAAAAGGATAATATCAAGAGTTAGCAAAACACACACACACACACACACACACACACACACACACACACACACACAGATTTAGCAACAGAATTCCAGCTTTCAGATACCTTTCCTTAGGTTTAGAACATTTACTTAATTATCTTTCAAACAACTGTTTCTATGTGTACTCAATATTAAAAATTTATCGGCCAGGCACAGTGGCTCATGCCTGTAATCCGAGCACTCTGGGACGACAAGGCAGGTGGACTGATTGAGCTCAGGAGTTTGAGACCAGACTGGACTACATACTGAGACCTCGTCTCTACAAAAAATACAAAAATTAGCCAGGCATGGTGGCACATGCCTGTAATCCCAGTTACTTGGGGGGCTGAGGTGGGAGGATTGTTTAAGCCTGGGAGGTCAAGGCTGCAGTGAGCTGTGATTGGGCCACTGCACTCCAGCTTGGGTGGCAAAGTGAGACCTTGTCTCAAAAATAAAATAAAATGACCTAAAAATCTGCCTTCACTAGATAAGGAATGTTTAAATTATATTTCTTAGACTAGTTCTTACAGTTGGCCTGGTGTGGTGGCTCATGCCTGTAATCCCAGCACTTTGGGAGGCCGAGGCGGGTGGATTACGAGGTCAGGAGATCGAGACCATCCTGGCTAACATGGTGAAACCTTGTCTCTATTAAAAATACAAAAATTAGCTGGACGTGGTGGCACACACCTGTAATCCCAGCTACTCAGGAGGCTGAAGCAGGAGAACTGCTTGAACCCGGAGGCAGAAGTTGCAGTGAGCTGGGATCGCGCCCCTGCACTCCAGCCTTGGTGACAGAGCAAGCTCTGTCTCAAAAAAAAAAAAAAAAAAAAAAAAAAAAAAAAAATTCTTACAGTTAAGCATCTACCTTACATTTTATAGATTTTTCTCCTGAACACAAAAATATCTGTTTGAGAAATATATATATGGCCTCTGCAGTTATTTTCTTTTGCCAAGCTCAGTTTAAAATATTACATTTTCACGTAGACACAATTGTTTCGAGCATAAAGAACAAAAGCTCTCTTGGGGCCGGGCGCGGTGGCTCACGCCTGTAATCCCAGCACTTTGGGAGGCCGAGGCGGGTGGATCACGAGGTCAGGAGATCGGGACCATCCTGGCTAACACGGTGAAACCCCGTCTCCACTAAAAATACAAAAAATTAGCAGGGTGGGGTGGCGGGCGCCTGTAGTCCCAGCTACTCGGGAGGCTGAGGCAGGAGAATGGCGTGAACCTGTGAGGCGGAGCTTGCAGTGAGCCGAGATCGCGCCACTGCACTCCAGCCTGGGCCACAGAGCGACTCCATCTCAAAAAAAAAAAAAAAAAGCTCTCTTGGGGTTTCTTGAAGGATGGGAGGGGGACAGAACAGACAGACACAGAGTGGAACTGACTGCTGTTTGAACTTGAGTCACTCAGTGCTTCTGCATGCCGGTTTCACTAGTTCAGGCACAGTATTCCAGAAACCTCGGGTTCAGAGGTGCTGAGAGGTTAGTGAGAAGCTCTGTAAGATGCTCAGAATTCTTAGGGAGAAGGTGGACTTTTTATTTAAAATAAGAAACAAATTATTTCTGCCATGCAAGCAATAAAGAAATTCAACATCAGATTAGCAGGGTAAAGATGACTTTTTTTTTTTTTTTTTGAGACAGAGTCTTGCTCTGTCACCAAGGCTGGAGTGCAGAGGTGTGATCTCAGCTCACTGCAACCTCTGTCCCCTGGGTTCAAGTGATTTCCTGCCTCAGCCTCCCGAGTAGCTGGGATTACAGGCGCCCACCATCATGCCTGGTTAATTTTTGTATTTCCAGTAGAGACAGGTTTCACTGTTGGCCCTTCTGGTCTCAAACTTCTGACCTCAAGTTATCCACCTGCCTCGACCTCCCGAAGTGCTGGGATTACAGGCATGAGCCACCGCACCGGGCCCAAAGATTAGTTTTTAACAAAGTGTGCTGGGATAACTGACTATCCTTTTTCTCTGAGATGGGAGGGTCTTGAGCAGAGAATCGACAAGATTGGATATACTTCTTAACAAGAGCACTCTGGCTGCTATGGTGAGAAGAGTCTGAAGATGGAGTGGAGGGTGAATGCAGGGAGGCAGTTAGGGGGTGATCCCAAAACTCCAGGAAAGAAACGGTAGGGGCCTGGCCCGAGTGACAGCACCACAGGTGATGGGGAGGTGGCCGGATGCTGCAAATGATTTGACGGCAGACCCAAAAGATATGGAGCGTGAGAGGAGGAAGGTCAGGGGGGGACATAGCGTTTTTGTTCTAAGCAATAGGGAAGGATGGAGTTGTAAAAAATGGAGATGGGAAACATCAGAGGAGGAGCAGGCCGTGGAGACGTAGAAACATCAAGCAGGGGATTGGATACAAGTCTGGAGTTGGAGGGAGCGATCTGAGCTGGAGATAGGAATTTGGGAGCCATCTGCGTGGAGATGGAGAGGCATGGACAGCCCAGAGCCACCCAAATCCAGAGGTCACGAACAGCAGGAGGAATCAACAGTGACAGAGCCTTGCCCCACTGCTCCTGGCAGCCCACACTGTCCCTGGGAAAAACCTATATATACTGAGGTCTTCTGTCTGTAAGGCCACAGTCATGTGGGAACAGAGTGCTTCAGGGGAAAGGGCACAGCTTTACTCCCTGGAGTTTGATAGCAATTTGGTATTTGAGCCCATTTGTTGTGTTTTTTGAAAAATTAACCTCTTGAAGGGACCAAATCAAAATCTAAACGACTAACTGGAGGGCTGCTGGGGAGAGGGGAAGTCCGACAGGCTTGAAGGCAGATCTGTAATTGAAAATGAGTTCAAAAGCTACATGTAATATAATCTGTTCAAAATGTAAAATAGGGGCTAAGTTTTGGACATGAATACCTACATATTCCTGACACATGGCCCCTGAGGAATTTCTTTTTTTTAGGAAGTAGGAAAAAATGGCAGCAGACTTAGAGTTGACTTTAAATATAAAGCTATGTGTGAAAAGAATGATGCCAAAAGTTAAATAATATGCTTTTCTCGCTCTATGAATGGTTTCTCGGGCCCTGGCTATATATAAATGCTGCGGTAGTAATGGAAATCTCATCTTCCTAGGACACAGCACCCTCCTACAGAGAATGTACCTCCTATTTATGTGTACCACACAAGCAAAAGAGCAGCTGCTAAAACATGGATTTGTGTATTACCGTCAAATATGATCAAAGACACAATTCTGATAGCTTTGATTATCTGTAGTACTAGTGAAAGAGCACTTGTACAGAACATATTCATGTACAAAGCCAATCATTTATTTAGCACTAAAATCAAATTATAAAAACAACAATTCCATCTTAAAACAGGCATTTTAAAAGCATTTCTGTGGTTCTAAGTTTGCATCAAGACAGCCTAAGTTTGCATCTGCACAATCTGGATACCCAAATCCCTCTATAATTTCCAAAGACAAAGACAATTTTTGCTAGTTGTGAGGTGTCAGGGGGAAGCAGTGATGCCCTGCAAACAGTCTAATGGGCCCAGGGAACCCTGTTTCTTTCTCAACCTGAGGTTGCATCCTTGATCTCCAGGAAAAGAGATTAGTGCTTGCTTAACCAGGTTCCTAGTAAATGGTCAGGGATCTTCTATGCAATAATGTTGCAAAAGTTACTGAAGAGGAAAAAAAAAGCACAACGGAGGCTTCTTGCCCATTTACACTTGCAATGTTAGATTTTGAAAACAGGGCCCTTCATAGTCAGCACCCAAGTCCTGACTTCCAGATGTAATGCAGGCTGGTTAACAGCCCTTAATAACTACATTGCAATTCCAAACGACTCCCTGACAGCTTTTCTAGACAGGGAGTAGAATTAAGTGTGCGGGTGCTCTTAGGCTCTCCGAGGCAATAACAAGCTCAGTTTAACCATTTCCCTTCTGGGTTGACTGCTGAGTTATGCAGATTCCAGTTCATTAAGCCCTGAGTATAGAGTATGAGGCCAACATCTTTTCTTTAGTAAAAGCCATGCCATTCGTCTGCCTTTCCCTTTTCCTCCTTTATCTGGGCGACTGTTTTTGGAAACTGGGGTAACTCCCTGCAGGCAGGCAGCAGGAGATATCTCCAAGTCAGGCTGGCATGGTGGGGTGCTATCCTCTGTACAACCATGAGGAAGATGAGGCAAATAAGATCAAGAGAGCATTTTGTGAACAGGCGATGACCCAGTTTGTACCTGTGCTTTGTGGCTAGTGAAACTGTACATCTGAAGCTGTCCAAACTCCCAGACACAAGGAATCTCAGTTGCAACTCTACTGTGATATATTATATGGCAGTGATTCTTATTTAGGAAGGACTTTGATTTCTCCTTGGCCATGGGTTCTTGGGTTAAAGGGCCTGGGCTGTGGGTCAGCAGGGTGGGACGGTCCTGGAAGACTCACAGAGCCAGGGACACCCACATCCTCCAGCATGTCCAGTTCCCTATAATTCTCTATGGCCACAGGAAATAAGCCATGAAATGGGACAGGATTCTGGTTCTGTACAAGGTCAACCAGCTCCTATCAAGGACACACGGAGGGATACGTCTGTGAGGAGCCATTCTGTGTTCTTCCGGCTTTCAGTCTTCCATATCAGTGAATTTTCTCTTCTTGTAATTCTGAACGAGGTTGGAAGCTGTGATCTGAGAAGCCTGCCCCTTCTCCCAACACTGAAAGTCATTCAGTCCTTTCTGCCCTGTTTGAAATAAGCCCCTCTCCATCTCGTCTAGCCTGGCTACCAGGGCTGAAGTGTCTTCGTTGTAAGCATTCTGTGAGGAGTCCATGATGCGGCGAAAACGTCCGATAAAAGTCTGGGAAACAAGGGAGTAAGACAAGTCAGGGTTGACCTCACACCCCACAAAGTCATATCCATTTTTATCTCAGAACATTTAAATGGCATGAAAAGAAAGAATGATGTGTAGGACTCAGAAGGAGGTCTGAATTCCCTCTAGCACCCAAGTAAGTTATTGCACATTGCCATGCCTCAATTTCCTCATCTGTGAAGTGGATTGTTATGAAAATCCAGTAAGTTGTTAAGAAAACCAATGAATACATGTAATGCACCTAGCAAATGGCTAGCACACAGCAAGCTCCTTGAGAAGCATCACCTATTATTGTCATTAGTAGCAAATGCTTCTGTCCCAAGAGGAAGAAATGATGGTTTCTTCTAACAGTAACAGAATAAAAAAGTAATTATGAAAAATTAAAATAAGGTTATACCATAAAGGTTGGGAACAGATGTATAACATTGTTTTGTCCTGGAAAAGTAATAACAATATGAGTTATTGTTTATTACACGGCATTACATAGTTTTACCACAACTCTA
Source organism: Homo sapiens (assembly GCF_000001405.40). Lineage (NCBI taxonomy): Eukaryota > Metazoa > Chordata > Mammalia > Primates > Hominidae > Homo > Homo sapiens. The sequence continues at coordinate 58,403,983 of NC_000016.10, read as the reverse complement.
TAATTTTGGCACTATTATCATCTCCATCAATTCTTACAGGTGAATTGATGTCTAGAGAGGTCAAGTAGCTTGACCAAGTCATATTGCTAGTTCATGGCAGGGCCAAGCCCTAACCCCAGAACAAAGGAAGGAAACAACCCAATAACTCTTGTATTTCCAACAGGAACCCTTAGGCCAGGCCTGGGACTGTGTATCTAAGTGCCTGTCACCTGTAATGCACCATAGCCCTTTTTTTCTCTTTTTTCTTTTTAATAGAGATGGGATCTCACTATGTTGCCCAGGTTGGTCTTGAACTCCTGGGCTCAGCGATCCTCCTGCCTTGGCCTCCCAAAGTGCTGGGATTACAGGTGTGAGCCACCATGCCTGGCCATCATCACCCTTTTCTCATTTCCTAGAGTTCCTGCTGGCCTCAACTTGTAGCAAGCAAATATGAGGAGTGGCAGACAAGTCATATTAAAAAAATGTGTGTGTGTGTGTGTGTGTGTGTGTATATATGTAAATATATAAAATGGACAGACAGTGTAACTGTAGGCTGACCTGGAATAAAAACAGACTAAATTTACAAGTCATACACTGTCCTGGGTAAAAGTAGTATCTGTGGCTGGCTCTTGAGACAAGTGCAGCACCACAGGTTTTCACACCCATTACTTGCCTGCAGCAGAGACTGGGAAATGTCTGCATTCTCGGGACTGTCAAAATGCAGGAGCTGGGAGCCAAACCCGTAGAAATGGGGCCCCATTTTGTGGAGGTCCACCACATTGGGATCTGCACTGAACACAGTCCTCCAACCCTCTTGGTAGATCTTGGGGAGTTCCACAGAAAGGATCCGTCGCTTGTTGTCAAAAAGTCCTTTTGCCAGCCACAAGGGTAGTTCAAGCTTGGAACCCTGCAGCATGCATGAATGTAGATTTTAAAAACAGACAAGTAACACAGCAAATGTGTGTGACGAAAAGGAAATACACATCGCCTGCGCAATACTGCCTTTTCTCTTTGGGGGAGTGGCTGTCAAGCACAGAAGACCTGGTCGTGACTCGAAGCAATGAAGTGTGTGGGCTGAAGTTTTATGTGATGATGGAATGGAGAGAGAAAATGGATTTATACAACAAAAACATGGTGAACAAAAATGTAGCATAAGTGAGAGTTTTCTAACTAACACATAAAAATTGTCCAATTGTAGACACTTCAGAGCTATAGTAAACATTTCCTTTTTCTTTGAATATTCAATATTTATTCTAAATATCCACTTGCCGAGTGCCTGCTATGTACTGAGCACCCTATTGGATGCTAGGGGTCAGAAAGAAAAATAAGATCAACCTGAGCTTGAGTGGCAGCCCCTTTCCATCCCACTTCACAGCTTCAGAGATGACAGCACACATGTCTCTAGTTTTTAAAGCCTCAATAGAATTAGAAAACAAGATGAGGTGGTCATGACAGACCAGAAATTAAGAGTCATAAATCTCCAAAAAAATCAAAGGCAAACAACTGGATTGAATGAAGCAGTAAGAGCCAAAACTCTCACAAGGGAGAACTGTTGCAAAAAGATGGGAGCAGCTTTGTGGGTGTGGAAGCAGAGCTTTTGGCAAACTGCACAGGACTAGACAGACCAATATTGAGTTCAAGGCTGCCAACACCACCAGGACATGAGGGCCTAAGATCTGAGAAAGAAGGGAGGGAAGTAAGCCCCCTATTTGACACCGAATAGCAGAGAAATTAGGCGCCAACTTTAAGATAAACTTAGAAATCAAATGGAAATTCCAGAACTGAAAAATACAATAATTGAACCTAAGAAGTCAATAGATTAAATCAAATTTAACATGTTTACTGGATTGGATTTGGATGAAGACAGGACTGTGAATGAGAAAAGGTCAATAGAAAATAACCAGACTAAAGTATCTAGAGAAAAAACAGAGAAGAGCCTAAGAGATGTATGAAATAAGGTGTAAAAGAAAGACAAAGTTCAACATGCATGTAATTTGATGGGCAGGAGCGATAGATTGAGGCAAAATAAATGTCTGAAGAGATAATAGCTATATATTATCCAAAATTAAAAAAGGTATCAAACCACAGATTCAAGGAACATTATGAATAACAAGTATTAATAGAATAAATACTAATAAAATCACAACTAGGCATATATTACCTGAATTACGAGACCAAAGACAGAGAAAATCCTAAAAACAGCTGTAGATGGGAGTGACGAACACACTGCCTTTAAAGAATGAACATTAAGAGTTAAACCCAACTTTTTGGCAGGGGCCGGTGGCTCACGCCTGTAATCCCAATAAAAGGTGAAGCCGGCTGGGCTTCTGGGTTGGGTGGGGACTTGGAGAACTTTTCTGTCTAGCTAAAGGATTGTAAATGCACCAATCAGTGCTCTGTATCTAGCTAAAGGTTTGTAAACACACCAATCAGCACTCTGTAAAAACAGACCAATCAGCACTCTGTAAAACGGACCAATCAGCACTCTGTAAAATGAACCATCAGCTCTCTGTAAAATGGACCAATCAGCAAGATGTGGGTGGGGCCAAATAAGGGAATAAAAGCAGGCCACCAAGCCACCAGCAGCAACCTGCTTGGGTCCCCTTCCACGCTGTGGAAGCTTTGTTCTTTAGCTCTTCACAGTAAGTCTTGATGGCTGCTCACTCTTTGGATCCCCACTACCTTCATGAGCTGTAACACTCACTGCAAAGGTCTGCAGCTTCACTCCTGAAGCCAGCGAGACCACAAACCCACCAGAAGAAAGAAACTCCGGACACATCTGAACATCTAAAGGAACAAACTCCGGACACACCACCTTTAGGAACTGTAACACTCACCACAAGGGTCTTCGGCTTCATTCTTGAAGTCAGCGAGACCAGCGAGACCAAGAACCCACCTGAAGGAACCAATTCCAGACACACCAATAATTTGGGAGGCCAAGGCGGGCAAATCACATGGGCTCAGGGGTTCGAGACGGGCCTGACCAACATGGTGAAACCCCGTTTCTACTAAAAATACAAAAATTAGCCAGGCATAGTGGTGGGCGCCTGTAATCCTAGCTACTCAGGAGGCTGAGGCAGAAGACTCGCTTGAACACAGGAGGCAGAGGTTACAGTGAGCCGAGATCACACCATTGTACTCCAGCCTGGGCGACAGAGCAAGACTCTGTCTCAAAAAAGAAAAAAAAAAAAAAAAGCCAACTTCTTAACAGAAACTGTGGAAGCCACAAAACAATGGAAATGGAATTTTTTTTTTATGTGCTAAAAGAACATAACTGTGAGTGTAAAATCTTATACCCAGTGAAAATATCCTTTAAAAGTAAAAGTGAAATAAAGGCATTTCCATAGAGAAAGTATGCAGGAAAGATACACAGTAGGCCTGAGGCTGCTATCTTAGCAAGGCCTGCTGCAAGGTTGGCCCTTGGTTGGCATTTGGGAACTTGGATTTCAGGAGGATTCTCACCCGTCCTAGAACTGATGAGAGTGTGCCTGAACTGTCTGTGCAAACAATGTGATTCATGTTGAACACCTGCTTTCCCTCTGGAAGTCTGAATTTTGGTCTGTGCTAGACAGAAAGTGCCACATGAACAGCCTCCAATAAAACCCTGGGGACTGAGTCTTTAACAAGCTTCCCTAGGAGACAGTATTTCAAACATTTTATCAGAATTCAAATTACTGGAGAATTTAAGTGCATCCTGTGTGACTCCACTAGGAGAGGACTCTTGGAAGCTTGTGCCTGGTCTCCTCCAGACTTTACTCCATGCAACCTTTCCCTCTGCTAATTTTGCTTTATATCCTTTTGATGTAATCAATCTTAACCATGAGTGTGACTATATGCTGAGTCCTTTGAGTCCTCTTAGTGAATCATCAAATCTGGGTTGGTCTTGGGCATCTGTGACACAGACAGAAACTGAGACTTATCACCAGAAGATCCAGAATAAGGGAATTCTGAAGAGAGAATGCAAATGATTCCAGAAAGAACTACAGAAATGCAGAAAGGAAAAACAAGTCATGAAAAGAATATATAAGTGGGTATATAATAATAATGTTTTACAGGGGTTTTCAATGAGTCAAACTAGAATACATCACAATAACACAAGAGAAAAAATGGGTTTAAGTGTTCTAAGATTCTAGTCATTTCTGTGAAGTGGTGAAAGTAGTAACTTATATAACATTCTTTTTGGTCAGAAATGATTGTGTAATATATTTAAGGTAGCCACTAAAATAACAGAAGAATATATAACTAAATAAACTAATAAAAAGGTAAATGAATAATAAAATAAATTTGATTAATGCAAAAGGAAGTCAAGAAAGGATAGAAAAAGAAAGCTAAAACAGATGGGACATAAGAAAATAGTAAGAAGGTAAAAATGAATACAAATATGTCAATAATTAAATGTAAATGGATTAAATATAACAATTAAAAATCAGCACACTGCACACAAAACAAAACCCAACTATATGCTGCATAAAAGAGACATACCTTAAATATGAAGACACAGAAAAATTAAAAATAGGATTAAAAAAAGTCATGTAAACATGAATCAAAAGACAGGAGCATTAGAGATAAAGGGAGACGTGACAATAATAAAAGGGTCATTATATCTACCAGAAAATTATTAATATATGTCTAAATTAACAGAAGTAAAAGGATAAACAGGCTAATCCATAATCATAATGAGAGACTTTAACATTTTTTCAATTTTTTTTTTTTTTTCAGAGAGGGGGTCCTGTTCTGTCACCCAGGCTGGAGTGCAGTGGTCTTCTAGGCTCAAGTAATCCTCTTGCCTCAGTCTCCTGAGTAGGTGGGACTATAGGCATGTGCCACCACACTCAGCTAATTTTTCAATTTTTCCTAGAGACAGGGTCTTGCTATGTTGCTTAGGCTGATCTCAAACTCCTGGCCTCAAGTGATCCTCTCACCTCCACCTCCCAAAGTGCTAGGGTTACAGGCAGGAGCCACCATGCCTGGTCCACATGTTTTACAGGATAAAAAAAAAAGTAGAAAAAAAAATTGCAAGGATAGAGAATATCTCAACAAAACAATTAACAAATGAGCTAATTTACACATACGGATTATTTATTGCACACTATGACTTCCCATAGACATCTTTTCAAGTCCACACAGAATGGTTAAATTGGTCTTATGCTTTGCCATAGAGCAAGTCTCAGCAACTTTCAAGACTGAAATCATGTAGACTATGTTTTCTGGCCACGGTGGAATTAAGCTAGAAATAAAAAATGGTAAATGACCAAATCTCAAAATGTTTGAAATTAAGCACTAGTCTTCTAAATACCTACAGGTCAAAAAAGAAATCACAATTAAACAGTATTTTAAACAGTATTTTAAAACGCAAAATTAAACAGTATTTTAAAATTTTTATTTATTTTCTTTTGAGACAGTATCTTGCTGTGTCATCTAGGCTGGAGTGCAGTGGTGTGATCACGGCTCACTGCAGTACTGACCCTCCAAGGCTTAAGTGATCCTCTTGCCTCAGCCTCCTGAGTAGCTGTGACCACAGGTGTGTGCTACCATGCTCGGCTTTTTTAAAAAATTTTTTGTAGAGATGGGGACTCACTATGTTGCCTAGGCTGGTCTCGAACTCCTGGGCTCAAGTGATCCTCCTGCCTCCACCTCCCAGTGTTGGGTCTATAGGTGTGAGCCACCATGCCTGGCCTAAAAAGTATTTTTAGTTCATTGATAATGAAAATATAACACATCAAAACTTATGAAACGCAATTAAAGTTGTGAATTGAATAGAATAATTTCACTTAAAAGAAATGAATAGCTATGAATGTATAAAAGAAGATTGAAAAATTAATGACCTAGGTTTCCATCTCAAAATGTGTATCTGTGTGTGTGTGTGTGGTGGGAGAATTAAGCCCAAATAAAGTAGAAGGAAAGAACTAATTAAAAAATTAATGACCTAAAAAACAAAGGTACAAAAGAGAAAACCAACAGAGTCCTAAGTTAGTTCTTTTAAAAGAATAAAAAAATTGATAGACTCCTGGCAAGGGTAATCAAGAAAGGGAGAACACAATTTATTGATATTAAAAATAAAAATAAGGACACCACTGTAATCCTACTGACATTAAAAAGATAGTAAAGGAAATTCTGAACATTGTACTGATACCATTGAAAATTTAGACAAGCTCTCCCTCTCCCTTTCCCTCTCCCTCTCCCCACGGTCTCCCTCTCCCTCTCTTTCCACGGTCTCCCTCTGATGCCGAGCCGAAGCTGGACTGTACTGCTGCCATCTCGGCTCACTGCAACCTCCCTGCCTGATTCTCCTGCCTCAGCCTGCCGAGTGCCTGTGATTGCAGGCGCGCGCCGCCACGCCTGACTGGTTTTCGTATTTTTTTGGTGGAGACGGGGTTTCGCTGTGTTGGCCGGGCTGGTCTCCAGCTCCTAACCGCGAGTGATCCGCCAGCCTCAGCCTCCCGAGGTGCCGGGATGGCAGACGGAGTCACGTTCACTCAGTGCTCAATGGTGCCCAGGCTGGAGTGCAGTGGCGTGATCTCGGCTCGATACAACCTCCACCTCCCAGCTGCCTGCCTTGGCCCCCCAAAGTGCCGAGATTGCAGCCTCTGCCCGGCTGCCACCCCGTCTGGGAAGTGAGGAGCCTCTCTGCCTGGCTGCCCAGTCTGGAAAGTGAGGAGCGTCTCTGCCCGGCCGCCATCCCATCTAGGAAGTGAGGAGCGTCTCTGCCCGGCCGCCCATCGTCTGAGATGTGGGGAGTGCCTCTGCCCTGCTGCCCCGTCTGGGATGTGAGGAGCATCTCTGCCCGGCCGCCCCGTCTGAGAAGTGAGGAGACCCTCTGCCTGGCAACCACCCCGTCTGAGAAGTGAGGAGCCCCTCCGCCCGGCAGCTACACCGTCTGGGAAGTGAGGAGCGTCTCCGCCCGGCAGCCACCCCATCCAGGAGGGAGGTGGGGGTCAGCCCCCCGCCCGGCCAGCCGCCCTGTCCGGAAGGGAGGTGGGGGGGTCAGCCCCCCGCCCAGCCAGCCGCCCTCTCCTGGAGGTGAGGGGCGCCTCTGCCCGGCCACCCCTACTGGGATGTGAGGAGCACCTCTGCCCGGCCAGCCGCCCCGTCCGGGAAGGAGGTGGGGGGGTCAGCCCCCCGCCCGGCCAGCCGCCCCGTCCGGGAGGTGAGGGGCGCCTCTGCCCGGCCGCCCCTACTGGGAAGTGAGGAGCCCCTCTGCCCGGCCAGCCGCCCTGTCCGGGAAGGAGGTGGGGGGGTCAGCCCCCCGCCCGGCCAGCCGCCCCGTCCGGGAGGGAGGTGGGGAGGTCAGCCCCCCGCCCGGCCAGCCGCCCCGTCCGGGAGGGAGGTCGGGGGGTCAGCCCACCGCCCGGCCAGCCGCCCCGTCCGGGAAGGGAGGTGGGGGGATCAGCCCCCCGCCCGGCCAGCCGCCCCGTCCGGGAGGGAGGTGGGGGGGATCAGCCCCCGCCCGACCAGCCGCCCCGTCCGGGAGGGAGGTGGGGGGGTCAGCCCCCGCCCGGCCAGCCTCCCCGTCCGGGAGGTGAGGGGCGCCTCTGCCCGGCCGCCCCTACTGGGAAGTGAGGAGCCCCTCTGCCCAGCCAGCCGCCCCGTCCGGGAGGGAGGTGGGGGGGTCAGCCCCCTGCCCGGCCAGCCGCCCCATCCGGGAGGTGAGGGGCGCCTCTGCCCGGCCGCCCCTACTGGTAAGTGAGGAGCCCCTCTGCCCGGCCAGCCGCCCCGTCCGGGAGGGAGGTGGGGGAGTCAGCCCCCCACCCGGCCAGCCGCCCCGTCTGGGAGGTGAGGGGCGCCTCTGCCCGGCCGCCCCTACTGGTAAGTGAGGAGCCCCTCTGCCCGGCCAGCCGCCCCGTCCAAGAGGGAGGTGGGGGGGTCAGCCCCCCACCCAGCCAGCCGCCCCGTCCGGGAGGGAGGTGGGGGAGTCAGCCCCCCGCCCGGCCAGCCGCCCCGTCCGGGAGGTGAGGGGCGCCTCTGCCCGGCCGCCCCTACTGGAAAGTGAGGAGCCCCTCTGCCCAGCCAGCCGCCCTGTCCGGGAGGGAGGTGGGGGGGCCAGCCCCCCGCCCAGCCAGCCGCCCCGTCCGGGAGGTGAGGGGCACCTCTGCCCGGCCGCCCCTACTGGGAAGTGAGGAGCCCCTCTGCCCGGCCACCACCCCGTCTGGGAGGTGTACTCAACAGCTCATTGAGAACGGGCCAGGATGACAATGGCGGCTTTGTGGAATAGAAAGGGGGGAAAGGTGGGGAAAAGATTGAGAAATCGGATGGTTGCTGTGTCTGTGTAGAAACAAGTAGACGTGGGAGACTTTTCATTTTGTTCTGTACTAAGAAAAATTCTTCTGCCTTGGGATCCTGTTGATCTGTGACCTTACCCCCAACCCTGTGCTCTCTGAAACATATGCTGTGTCCACTCAGGGGTTGAATGGATTAAGGGTGGTGCAAGATGTGCTTTGTTAAACAGATGCTTGAAGGCAGCATGCTCGTTAAGAGTCATCACCACTCCCTAATCTCAAGTACCCAGGGACACAAACACTGCGGAAGGCCGCAGGGTCCTCTGCCTAGGAAAACCAGAGACCTTTGTTCACTTGTTTATCTGCTTGACCTTCCCTCCACTATTGTCCTGTGACCCTGCCAAATCCCCCTTTGCGAGAAACACCCAAGAATGATCAATTAAAAAAAAAATATATATATATATATACAAATATTACAGAAGAATTTCAAATGTACAAATAGAAAAAAAAAAAAAAGAAAATTTAGACAAAAAAAAAATACAAAAATTAGCTGGACATGGTGGCATGTACCTGCAATACCAGCCACATAGGTGGCTGAGGTGGGAGGATCTCTGGAGCCTGGGAGGTCAAGGCTGCAGTGAGCCATATCACACCACTGCACTCCAGCCTGGGCAACAGAGCAAAACCCTGTCTCAAAAAAAAAAAAAAAAAATTAGATAAAATGGTCAAAGTTTTAGTTAAAAACCAAATATACCAAAACTAACACAAGAAGAAATCAAGTCTGAATAATCCTATAAATGAAATTAAATGTCATACAAACCTTCCTACACAAATCTCCCATGCAGAAGGATTCTAAAGATTTAATGTAGACACTCTGCACTCAAAGAAGTGGAACATAACTCCCTACTCCTTCAGTGTGACAGTGATAATGACTTCCATCCAAAGAGTACAGTATGAAAAGGTGGAGAAACCTAATGAACATTACCTCTGCCAAGGTTCAAATGAACAGTACAAAGTCCTGTTGATAGTAGGCACCCTTAATATGTGATGAAAATGGCACTTTACCTCTGTGGTCTTCCTCCCTAAAGCTGATAATCAAGTCTAATGCTGAGAAAAAAAGAATAAAAAACAAAAACAAAGAAGGCTGGGCGAGGTGGCTTACGCCTGTAATCCCAGTACTTTGGGAGGCTGAGTTGGGTGGATCACTTGAAGTCAGGAGTTCCAGACCAGCCTGGCCAACCTGGTGAAACCTCATCTCTACTAAAAATACAAAAATTGGCTGGGTGTGGTGGTGGGCGCCTGTAATCTCAGCTACTTGGGAGGCTGAGGCAGAATTGCTTGAACCCAGGAGGTGGAGGAGGCTGCAGTGAGCTGAGATTATGCCACTGCACTCTGGCCTAGATGACAGGGTAACTCCGTGTCAAAAAAACAAACAAAAAAACAAAACCAAAAACAAAACTACCCCCAAACCAAAGATTTCCAACTGAGGAACATTTTACAAAATACCTGACCACCACTCCACAAAACCGTCGAGGTCATTAGAACAAGGAGGTCTGATTAATTGTCACAACCAAGAGAAGGCTAAGGAAACATGTCTACTAAATGCAGTGTGGTATCCTAGGTGGAATCCTAGAATAGAAAAAGGGCATTAACTAAAAACTAAGGAAATATGAATTAAGTATGGGCAGCATAGCGCCATGTTTACCAGTGTGTATGGGAACGAAATCCTCATCTGCTAGGATGAAGTCAACAGATAATGTCTACATTAAAAAAAACAACCCAACAAGGTAAGTTTAAGAATATTATTTAGAAATATGAAGATGAATCTTGAAGACACCACTAAAAAAGGTACATGAGCCCTGTGGACTTGGAGGGGGAAGTGGGAAAAGGAAGGCAGGACCTGCTATTTTTTTTCTTATAAATCTTTTGGTACTATTTGACTTTTTTTTTTTTTTTTTTTGAGATGGAGTCTCACTCTGTCGCCAGGCTGGAGTGCAGTGGCACAGTCTCGGCTCACTGCAACCTCTGCCTCCTGGGTTCAAGAAATTCTCCTGCCTCAGCCTCCAGAGTAGCTGAGATTACAGGCGCCGGCCACCACACCCAGCTTTCTAGTAGAGATGGGGTTTCACCATGTTGGCCAGGATGGTCTGGATCTCTTGACCTCGTGATCCGCCCGCCTCAGCCTCCCAAAGTGCTGGGATTACAGGCGTGAGCCACCGCATCCGGCCTATTTGACTTTTAAAACGTTGGTTATGTATTACTTTGATAAAAATTAACTTGAAACAAACAGACCAAACAATAAACATCGTTCTATACAAAACTTAGGTGAAACAGGATATCCAAATTAATCATTACAAGCCATGTTCCTGGGACAATTTTATATTTGAAGCCATATGGCCTTGGGTTCCGAATCCCAGCTCACCACTAACTGAAGCCCTGGCCAAGTGACCCAGCCTTTCTGGTTGCTGAAGGATTAAAGGGAAAAGCTTACTCCCCACACCCAACCATGCTGCCACTAAGTAAGCCTCAGTAGGGCTTACTGATCCTGTCATCATTATGGAGGAATGAATTTAGCAACTTGGGGTTCCTACTTATCACATGCTCTTACAGAACCCAAAGCTGTTTTAAGGCAAACATGATCAGAACTCTAATTCTTAAGTATTCAGCTGGAGCCAATCTTTAAGCATTCAACACACGTTGCATGGGGTAGGGGGAAGACACTAATTTGGACAGTTTCAAAAAAGAAATCAATGTTGGAGGCTGCCTGGCGACCTAGGATAAATGTAGTTTCACCACAGATGGCGAACAAGAAGTCTGGAGACCACCCCGAGCGCGAAGGGACCCCCGCGGAGTTTCCGAGAAGTCGTTAGCGCCTTCGGCCCTGGCTCCTCGAAAACTACAAATCCCAAAGGGCAGCGCGCCCCGATGCGGCGTCCCAGGGCCGAGGGGCCCGCCGGGAGCTGCAGTCTTTCCGGGCAGGACCCCGCACCCAAAGGCTCACCTGTGGGACCGCGTTGTCAGTCTCGGCGCCTGCGCTCCGCTCCAGGAAGAAAGCGCCAAGGCGAGGCATGGCGGTCTCCGTGCGCACCGGCAGCTTCTCGTGGGACATCAGGATGTCGTCCAAAGAAAGAAAGTTCTCCTCAGGCCCCAGCGCACCCGACTCCACTCGGAAATAAGCCTCTGACATGGCGGCCACTTGAGCTTCTCCGCTTCCACTCGCGTGATTCGGAGGAGCCTCAGGAGTTAGGGGTGTACAAGACGGGGAAGCGGAGACTGGGCAGGATGGTTGGGGTCAGGAAAGTGGATTGAAACTCGTTTCCCGCGCCCGGGGACGCATCAGACAGGAGCAGTCAATTCGGGCGGTACCGCCCAGGCAGAAGCAATCGATCAAGTCTGCAGATTTAGAGCAGCGGGACACGGCTGGGGAGCGGTAGGTGGGGGCGCCGGAAGTTCTCTTCCCTCCGCTTGCTGCACGGTGTGGGAACGTTACGAAGAAGCTGGAACGCTCGTTGAAGCTCCTGGACCCATTTGTACTGGATTGTGTTCATGTGATCCTTAACTATTTATATGAAATTAAAAACACTTTGCAACACTTTTAGGGGTTTAAAATAAAAGCATCTTGTGCCCTTCACTCCAGGCCTAAGTCCGACCCTTTCCTACAGTTTTTTTCACTATGCAACTCCGTTAATCTTAGTATTTGAAAGAAATGTTAAACAAACAAAAACTTCCAGCACTATCCCCAGCGAGTTATTATGGTCTAGATGATGAACTAGTGTGTTGTATTTTGTTAGTATTTTGGTGGGGGTTGGACGGGGTGGGTAGAGGGGTGGAGCACTAGACTGCACATGGCTTGCTAAGGTTGTGAGTATACTTCAGGGTGTCTTAGCTCATCATCAACTGACAATCTCCTTTTGTGGCTCTGAATTTAAATCCCTAAAAATGGAAATCCAATTGGTCCAGTTTATTGATTGGTCCAGGTACGCCACAATGGTCATAGATCTCCAGCCACCCTGTAGATGGGGGTGCCTGTGTTGGGTGCGATCACTATCCAGTGACCAGGGGAAGGACCATGGTCGCATAGTACCAGGTTTGGTGGCTCTCCTCAGCCAGGGCTATGGGTGGCGGCATATTGTTGAGAGATGCACTACAGAACTTACTTCGTCTAGAGCATTTCTGGGGCTACTGGAGCCGGGAGTAAAGGGTGTGTGTGAAGGGAGGTGTGTATTAACCATGGATTTTAGTTTCTGTTTTCTGTATTTTATGATGCTTTGACATCTTGGGGCCTTGGGGACCTGGGGAGGAATTGCCCCTTTCAGAGTTAGCTAATTCCTAGAGATAGCAAACAACTTGCTTGTGAACACCCCTTTCATTTACAAACCAACCAACCCAAGCCTATATCCCCACACCATCTTTATCCATCTCACACACCAATATTTTCCCTGCCCCAAGTCACTGTAATAAACCACCCCATGGCCAAGTACCAGACAACTAAAATTCACCTCTATATCCCAGAGCTTGCCAACATTATTCAAATTATTCAATCCTAAGCTTGTTCAGACTTCCCTTCCCTGCTTCGCCCATTCCTTCCCACGGCAATAAAGGCTCTGGGCTTTCTCCTCGCTCTCTCTACCTCCTCATTGACCCTAATACTTTCTCGTGTGGCCGTAGGCACAGCCCCTTCTCTTGAGAACTATAATAAAATTTTCAAAGGCATTGGCCACTAACTCATTGATTGTCATCACCCAGTCACCTTTATAAATGAAATTCTGAGGACAATGAAAACAAGGTGCAGTGGGGTGGAAAGGAATGGCCAAACTGTGGAAAATCTTGGTACCATTCTAAGGAGTTAGGCCATTCCATAGAAAATGGGAGGAAAATGTAAGGCAAATAATAACATAAATCTGGGCTTCAGGAAGAGAATTCCAGCAGTAGATAAAGAAGAGAGAGATTAGATGCTTGGAAGCTGTTCAGTGGGCAGTATTTGGCAACCAATTGGATATAGGAAGTGAAGTATAGTGAGTAGTCAAAAGATTCAAGTTTTGAACGTGGCTGACCAGGTGGATGGACATGTCATGAATAGATACACAGAACACAGGAATAGGGGCAGCTGGAGGGAAGGGATGAGTTCAGTTTGGGACACATGGTGTCCAAGAGCTACTAGACAGGAAGGTCTGCAGCCCAGTGGAGAAAGCAGCCTAGAAGCTTTAGAGAGGAGGCACACTGAGAGGCAGTTATATGAAGGTTTTTTCCTTTTTCATATTTTAAATGTTCAGTTTGTGATACAGTCCAATGTAAAAATAAACACAATCTGCAGTGATAATTTAGAATTTCTCTGATGACATGGAATATATGGTACTGGATGTAGTTTGAGACAGAAATATAATTTGGCTAATTGAAGGCAATGTTATTTACTGCCAAGGAGAGTAAGCTATTTTTTATGCTGATATAATTAAGATAGATGCATACTGATTTATTGATGCCAAAGAAAGGCATTATTTTTGTACAGAGACCACAATACTGGCTCCAAACTCAAATACCACTATTATTTTAATAATACAGTAACAGGCCAATGTTTAACATAAAATCAGATTGCCTTGTTTGTCTTACTTAATGTCTTGGCTCATCATGAAACTATCATTGTGTATATATTGTTCTATTTAAACTGTCCTCTCCTTGAACTAATAAACAAGTGAATAAATCAGAAAAAGGTGAAATTAGTGAATGTTTGAGCTTATGATGCTGAACTGCATCAATTCATTTAACAAAAGTGGCATGTGGTTTTCAAGCATAGATATGTGTTAATAGCTTAAATCCTAAGAACCAGGAGTATTTCTGTTCCCTGAGAAAGCTGTGTTCCTTGGCACCCAGCCAACCAATCAATGTACCAGTATTATGCTGAACAGAATTGCATTATACTGATAATATTCACAGTATATTTGGTATATTTACAATATACAAAATTTAGTATTCTGAAAAGTGTCTGCTGGATTCTTGAAAACAGAGTATTTTTTTCATTGTAATCCTTTCAAGATTTCAGAATCATAGAACTACAGTGTTTTAGAACTTAGAACAAGTGTTTTGGTGAACAGGGCAGGGGCCTCTTTAGCTTTTATGACTTGCCCTCAAAAGTCATAGCCTCCAAAGAACACACAGGCTTTAGATGAGCAAAACCTCAAGCAGTTTTACGTCTGTTCTTTTGAATACCAGTGCTTTCTAAATTTCTTTCATTGAGTGGGGAGGTTGTGGTGCAAGTGACAGAAATGCAAATCTGGGGGTGGGGAGAAAAAGAAGAAATATGAAAAACTGTACACATGGTTCATTGAAAGAAAAAGAAAGAAAAAAGAAATGTATTGGGCGCCATCCTTCCAGTTGCTTGGTCAGGTCAAAATTTGGGGGTTTTCCTTGATCTCCTCCCCTAACCCTTACACTTTGTAATGGCCCATCAGCTAAATGGCCCATCAGCAAATGTTGACTTAACATTCATATTTCTAGAATCTGACCATTTCTCATCATTCTGGTTTAAGCCACCATCATCTCTTGCTTGGATTTTTGCATTAGCTCTCTAGTCTTCTTGCTTCTGCCCATGACCTCCCTATTGTTCCTTAAGCATCCCAGACACACTCGGTCCTCAGTGCTTTGCCTTGTTTGTTCCACTACCTGAATTGTGTTTCTCTTGGATTTCCACATGGCTTGTCCCTTTCAGGTCTTTACTTAAAAGTCACTGTCTCGATGAGGTCTTCCCTGGCCGCCCTATCTAAAATTTTAACTATTTAACAACAATTTTAATGACTCACACACTTGATATCCCCTGCTATGGTTTGACTGTATCCCCCAAAATTCATGCATTGGAAACTTAATCCCCAATACAATAATGTTGGGATGTGAGTCCTAATGGGAGGTGTTTAGATCATGAGGGCTCTACCCTCAAGAATGGATTAATGCCATTATAGAAAGGGATTGGAGGAGTGGGTTCTCTCTCTACACATGCCATGTGAGGACACAGAATTTGTCCCATTGGCCCTTCTGACTTCCACCATGTGAGGACAGCAAGAAGGCCCTCATCAGACGCTGGTGCCTTGATCTTGGACTTCCCAGCCTCCAGAATTATAAGAGAATAAATTTCTGTTCTTTAGAAATTACCCAGTCTCAGCTATTCTGTTACAGCAGCACAGAATGGACTAAGACACCCCGTTTTCCCTTCAGTACTGATCAGTCTCTAACTATATATTTTACTTATCTTGTTTATTTTACTTTATTATTTTTCTTTTGAGAAGGAGTTTCTCTCTTGTTGCCCAGGCTGGAGTGCAATGGCACAATCTCTGCTCACTGCAACCTCCACCTCCAGGGTTCAAGTGATTCTCCTGCCTCAGCTTCCCGAGTAGCTGGGATTACAGGCATCAGCCACCAAGCCCCGCTAACTTGTATTTTTAGTAGAGACGGGGTTTCACCATGTTGGCCAGGCTGGTCTCGAACTCCTGACCTCAAGTGATCTGCCCACCTCGGCCTCCCAAAGTGCTGGCATTACAGGTGTGAGCCACCTTGCCCGTCCTTTTATCTTGTTTATTGTCTGTCACCCCTACTAAAACATTAGCTCCATGAGGGTGGGGATATTTTTTAGTCTCTTTTTCACTGCTATATCCCCGCTGCCTAGTATGTATTAGGCACTTTGTAAATATTTATTGAGTGATTTAGTGTCTCTTTATTTAGAGCAGTGATATTAAATTTCCTTTAAAACATTAAGTAAAAGTTTTAAGTAAATAATAGTACAGATGATATGTAAATATTAGAGTGGTTACAAAATGTAGCAGTAAAACACTGAAAATACTAAGTTAAAGTGGCTAAAAAATAATTTGCCGGGCGCGGTGGCTCACGTCTGTAATTCCAGCACTTTGGGAGGCTGAGGCAGGTAGATCACAAGGTCAGGAGTTTGAGATCAGCCTGGCCAGCCTGGTGAAACCCCTCTCTACTAAAAATACAAAAAATTAGCTGAGCATGGTGGTGCGCACCTGTAGTCCCAGCTACTTGGGAGGCTGAGGCAGGAGAATTGCTTGAACCCGGCAGGCGGAGGTTGCAGTGAGCTGAGGTCACGTCACTGCACTCCAGCCTGGGCCATAGAGGGAGACTCTGTCTCAAAAAAAAAAAAAATTGTTTGCCAAGGTGCATGTTAATCACAGTATAATTCTGTAGATCCATGCACGAGCTTAAGTCATTAATATCATGGTGAAAGTTCATTGACTGGGCTCCAGTAATGCAGATTTTGAGTTTTGGTAGAACTGTACTGAATTTTACCTTTATATCAACTATAAAAAAGGAATGCTTAAGCAAATAAAATTTTAAATGGCTTAGTTCCCTACCTATGAAGCATTTCCAGCAGCCGTTTCTACTCAATTGCTGTGTTACTTCAGGAAGCCAACAGGCCTGAGTAGGGTCCAATTTTTACCACTTTAATTGGCTTTGTAACTTTGGGTCAGTTACCTCTCAGAAGCTTCTGTATCTGTAAAATGGAGATAATGATAGTAGCTCACAGAGTTGTGGTGCAGGTGGGACAAATAAGCTAATACACAGTTGGCCCTTGAACAATGAGAAGGTCAGGGCACTGACCCCTACACAGTTAAAAATCTACATATAACATTTTAAATTTAAAAAATTATTTTTAAAATTTTTATAGAGGTGGGATCTTGCTATGTTGCCCAGGCTGGTCTTGAACGCCTGGCCTCAAGCAATCCTCCTACCTCAGCCTCCCAAAGTGCTGGGATTATAGGTGTGAGTCACTGCACCTGGCTTACATATAGCTTTTGACTTCCCAAAAACTTAGCTACTACTAGCCTGCTGTTGACCAGAAGGCTTATTGATAACAGTTGATTAACAGATATTTTGCATGTTATATGTATTATATACAGAAGCCTTATTAAACAGTTGATTAACAGATTTTTTGCATGCTATATGTATTATATACCGTATTCTTACAATAAAGTAAGCCAAATAAAAGAAAATGTTAAGAAAACCATAAGGAAGAGAAAATACATTTACTATTCATTGAATGGAAGTGAGTCATGATAAAGGCCTTCATCCTTGTCGTCTTCTTGTTGTGTAGACTGAGAAGGAGGAAGAAGAGGAAGGATTGGTCTTGCTATCTCAGGGGTAGCCAAGGTGGAAGAAGTGGAGGACCTGCAAGGGGAGGCAGGAGAGTCAGACACACACGGTACAATTTTTTTTTTTTTGAAATGGAGTCTCGCTCTGTTGCCGAGGCTGGGGTGCAGTGGCACAATCTCGGCTCACTGCAAGCTCCACCTCCCCGGTTCACACCATTCTCCTGCCTCAGCCTCCGGAGTAGCTGGGACTACAGGCGCCTGCCACCACAGCTGGCTAATTTTTTGTATTTTTAGCACAGACAGGGTTTCACCGTAGTCTCGATCTCCTGACCTCGTGATCTGCCCACCTCGGCCTCCCAAAGTGCTGGGATTACAGGCATGAGCCACCGTGTCCGGCCTAACCTTTGTATTTTTAGTAGAGATGGGGTTTTACCATATTGGTAAGGCTGGTCTCGAACTCCTGACCTCATGATCTGCCCGCCTTGGCCTCCCAAAGTGCTGGGATTACAGGCGTGAGCCACCATGCCTGGCCCATGGTATAACTTTTATTGAAAAAAGCTTCACGTATAAGTGGGGACTCATGCAGTTCAAATCAACCAGTGTTATTCAAGGGTCAACTGTATACACAGCACTGAGCTCAGGGCCTAGCCCACAATAAGAGCTCAATCAATGTCCTTCTTATCATCATTTATTCATATGTTTGTTTAGTGCTGCATCCTCAGCACCTCAGAGAATACCTGGCACATAGCAAGCACTCAAGGAACATTTGTTAAATAGCTGTCATTATTGATGGGCATCCTTGGTCTAGGCTTGGCTACACTTGTCTCCCCTTCAGTTCCAGTTACCAAATATACTTGAAGGTGATAAAGTATTGTTCTCCAACTTTTTCCTGCGAAAAATCAGGTAGAATTTATCTCCTATGAGATCAAATTATTACAGTTTTTTGTGAGTTTTGAAATTACAGTACCACGTTTGAAATCTTACTATGTAAGATTAATAGATCTAAATCATTGGAGTTCATTTTTACATAATTTAAATGTCCTTTTAGTTGAGCTATTTCTTGAGCACTGCTCCAAAACGCCTTCCATGAGATCAAAATAAATTGATGGGCATGATGCGACCTTGTGTGTGGGTAGCACCAATTTTAGATTCTTCCCACAGTCTTCAGCAGCACTAACAGGAATTGTTAACCCATCTTATATATTGAGAGATATTGCATGTGTGTGTATGTGCGTGTGTGTGTGTGTGTGTGTGTGTGTGTGTCCCTCTTAACTTGCAAAGAAGTAGCGATTGCATCATTATAAGAGAGGTACCTGTTAATTCAACTTCATCAGGCAGGGCTAGTTTCTCTGAGGCCTCTCTCCTTGCATGCAGATGGCTGTCGTCTCGCTGCATGCTCACATGGCTGTTCCTCTGTGTGCATGCATCCTTGGAGTCTTCTCTTCTTCTAAAACACTAGTCATATTGGATTGGAGCTCTACCCTTAGGATCTCATTTAACCTTAATTACCATTTTAAAGGACTCCGTATCCAAATTTAGTCACATTAAAGGTTAGGGCTTCAAACTATAAGTATTGAGGGGACACAAAACACAGTCCATAACCATCTGGTCTCTATCTTCATGTTCTGAAACTTTTTTAAAGTTTATTTTTGAAATTTTAATTGGCAAATAATAATGATATATATACATACATATACATATATATGTATAGTGCAATGTGATAACTTGATACATGTGATATTTCTTCATCGTTGCCTTGAGACATAGTTTCCCAAGAGCAAAGGTTGGCTAGAGGGGTCTGACTGAACACAAGCACACACACTACCTCCCTACTTCCTGCCTCAAATCTCCTTACACAATACATTCTGTCTCTCAGTATGTACATATGAAACCCACAAAAACAGGAACACAATAAAGAGGGCCACCAGAAGACCAGAAGGATACAGGAATTGCTGGAGGATAGAAAGCAGACGGATCCGATTGACAGCAAACCTGGGGCAAAGACGATCACAGCTTAACCAAAGGCAGGCAAATGACTACCAAGGAAGTGAGAGCAGGTTAGGGATATTCCCAGCTTAGTCAACAGATACCTGCAGCAGGAGCAGGTGCTGGCACAAGATATGAAAGAGCTGTATTCACAAGAGCCAGGTCAGGACTTGCTTCCACAGTACAAACTAAAGTGGGAAGGATACTGCGATGATTAGCACAGCCCCTGTACTAGAATGACATGAATCTGTGAGGCATTTTGCATTTTTCATAGCACCACCCCACAAATCCCACGCAAATCACAAAGATCCCAAAGGTGAAAATGTACATTTTTACAGTGGAGAGATCTGGGGTCACCACTCTATGCAAGCAAAGAAACCTAACCTGTTAATAACAGGACAACCTGACATGATGTACCTATAGATATCATGCAGTATGTACACTGAATCACCTATGAAGTATTTGTACCTAAATATTTAACCTGAATCCAATTAAGCATCAAAACCTAATTTTACATGGAATATGAAGGTAAGGGAGGGGGATTTGAGAAGAAGTTCAATGTCATCAAGAGGAAACAAGCAGACAAAATCAGAATGTAGAGTATTTTACAAGGGCAATGCTAGTAAAATATTATCTCAGGGAATCCATAACTGTTACAACCCTTGTTAATGACCTCAGAAAGATTTAGGATGGTGCTCTCTTAGTTACACAAAGGGCTAAGAATCTAAAGGGCATGACTCCTAGCACCTCTCAGCTAGACAGCAATGCTTCGAGGACTCCTGAGGGTGTAGTTGTACAGCAGCTTCACAGGGAGCCCAAGAAGGGCAGATCTCAAAGAGCCCGGTCTGATGTCACAATGGGATAAGACCTCGGCAGAGTCTTGGAAAGGGGTGCACGTTTTGCATGTGAGAGAAAGGCAAATTATCTGTGGCCAGAGGGCAGACCATGGCAGTTTTAAAAACAGGCCGGATATGGTGGCTCATGCCTAATAATCCTAGCACTTTGTGAGGCAGAGGTGGGAGGATCGCTTGAGCCCTGGAGTTCGAGACCAGCCTGGGCAACATGGTGAGATCCTGTCTCTACAAAACATCCAAAAATTAGCCAGGTATGGTGGTGTGTGTGCCTGTAGTCCCAGCTACTTGGGAGGCTGAGGTGGGAGGATCGCCTGACCCCAGAATGTTGAGGCTGCAGTGAGCTGTGATTGTGCCACTGTGTTCCAGCCTGGGTGACAGAAAAACCACAAAAAAAACCCAAAAATCAAAAACATAGCTGCAAATTCTCTGAATCTGGGTGGGCTTTGTCACAGAGCATAATGGGAGCGACAACAGAGCCTGATGGAAGTGACGCTGTGTGACTCCTGATACTGGGTCATAAAGGTAATGCAGCTCCTGTCCTGTTCCCCAAAACACTCCTCCTCAGAGCCAGGAGTCAGGATGTAAGGAAACTGACCACTCTGAGGCCATGCTAGCCAGGGAGGCTACATAGACATGCTCTGGTGGGCAGTCCCAGCTAATCACAGCCTTCCTGCCATCCCAACCAAGGTCTCAGACATGAGTGTACAGAAGCCATCTTGGAGCCTCCAGACCAGTCCAAATGACAAGTAGATACCACCAAGTGACCCTGTCAATGTCATGTGAAAAAGAAGAATTGCTTAACTGGGCTCTGCCTGAATTCACGATCGACAAAATTGTAAAATATAATAAAATAATCGTTTTAGGCCAATAAAGTTTTGGGGTGTTTTTTTTCTTAAATCTTTATATAGACTTCTAGAACAGAATTTGGCTCTCCAAACAGTCAATGTCATGGGTGGGGGATGGGGAAAATGGCGGGGGGGGGGGGGGTGTCTGTTTAAAGTGCTGTAACAATCAAATGCAAGGATTTGGCCTTGATTGGCTTCTGGTTCAAAAAAGTAGATTACAGGTACTTTGGGGACAACTGAGGAGACTTGCACACAGACCATTACATAGTATTTTTAGGAAATTACTGTGAATTATGTATTAGCCTGTTTTTGCACTGCTATAAATAACTTCCCTGAGACTGGATAATTTATGAAGTAAAGAGGTTTAATTGACTCACAGTTCTGCGTGGCTGGGGAGGCCTCAGGAAACTTACAATCATGACAGAGGGGGAAGCAGCCACCTTCTTCACAAGGCAGCAAGAGGGAGAAGAGAGAAGGAAAAAACTGTCACTTTTCACACCATCAAATCTTGTGAGAACTCACTCACTATCATGAGAGCAGCATGGGGGAAAACTGCCCCCATGATCCAATCACCTCCCTTCCTTGACCCATAGGGATTACAATTCAAGATGAGATTTGGGTGGGGACATAGAGCCAAACCATATCAATTGTGTTAGATATGATCATGGTTTTACGGTCACGTAGAAAAATGTCTATTTGTAGGAGATACTGGTGTATAGGTCAAGTGTCATTATGATTGCAACTTACTTTACAATGGATCAGCAAAACAATTATACACACACACACATACACGAAGCAAATATAGCAAAAAGCTAACAACTGTTTGAATCTAGGTACTAAGTATACACATGTTCACTATGCCAGCCTTTCAACTTTTCTGTGGGTGAAGATTTTCATAATAAAAAGCTGAGAAAAAAAGATCAGAGAAAATCAACTCATAAAAATGTTTCCCACTTCAGTAGTCATGAAGACAATGTAAATTAAAACCCAAATTCAATACCACCCACCAGAATGGCTAAAATGAAAAGGACAGAAAAGCGTTGGCAAGGCTGTGAATCAAGTGGAACCTCCTCACAGAAGTGTAAAATGGTCCAACCACTGTGGAAAACTGTTGGCTGTGGCTACTAAAGCCAACATATGTAAACATATTGCATCATTATTATAGAGGTACTTGTTCATCCAAGTTTTGCTTTTCTGTGTTTTCAATCCTACAAAATTACCCTTTCCTACCATTCCTATATTTTCAGATTTTTCTGATAACTTGATAAGTAATTTATTTGCTGGTCTGATAGTGGGTTTCTCTCAGTCCAAATGAATTGTGTGGTGAGCAGATTCATTAGTTTGAGGAGAAAATGGGGGAAACAGCATTTATTTACTCATCAAGATGTTTAGGTGCCTATTAGATGCATTGGGGCTGCAAACCTGTACATATAGATGAGTATGATATGTCCTGGACTGTTAGGGAGGTCAGTCAGCACCCAGGGGAGAACATGGTAACATGAGGTGATAAAAGCAGCAATAGGCGGGTGTAGTGGCTCATGCCTGTAATCCCAGAACTTTGGGAGGCTGAGGCAGAAGGATCACTTGAGCCCAGGAGTTTGGGACCAACCTGGGCAACATAGCAAGATCCCATCTATAAAAATAACTTTTAAAAAAAATTATCTGAGTGTGGTGATGCATGCCTGTAGTAGCAGCTGCTCAGGAGGTTGAGGTGGGAGGACTACTTGAACCCAGAAGGTTGAGGCTGCAATGAGCTGTGAACATGCCACACCACTGCACTTCAGCTTGGGCAACAGAGCAAGACTTAAAAAAAAAGCAACGATAGAGCCATGTCCAAAATGTATGGAGGTTCAGAAGGCATGGTGAATTCTCAGCTGGATATAAGAGGGGATTACAATGTTTTAGAGGAAGGATCATCAGAATAGGGCCTTAGAGTATGAGTAGGACTTTCCAGGCCCAAGGATCAACATCAAGCAAAGATGTGGGATTGTGCAAGTTCAGGACAAAGCATCTCTCCTTTCAAACCAGTCCTTCTTTTTGCTTTGCATTTCCTGGTTAATGGCTCCACCATCTACCCAATGACCTGTATCTTTATGAGACTGATGCGCTGCCTACTGTGCTAAAGCAGTAACTAACCTGTATCTTTATATGGCAAGTAACATAAAAATCCAATTTGAACTGGCTTAAAGAAGAAGGGGGTTTCTAGGCTTTATAACAGGAGAGTCAAGGACTTCATGGTTGGTTGATCCAATAGCCCGAGGATACCACTGGGGGTCTATCCTTGCTTTGGTCTGCTTAAGGTCAGCTCCAGTCTATGGCTCATTTTCCTGGGGTCTTGGGTCACAAGATGGTTGCCAATTAAGTCAGGTCTATCCACCTCCCTGTTCTTGTCAAGTGGGAAAGGGCACTTCAGTCCCAGTATTCCAATAAACAGTTCTGGCATTCACTGATTGGCAGATTTAGATCACATTTTTACTCCTGAACCAAAAACTACAGTGACAGCCATGGAATGTGCTAATTAGTGTAAGTCAGTCCAGGCCCACCTCTAAAGCAAAGGCAGAGTTCAGTTTCTCCAAAGCACATGGGCTGTACGACAAGAGAGGTTGGGAGATTGTGTTGAGTGACAATCTGGAAACTTTTAGGAAGAAGGAAGCTGGGTAGAAAACAAATAAATGTTCATTGCAGTTACTACCTGCAATGAACAAATAAATGTTCATTTCAATTACTAGCTGCAATTCAGGAGCCTGGGAAGAATTTGGTATTTCTTACTCTCTTACCTCCCCACATCCAACCAGTCAACAAATTCTGCTGATTCTACCTCCTTGTTATTATATTATCTGCCCCAACTGCCTTTGTTCAACCGCCATCATTTCTCACCCATATGCTTAAAATGCCTTCTAATTGGTGTCCCTGCCTCTACTGTCTCCTCGCTCTGGAGTTCCTTTGGACAACTCTGAGAATGATCTTCCTACTTCCAAGTTCTGATCCTGTTACTCCCCTGCTTATGACCCAAATGGCTTCCCACTGGTTACAGAATAAATTCTGAATTCCTGGATAAGTCACTTCCTGGGGGTCACGTCTTTCATGTTATGTGTATTAGTCTGCTGGAGTCATAACAACGTATCACAGACTGAGTGGCTTAATAACAGAAATTAGTTTTCCCACAGTTCTGGAGGCTGGAAGTCCAATATCAAGGTGTCCACAGGGTTTGTTTCTGGTGAGGCCTCCCACGTTGGCTTGCAGATGGCCACCTTCTTGCTCTGTCCTCACATAGGCTTTCCTCTGTGCATACTCATCCATGGAGTCTCTTTCTCTTCTTTTAAGACACCAGTCACGTTGGGTTAGGGCTCCACCCTTATGATGTCATTTAACCTTAATTACCTTTTTAAGGATGCTATCTCCAAATATAGTCATTGGGAATTAGGGCTTCAAACTATGAATTTAGGGAGAGCATAATATAATCCATAACAACCTGGTTTCTATCTTCATCCTCTGATATTTATCTTTTATTTAATTTAAATTAAAAATTTTTTTTTTGAGATGAAGTCTCACTCCATCACCAAGGCTGGAGTGCAGTGGTGCACTCTGCTCACTGCAACTTCCACCACCTGGGTTCAAGCGATTCTCCTGCCTCAGGCTCCCAAGTAGCTGGGACTACAGGCGCATGTCACCACACCCAGCTAATTTTTTTTTTGTATTTTTAGTAGAGACAGGTTTCACCATGTTGGCCAGGCTGGTCTTGAACTCCTGACCTCAAATGATCCACCTGTCTCAGCCTCCCAAAGTGCTGGGATTACAGGCATGAGCCACCATACCTGGCCCTTTTAAAAATTTTTAATTGACAATAATGGTATATATTTATGGGATACAACGTAATGATTTGATACATGTGACACTTCCTCATTTCTGCCCTGGGATATAGTTTCTCAAAAGCAAAGGTTGGCCAGAGATGTCTGACTGAACACAAGCACATACACTACCTCCCTACTTCCTGCCTCAAGTCTCCTTACACAACACATTCTGTCTCTCTGTGAGTATTTCCTATGTACACATGAAACCCACAAAAACACATGAACAAAATAAAGAGGGCCACCAGAAGACCAGAAGGATACAGGAATTTCTGGAGGATAGAGAGCAGGTGAGATCTGATTGACAGCAAATCTGGAGCAAAGACGAACATGGCTTAACCAAAGGTAGGCAAAATGACCACCAAGGAGTGAGGGAAGTTCAGGGATATTTTAAGCCTAAGTCAACAGACATCTGGAGCAGGAGCAGGTGCTGGCACAAGAGATAGAAGAGCTGTATTTGAAGCTGTCCTCACAGGGTTAACAAGAGTTCTGGACAGAAATATAGTTATAATTAAGCATTAGTCAGGCTGCAATTTGACTCATTTCCTTGTAGCCAGAATTCATGGAGCACTAGATGTTGACCATTTGTATCCCCATTGTTTCTACAGATGAAATTTCTGATGTTAGAATCATAAGGGTTTTGTTTAAGAATGACTTAAACAGATCCTTAATTCTAGTGGAGTAGCTGATGCCAACCACTTCAAAGATCCCACAGAAGAACCAAATCAATGTACAGATACAGTTTCTTTATCTCCCTGCCCCATGACATCACCCTGGACTCGCTGACCAATCGACCATCTCCACACTTTGGCCCATTCCAAAACCCTTAACATCCCTAGCCCCAAACTCCTCATGGAGACAGATTTGAGATTTTCTCCTATCTTTATTATTTGGTGGCCCTATGATTAAACCTCTTTCTCTGCTGCAACTCAATGTCTTAGCATACTGACTTGCCACATGCATCAGGCAAAGAACCGATTACAGTTACAAATTCTCGAGAGCCAGGGCAGGACATGCTTCCATAGCACAGACTAAAATTGGAAGGATGCCAAGATGATTAGCATGGTCCCTGCACAAGGATGACATGAATTTTTGAAACATTTCGTATTTTTCCTGGCATCACCCCACAAATTCCATGAAAGTCACAAGGAAGAAAATGTACATTTTTACAATGGAGAGGCCTGGGGGTCACCACCATATGCAAGTGATGGAACCTAACGTATTAATAGTAGGACAACCTGCCATGATATACCTATAGATATCATGCAGTATAATGTATTCAAAATCACCTACAAAGTATTCTTGCCAAAATATTCAACCTTAATCAAATCAAGCCTCTAGACCCAATTTTGCAGGAAATATGGAGGTGAGGGAAGGGGATTTGAAAAAAGTTAAATGACACCAAGAGGAAACAAGCAGACAAAATCAGAATGGGGAACATTCTACAAGAATAATACTAGGAAAATAGTCTCAGGAAATCCAGTACGTAACTGTAAGACCCTTGTTAATGGCCTCAGAAAGACTTAAAATGGTGCTTTTTGTGTGTCCTCTTAGTTATATCCGAAATTCCTGAAGAATCCAAAGGGCGTGCCTCTTAGCCCATGTCAGCTAGACAATAATACTTCTAAGACTTCTACAGCAGCCTCATGGGGAGCCCACAATAAAGAAGGGCTGATCTCAAACAGCCTGAGCCTGGTGTCCTAATGGAATGAGAGTCTGGAGGAATCTTGGAAAAAGGTGTGTGTTTTGCATGTGAGAAAAAGGCAAATTATTTGTGACTGAAGAACAGATCATTGCAGCTTTAAAAACGTAGCTGCAAATTCTCTGCATCTGGGTGGGCTTTGTGACTGCTTCAAACAACAGAGCCTGATGGAAGTGATGCTGTGTGACCCCTGATACTGGGTCATAAAAGGTAGTGTGGCTCCTGTTCTGGTCTCCAAAACACTTGTCCTCAGAGCCAGGAGACAGGATGTAAGGAAACTGACCATTCTGGGGCCATGCTAGCCAGAGAGGCTACATGGACATGCTCTGGTGGACAGTCCCAGCTGATCACAGCCTTCCTGCCATCCCAACCAAGGTCTTGGACATGAGTGTGCAGAAGCCATCTTGGAGCCTCCAGACCAGTCCATATGACAAGTGGATACCACCAAGTGACCCTGTCAATGTCATGTGAAAAAGAAGAATCACTTGACTGGGCCCTGCCTGATTATGATCGACAAAATTGTAAAATATAATAAAATAATTGTTTTAAGCCACTAAGGTTTTGGGGTTTTAAAAAATTTTATATAGACAACTGGAACAGAATTTGGCTCTCCAAAAAATCAATGTCGTGGGTGGGAGGTGGGGAAAATCAGGGATCTGTTTAAAGTGCTATAACAATCAAATGCAAGGATTTGGCCTTGATTAGCTTCTGGTTCAAAAAAGTAGATTACCGGTACTTTGGGGACAACTGAGGAGACTTGCACACAGACTGTTACATAGTATTTTTAGGAAATTATTGTTAATTATGTTATATATGATCATGGTTTTATGGTTATGTAGAAAATATCTATTTCTAGGAGATAATGGTGTAATTATGAGTCAAGTGTAATTATGACTGCAACTTCCTTTACAATGGATCAGCAAAACAATTATATATATGTATGTATATGTGTATATATATACACACACACACATGCACAAGAAGCAAATATAGCAAAAGGCTAACAATTGTTTAACTCTAGGTACTAAGTATATGCATTTTCATTATGCCAGCCTTTCAACTTTTCTGTGTTTTAAGATTTTCATAATAAAAAGCTGAGAAAAAAAGAGCATAGAAAATTTAACTCCTAAAAATGCCTCCAACTTCATTAGTCATGAAGAAAATTTAAATTAAAACCCAAATGCAATACCACCCACAAGAATGGCTAAAATGAAAAGGACAGAAAAGCGTTGGCAAGGCTGTGAATCAAGTGGAACCCCCTCACAGAAGTGTAAAATGGCCCAATCACTGTAGAAAACTGTTGGCCCTATCTTCTAAAGCCAACATGTAGCTACCCTATGACCCAACAACTCCCGTTCCAAAAGAAGTCCATACATATGTTCATCAAAATATATGAGTAAGTACTGCTAACAATAGCCTCAAGCTGAAAACTACCCAAATGTACATCAACAGGAAAAGGAATAGATAAATGTTTGTTCATAAAGTGAAATGCTATACATCAACAAGCATGAAGAAACCACAACCACACAGAACAAGGTGGATTAATCTCACAAACATGCTACATGAAAGAAGTCAGATATGAAAGAATATGATTCCATTGATAATATTTTAAGAGATAATATTTTAATCAAATAATATTTAATAAATCTACAGTAATAGATGTTAAGGCAATGATTACCCTTGGAGGTGCAGTGACTGGAAGGGGATGCAAGGCCCCTAGTTGTTCTGTTTCTTGATCTTGGTGCTGGTTATAAGAATATGTTAACTTGAGGAACTTTCCAATATATGCTACATTTTAATACAAAGTTAAGAAAAATAAAAGAAAAAGATCTTCTCCCACATATGCTGACTCAGAAGCTGTCATTACCTTCCCCACCCCCACCACCAGGATAAAGCCTTGAGTAGAGCTCTCTGAAATGGGACTTCTGAAACTGGGGCCAAAGAAGGAGGGAGGTATTTCAGGTAAGTTACAATGACCCTGAGAGCTCCTCTTACTTAGAAGGCAAACATATTATCCTTTCCTAATTTAGTGGTCTGTCATTAGGAGACCCAATATTTACTTTTGAACTACAAAATAGATAAATGATAGATGGACTGATATAGACAGATATTCAATTACAACTTCCAAGGATAAGTATTAATAGATACCTAAGAATTATCAACAGTTGGGAAACACAACACACACACAAAAGCATCAAACTCAACAAATAGAAAAATGAGTACCCAAAAAACAGAATTCATAAAGCAATCAAAAGACTTTAAAATAATTATAATTAATATTATCAGAGAGAAGAAACCGCTAATAAATAAACCACTCTTTTTGGAAATTAAAAATATTAAAAATATTATCACCACCATAAAATAAACCCTCCACAACTTAATAGGTAGGGTACATAGCAGAATAGACTCAGCTGAAAATGAGCTAAAAGATCAAGTTGAGAGATTTTCCAACCTCCTGAATAGCTGGGATTACAAGCGTGTATCACCATGTCTGGCTAATTTTTGTATTTTTGGTAGAGACGGGGTTTCATCATGTTGGCCAGGCTGGTCTTGAACTCCTGGCCTCAAGTGATCTGCCTGCCTTTGCCTCCCAAAGTTCTGGGATTACAAGTGTGAGCCACTGCACCCGGCCATTCCCCCCGAGTCTTGATGAAATCTTTTGAGACCAGGGACCATGTCTTTTTTCATCTTTGATTCTCCAGTTTGTGACAGGGTGCTTAGCCCATAGTAGTTATTCAATAGGTGTTGAATGAGTCATCTAGAGTAGTCAAATTCAGAGATAGAATGTGGAATGATGGTGGCTAGGGGATGGGAGGTGGAGGGGAGAATGAGGAATTATTTTTTAAGGAGTATAGAGTTTCAGCTTGGGAAGATTAAAAAGTCCTAGAGATGGATGTTGCTGATAGTTGTACAACAATGTGAATGTACTTAATGCCACTGAACTCTACTCTTAAAATGGTTAAAATGGTAAATTTTATGTTATGCATCTTTTTACCACCATTACATTTTTAAAAATGTTGAATAAATAAATGATGGTGTGACAGGCAGAATAATTGTTCTCCCCAAAGATGTCCAAGTCATAGTTCCTGGAACCTGGGAATCTATTATGTTACCCATCAAAGGATAATTAAGGTTACAGATGGAATTAAAGTTGCTAATCAGTTGAGTTTGAGCTGAAGAGATTATGCCGGGTCATTTGTGTTAGCCCAATGGACTCACATTGATTCTTCTAAGTGAAAGAGGGAGGCAAGAGCAGAAGTCAGGGGTTTGGAAATGCAGCATTGCTGGCTTTGAAGATAGAGGAAGGGCCATGACCCAAGGAATGTAGGTGGCCTCTGGAAGGTGGAAACAGCAAGGAAATGGATTATCCAGAATCACGCAGCTCTGCTGACACCGTGATTTTAGCCCAGTGAGACCCATCTCAGACTTTTGCCCCCTAGAACTGTAAGATAATAAATTTATATAGTTGTAAACCACTAAGTGGGTGATAATTTGTTATTGCAATAATAGGAAATGAATACAAATGGCAATGACATGATTAGAAAAAGCTTTTATGTATAAGAACATTCAGTTTTTATTATCATGAACTACTTCAGGCACACCAAAAAGGCATATTTTTCTGAATGCCTATATATCCAGGTCTGCACAACACACAAACAGTAAGCAATTAAAATGCAAAACTGACTATTTTCTCCTTAAAACCATCAATGGTCCCTGCAGCCTGCAGGAGAGAGCCTAAATCTTTGCTTCTAACTGGGCTCCTGCCTGCAGCTTTGGCCTAATCCTCTGCCTGCCCCTCTGGAAATGCTGAATTTCTGGCATTCTCACTCAAGTTCATTCATGCAGTTCCCTCTGCCTGGAGTGCCTTCACTCCTCAGCTCAGATGTTCTCTCCTCCTCAAAGCATTCTCTAACCTCCAGCTTCAACTAAATTCCTCTTCTCTCTATACTGTAGATACAGCATCTGCTCTAGATAGTTATCCTAGTACTTACCGCAATACAATGAAGTTGTTTCAACCCTGTTGCTATACTGCAAGCTCCTTGAAGACAGGAGCAGTACTAGCATTTGGGGACTGTTTGCTAAAATGTCTCAACTGAAGCATCCCCTAGATACTTAAAAGAAATGTGAAATGAGCCCAATTTTGTTTTAAAAACACAGCCTGAAGAATTTGGTTGAATAAAAAATAGTAATAGTATCTAACTTTGGTACATAAAAAGATAATATAGCACTTTTCTATTTTTACAAAGCCACTTTTTAGTTCTATAAATTTGGTTTCATTTTAAGCAAAGTTTAAACTTATCTCAAAATTTAGCAAGTATAACCAGAATATATTCTTTTTTCACCTTTCAGGCTAGCAATGATATTTAAAGTTTGAGAAGGCAATATATTGGATAGGATTATAAATTGAGTCAAACTCTTTGGAGGGCAATTCAGCACTGTCAAAATGTTAAATGAATATACTCTTTGATGCAGGAATTCTATTTCTAGAATTTTTTTCTGTAACACCCTGCACATGTGTGAAAAGAGATGTATAAGGATATCCATTGAAGCATTGTTCCTAATAGCAAAAGATTGAAATCAACTAAAAGCCTATCAATAGGACACTAGCAAAATAAATTTTGGTGATTTTACTATGGAACACTACAAAGCCATTAAAAACATGAGGTTGATCTAAGTGGCTGATCTGATATGATCCCCAAGTAATATATTAAGTGAGAAAAAGCACTGTGATAAGTAAGAAAAAGAAATAGAAAGCATACAGTTTGAGAAGAAATAAAACTGTCCTTATTTGTAGGAGAAACAGTGACAACACTAAATGCTGGTGAGGATGCAAAGAAACTGGATTGCTGATGGGAACACAAAATGGTACAATCACTCTGGAAAACAGATTGGTAATTTCTTATAAAATTAAATATGCAATTACCATATGACCTAGTAATTGTACTCTTGGGCATTAATTCCAGAGAAATGAGAACTTATGTTCATGCAAAAACTTGTACATGAATGCTCCTGGAAACTTTATTCATAATAATCCAAATCCGCAAACAACCTAGATGTCCTTCAACAGGTTGATGGCTAAACAAACTGTAGTACATTCATATCATGGAATACTATTCATCAATAAAAAGTAATAAGCTATTGCATGACTAATAGTTGTGCATTTATTATGCAACAACTTGGATGAATCTCCAGGAAATTGTGTTGGGAGAAAAAAAAGCCAATACCAAAAGACACAAGAGATCCCTATTGGGGTGGAACTGTTCTGAACTTTGACTGTGGTGGTGGATCCCAAACCTACACATGTGATAAAATTGTATAAAGATAAGTACATGTATAGAAGAGTACCAGTAAAAGTGGGGAAATCTGAATAAGGTCAATGGATTATATCAATGTCAATATCCTGGTTGTGATATTGCACAACAGTTTTGCAAGATGTTACCATTGGGGGAAACTGGATAAAGAGTACCCAGGTCTCCCTATATTACAGTGAGTCCCTGAGTTACAAAGGCTTGATACTATTTTTCCAACTTTACCATGCTGTGAAAGTGATACCTATTTAGTAGAAACCGTACTTCAAATTTTGCATCTTGATCCTTTCTCGGGCTAGTGATATGCAGTATGATACTCTCTTTTGATGCTGGGCAAGGGGGAGTGAGCCGCAGCTCCCAGTCAGCTGTGCCACCATGAGGGTAACCAACCAATATTCTACAGGGTCTTGTCTTGCCAGATGATTTTGCCCAAATGTAGGCCAATGTAACTGCTCTAAGCATGTTTAAGGTAGGCTAGGCTAAGCCATGA
Source organism: Homo sapiens (assembly GCF_000001405.40). NCBI lineage: Eukaryota > Metazoa > Chordata > Mammalia > Primates > Hominidae > Homo > Homo sapiens. Next base: position 58,371,662 of record NC_000016.10, on the reverse strand, counting down.
TGTTTAGTAGGTTAGGCGTATTAAATGCATTTCTGACTTATTATATTCTCAACTTATGATGGGTCTACTGCGATGTAACCCCGTCATAAGTCTAGGAGTGTCTATATTTCTTTCTTTCTTTTTTTTTTTTTTGAGATGGAGTTTCGCTCTGTCGCCCATGCTGGAGTGCAGTGGCACAATCTCGGCTCACTGCAAGCTCCGCCTCCCAGGTTCACGCCATTCTCCTGCCTCAGCCTCCCGAGTAGCTGGGACTACAGGCGCCCACTGCCACGCCTGGCTAATTTTTTGTATTTTTAGTAGAGATGGGGTTTCACCGTGTTAGCCAGGATGGTCTTGATCTCCTGACCTCGTGATCCACCCGCCTCGTTCTCCCAAAGTGCTGGGATTACAGGCGTGAGCCACTGCACCCAGCCAAGTGTCTGTATTTCTTATATTTGCAATATGAACCAACAAATACCTTTAAAAGTTTAATTTAAAAAATCAAGGTACAGAACAATGTGTGTAGCATACTACCACTTCTGTAAAAACAGGGGCTATATATTTATAACTGTGCTTGTATTAGCATAGAATATTTCTAGAAATCTATTAATAAAAATGGTAACAGTGGCTTCCTCTAGGGAGGAGAACTAAGAACCTGAGGGTCAAGGGAGGAGGGAGACTTACTTTCCACCGTATATTTTTTTTTTGCACGGTTTAACATTTAAAACCTGTGCATGTATCGTTTTTACATTTGAAACTCGAAAAAACTGTAAAGCAAATGTGAAATTTAAATAATTTTTTGTAGTGAATGCAAAGATGAGAGCTTACAAACCATCAGTTTATGTACCACAATGATCCTACACCCCTTTCGGTGGAGGACATCAGGGCTTTAATGGTAGGAGAGGGAAAAGAACCCAGGCTAGTGCCAGCAATATGCCCCCACCTCAGAAGTCCACCTGAATCTCCTGATTAATAAGTTTGGGGTGGGAAGGGATGTCACTGTACCCCACGAAGTGACAAAGCACGGTTCCCCAACATTCTGCTACTGGATGTATAGATGGCTCTGTGACTCCACTACAAATCGCCATGGTTGAGCCCCAGGGGAGCTTTTATCTTCTGAAATGTCATTACACATAATTTAAATTTTTAAATCATTAATTTGTGAAATATCATTACACATAATTTAAATTTTTAAATCATTAACAGTCCCAGCCACGTAGGTGTTGTTATTGCGTTAATGTGTTGAGCTGGAGGGTGTGCTGTAGGTAAAGCAGACTCACACTTCAGCAGGAATCAGGAATGCCCCCTGACAATTCTGATCCCTTGAAGTGAAGCTACTTACAGCTGTCTGATCCTGAGAAACAGGCCCGGTTGCCTGTTTACTTTATTTATGACGATCAATATCACATCACTATCACTGAGTTCTTTCAACTTCCTTACAGCTTATCCTGTTCACCTAATATTTGTTGGTGAAACCTCTTTTTAGGAGATAAAGGTTTTTACTTAATGAAAATAGAAAAATTAACTAAAGAGTCTATAAAAATACGCTTTAAAAAATCCTGCATCCCACACTATCTCCATAAACGCAAGACAATATAATGCAGTTGAAATTTAGAATGTGAGACTTAAAGTACAGAAAGTATGGTTTGATCCCATGCTAAACAGATTAAGCATGTATTTTAGAAAAAAGACACTTTTTCCCTCTACCCATCTCCAATGCCATGAAAGATGTAAAATATTTCAGACCTGAAAGATGCTCAAATCTGTCAGCACTAGCAGTTGGGAAAGCAATGCAAATAGAACATTACACCTCCCCAAAACCTACTGTTCTCATTCTTACCACACAACAAACCTCGTTACAGACCATGAAAAACAGACGCCTTGTCAATTGTACTGACGCTAATACCAAAAAAAAAAAAAAAAAGTGTTTAATGCCAGGAACTGAGCATTCTGTTTTCTTGTAAGCAATGCAGTGTGAAAAAAATATACAGAAAAGTGGTACATTTGGCAGCTAGCGCATTTAAGAAATAGTGCCCAAAAAACAGGAGGACTGGGCACGGTGGTTCATGCCTATAATCCCAGCACTTTGGGAGGGGGAGGCGGGTGAATAACTTGAGCCCAGGAATTCGAGACCAGCCTGGGAAACATGGTGAAACCCCATCTCGATTTAAAAAAAAAATGAGCTGGGTGTGTGGTGCAAACCTGTAGTACAAAAAACTCGGGAGGCTAAGATGGAAGGATTGCTTGAGCCTGGGAAGTTGAGGCTGCAGTGAGCTGTGATCACGCCACTGCACTCCAGCCTGGGCAATAGAGTGAGACCTTGTCTCAAAAAAAAACAAAAAAACAGGAGAGAAGAAGCAGATCTCTGATTTACTGAAAAATGCATGATTTTTATAAGGTCTATTGTGAATGGAAAACCCTCCCAGCTTTGTAGGAGTTAGATCATTGATGCACTTTGGTATTTAAGAATAAGGCCAGGCTTAGGCAAAACCAAATCCCGTGGACTGTGAGGATGTGTGTGTGTGAGAGGGTATTATGTTCAGTGTCCCATTTGGATAATGAATTCTGTCACTGAGAATTGGCTGCTCCATTAAGGATCTCTGATAACTGCCTCTCTTTAGCCTGCTTAGTTCTCAGAGGCTGTGTGGGAAGAGTCACCTTTCCTGGGACACCAAAATCATGCCCTGTGCAGGTGGAGTTTCCCTGGTGATGATGCCCTTGGCTGCTTGTGCTGGTGTCCTGGTTTTGGGGATGCTAGCTGGGTCTATGTCTGGGATGACCAACTGTCCCAGTTTGCCCAGGACTGAGAAGTTTCTTGGGACACAAGACTTTTAGTGTTAAAATTGAGCCGGTCCCACCCACAACAGCCTAAAAGGCAGAACTAACTCAAGGGTCCATTGATGAATAAATGAGCAAACAAAATGTGGAATATTGTTCAGCTTGCAAAAGGAAAGAAATTCTGACACATGCTACAACATAGAGGAACCCCGAGGACATTATGCTACATGAAATAAGCCAGTCACAAAAGGACAAATGCTATATGATTCCACCTATAGGAGGTACTTAGAGTAGTCAGATTTATAGAGGCAGAGAGGAGATGGTTGCCAGGGGCTGGGGAGAGGGGAAATGGGGAATTAGTGTATAATGTGTGAAGTTTTAGTTTGGAAAGATGAAAAGTTCTAGAGATTGATGGTGGTGATGTTTGCACAATGACACCACAGACCAGCATGCTTGAAAGCCATTAGAATGATAAATGTTATGACATATACGTTTCACTACTATTAAAAATTTAAACCTAGTCCCAGGCAAACTGGGACAGTTGGCCACTCATGTCTTACACCTGCCTGCCTTTTCTCCTCCATCCCTCCAACAGATAGATATAACTCAGGATGCTGCTTACTCAGTGTGGTCTCATCCATGGCAGATTTTATGGTCTCAGCTCCTGTTATACGAAAGGGCAGGTTCTGAAGCATGGGATTCCACTTTCCCTCTAGCCCTGGATACAGCTGATTGGATGGGCAAACCCCTGTTCCAAGCAGAGCACAACTCATGGGCTTGGCTTGAAAGGATTAACTGAACCAATCAGAGTCCTCCCTTGAATACTGGTTGACACAAAGTACAGTTGCAGCTGAGATGGACACTGGAGTGGAGAAACAGAAACAGGTTAGTGTGGTGGCTCACACCTGTAATCCCAGCACTTTGGGAGGCCGAGGGGGACAGATCATCTGAGGTCAGGAGTTTTAGACCAGCCCGGCCAACATGGCGAAACCCTGTCTCTACTAAAAATACAAAAATGAGCCAGGCGTGGTGGTGGGTGCCTGTAATCCAGCTACTTAGGAGGCTGAGGCAGGAGAATCACTTGAGCCCAGGAGGAGGAGGTTGCAGTGAGCTGAGATTGCAGGACTGCACTCCAGCCTGGGTGACAGGGTGAGACCCCATCTCCAAAAAAAAAAAAAAAAAAAAAAAAAAAAAGATACAGTGGCTCAGGAAATATCCCTGTAATAATAGGTTTAGCAAAGCACAGAAAAGACTCTGGTGGTAACACGTAGTGTATACGTATGTGTAGATATAGAATATATATATATATATGCATATATAAAATAACAATACTATTTGAAGCTTTGCTATAGGATTTTTTTTCCCCAACAGAAGATCCATATACCTTGTTACTGCTCTGCCTATCTCATTTTCTGTCAGTTTTCACCCACATCCTCTCCTCTCCAAGCTCAGCCACAGTTATTATTGCCTTTAGCCCTTTGTGCCTGAGGTTCCCTTCCTAGCAGGGTCTCCCTGTTGGCCCCAGTGAATTGAAATTCATCTCATGCTCACTGAGCCTCTACTAGGTGTCATATACTGTGCCAAGCACTGCATATGCATGACCTCACTTTCACCTGCATAACAACTCTCTGTGGTGGGAACTATTATTTTCCTCATTTTACAAATTAGGAATTTACCTGCTATGCTTTGAAAGTGTCCTACAAAGTTCATGTCTTGGAAGCTTAATCCCCAATGCAACAGTGTTAAGAGGTAGAAACTTTAAGAAGAGATTAGGTCATGAAGACTCTGCCCTTATCTATAGATTAACCCAGAAGAGTGGGTTTGTTATAAAAGCAAGTTCAGCCCTCTTCCTGTGTGCCTGGGTTCTCTTTTGCCTTTCCACCTTCTGCCATGGGATGATACAGCAAGAAGGCCCTCACTGGATACCAGCACCTTGATCTTGGACTTCCCAGTTTCCAGAACAGTGAGAAAATAAATTTATGTTCTTTATAAATTACCCAGTCTGTGGTTACTCTGTTACAGCAGCACGAAATAGACTAAGACATTACCCAAGATCTCATAGCTCATAAGTGGTTGACCTTGTATTCAAAACACAAGTCTATTGAAGTTCATTGCTTGTGCTCTTAATCACTACATCACACTAGCATCTGCTTAGAAGAATTAATCACTTGAACCAATAAAAAAAGTTATATGAAATTAAATTAATACATTTTTCTTACAGAGGCTGTGATATGAAGAAAGCTATGCTGTAAGTTTTCTATATCTGCCGATTGGATTTATAATCTCAAGGCATTTTGTAATCAAATACAAGTTCCCAAAATTTCCACAAAGAGAAACGTCACTTATATAGTTCTGAGCTGTTCTGCCAGCCATATACCACAATGCAATCTTTCTAATCACTGTGTGACAATGCATAAGCACTGCTTAGTAATATATCGTACCACATGGCTTTGTGTCAGCATTTCTGAGTCATGGCTGTGTACCTATAACAGTCAAGTGACATATGCTCTAATGGGGTCTGACTCACTTAAATAAGTCCATTAACTTGACAAGTTTGATTTTATAAAGCTGAAGAGGACTCTCTGAGCTCTGGGTTTTTTTCATCTCTATATAAAACTATGGTATGAGTTCAAAAATATCCCTATGACGCTGTGTGGCCTTAACCATTGCTTAACTCCTCTCCTTTTTCATCTTGAATTAAATTTCTCAAACATATAGTGTGCCCTTGCTGTGTCCACCTCTTACGCCACCCTCACTTCTCCATCCCCTGAGCCTGTACTCTGGCTTCTGCTCCCTCCATGTCACTGAACTTACCCACGACCTCCTACACCCTTTTCAGATATTACCTGACTTGGTTTCTCTGCAGAATTTGATGCTATTTGGCTCTCTATTCTTCCTGATATTTTCTCTCCTCTTGCATTCCACTATGGCATTCTACCTTGGTACTTCTCTTACCTTTTGCTAGTTTTTGGTCTCTCTTGCTGGTCACATTTTTTCTTCTCTTTTGATGAGGATATAGTATACTTACTCCCCTTTCTCTTTCAAGTCTACACACATCCCTAGATGATCTCATCAGCTGCCATGGCTTCCAATATGACCTTCGTGGTGGTGACTCCCAGGTTGATGCCTCCTGAATTCACACCAACATTCCAATCACCCCTATACCCCTATATGGATGGCTGGGGCCACGTAAACTCTACCAAGTCCCAGAAGTGAATTTATTACCTTCCTTTATTCTTGTGTCCATGAATGGTGCCATCTCCCTATTACCCACAATAAAACCTAAAAGTCTCTTTAGATGTTTTCTACTGTGTCCTCCACATCCAACCAGTCACCATGTCTTGTTGCTTCTAATTCCTAAACATCTGGGGACCCCATAATCTCCTTTCTGAGTATTGATTATGTTTCACCTGAAATATTGAGCTATCTCCATAAAGAGTCTCTTAATTGAACTCACCATCTGTCTCATTTCCATGAATCTATCCTCCACCCTTCTGCCTTGGGGATCTTTCTAATGTAATCTGAATAAATCTTAGGGTGCCCAATGCCCATCTGAGCTTGATGTGGCATTCAAAGAACTATACCCCAATGACCAAAGGTAATTAAAAATACTTTCAATTTTCACTTATATATCTGGAAAAACATCAAAAGAGGTCCTGTTCTTCATCCTAGACACTGCCTCCCCAAATCCTTTTTCTCAGTTATGCATTAATTTAAAGAACAAGGTAAATTTATATACACTGGCCTGAACAGCTAAAGTGATTGGTATACTCTTAAGTAAAAAAACACAAGTTGGCCGGGCGTGGTGGCTCATGCCTGTAATCCCAGCACTTTGGGAGGCTGAGGTGGGCGGATCATGAGGTCAGGAGTTTGAGACCAGCCTGGCCAATATGGTGAAACCCCATCTCTACTAAAAATACAAAAAAACTAGCCAGCTGTGATGGCATGCACCTGTAGTCCCAGCTACTCAGGAGGCTGAGGGAGGAGAATTGCTTGAACCCAGGAGGCAGAGGTTGCAGTGAGCTGAGATTGTGTCACTGCACTCCAGCCTGGGCAATAGAGGGAGACTCCATCTCAAAAAAAAAAAAAAAAAAAAAAAACCAACAACAAAAACACAAGTTGAAGACAAAGATGTATATCAAAATTCCATTTTTGTTTTCCAAAAAGTGCATGTGGGCCAAGCGTGGTGGCTCATGCCTGTAATCCCAGCACTTTGGGAGGCTGAGGCAGGCAGATCACTTGAGGTTAGGAGTTGCCAGACCAGCCTGGCCAACATGGTGAAACCCTGTCTCTACCAAAAACATAAAAATTAGCCAGGTGTGGTGGTGTGCGCCTGTATACCAGCTACTCGGGAGGCTGAGGCAGAAGAATCGCTTGAACCTGGGAGGCGGAGTTTGCAGTGAGCCGAGATTGTGCCACTGCACTCCAGCCTGGGCAACACAAGAAGACTCCATCTCAAAAAAAAAAAAAAAAAGTGTATGTGGAATCCGCCCCACCTGCTCACCACTGGGGGCCTGTGCACATTGTCCACTGGATGCCACCAGTGCCCCTGTGCATCACTGGGGAGACCTAAAGACAGCATGCCCCTCCTGCCACCAGCATCCATGCAGGGATTGACCCCTGCCACCTGCCACTGCTGATGTGCAACATCCAGGGTCCTGAGAAGAAGCCCACCCCACCTGTTGCTGCTGGTACTAGTGTGCATTGTCTGAGGCCTGGGGATAGATCTGCTCCACCCACCACTACCGGCGTATGCACACACCATCAGGGAACCTGAAGACAGGTATGTTCCACCTGCCACTGGCATCCACACATGTTGTCTGGCAGCTTGTGGATCGACCCACCCTGCCCACTCCACAGGTATCTGTGCATGCCATCTAGGGGCCTGAGGACAGGCCCACCCTTACCCACCACCACCACAACTGGCACCTGAGAACTGGCCTGCTGACTGTTTCTATTCCTAGCAAAGTCTCACCACAGCCTCTACTAACAACCATGGTCTAAGCCACTGAAGAACTCACAGACACCACTGATGCTGATTATAGTTTACAAAACCACATGGCAACTATACCACTGTGTCCACCCAGAATCACAGCCAAAGCACTCTACCCAACCAATGCTATAGTTAAATCTATAGGAAAAAGTCTTCCTATGACAGCCAATTCATAAAATTGGATGAAACAGCTATTACACCAGATGCATAGACATCAACATAAGGACATAAGAAACATGAAAAGGCAAGAAAACATGACCACTGCAAAGGAAAGCAATAACTCTCCAGTAATGGATCCCTCAAAAAAGGAAGTTTATGAAGTGCCTGAAAAAGAATTCAAGATAATGATATTAAAGAAACTCAGTGAGATATGAGAGGACACAGATAAACAATGCAAAGAAATCAGAAAAACAATTTATGATCTGAATTAGAAATTCAAAAAAGAGATAGATGTAATTTAAAAAAAGAGACAACAGAAATGCTGGGCTGAAGAATTTATTGAATAATTTAAAAAATACAATTGTAAAACTTCAACAATAGACAAGATCAAACATAAGACTTTCTGATTTCAAAGACAGCCCTTTTGAAATAACCCAACCAAGCAAAAAGAAATAAATAAATAAGAATAAAAAACAATGAAAAAAGCCTACATGATACATGGCACACCACAATGTGACCAAATATTTAATTTTTAGGAATTCCACAGGAAGAAAAGATAGGCAAAGTCATAGAAAGCCTATTTAACTAAATAAAAGCTGAAAATTTCCCAAGTCTTGCAAGACATATAGACATCTAGATATAGGAAGCTTAAAGATCACCAAATAGATACAACCCAAAAAGGGTTTCTCCAAGACATATTATTGTCAAACTGTCAAACGTCAAAGACAAAACGAGATTTCAAAAAACAGCAAGAGAAAAGCATCACATCACATATAAAGGAAATTCCTATTACACTAACAGTTGATTTCTCAGCAGAAACCTTACAGGCCAGGAGAGACTGGAATGATATATTCAAAGTGCTAAGAGAGGCAGAGATGGAGCAAGATGGTGAAATAGAAGGCTCCACTGATCGTCCTTCCCACAAGGACATCAATTTAACAACTACCTATATACAAGAAACAAAAAAAAAAAAACCTTCATAAGAACCAAAATCAGATGAGTGCTCATGGTACCTGATTTTAACTTTGTGTCACTGAGTGAGGCACTGAAGAGGTAGAAAAAAAATAGTCTTAAATCTCTGACACCACCTCTCCTTAACTCCTGGTAGTAGCAGCAATGTGGTGTGGTCAGTGTTACTATGTGCTGGGGGAGGGACAGCACAGCAATTGTAAGGCACTAAACTCAGTGCTGTCCTGTTATGGCAGAAAGGAAAGCCAGACCAAACTCGGCTGATGCCCACCCAGGGAGGGAGCATTTAAACCAGCCCTAGCCAGAAGGGAATAGCTGATCCCAGTGGTCAGAACTTGAGTTCCTACAAACCTCACCACTGTGGGCTAAAGTACTCAAGAGCTCTAAATAAAGTTGAAAGGCAGTCTAGGCCACAAGAACTGCAACTTTTAGGTAGTCCTAGTGCTAAACTTGGCCCACAACCAGTAGACTGGGTACAGGAGGGGGGCACACAACCTACTGACACACCAGCTGGGGCAGCTAAGGGGGTGCTGGCACCACCTTTCCCCTAGCCCCAGGCTACACAGCTCTCCAAAAGAGATCCTCCCTTCTGCCTGAGGAGAGGAGAGGGAAGAGCGGGGAGGATTTTCTCTTGCATCTATCTTGGATACCAGCTCAGCCATGAGAGGATAGGGCACCAGAGTTGGGAGGCCCCAATTCCAGGGCCTAGCTTCCAGATGATATTTCAAGATATACCCTGGGCCAAAAGGGAACCCACTGTCTTGAAGGGAAGGACCCAGTCATGGCAGCATTCATCACCTGCTAACTGAAGAGCCCTTGGGACTTGAGTAACCACTGTGATACCCACATACTATGTCAAGGGCCTTGGGTAAGACTTTGAGACTTGCTGGCTTCAAGTGAGACTCAGCACATTCCCATGGTGGCTATGGGGCAATACTTCTGCTTGAGAAAAGCAGAGGAAAAAATAAAGGGGACTTTGTCTTGCACTTTAAGTACCAGCTCAGCCACACTGGGTTGGAGCACCAAGCAGGTTCTTGGAGTCCCTGATTCCAGGACTTGGCTCTTGGACGACATTTCTGGACCTTTACTGGGCCAGAGAGAAGCCCACTGCCCTGAAGGGTGAGTCCCAGCCCAGGCAGTATTCACCACAAGCTGACTGAAGAGTGCTTGGGCCTTAAGGGAACATCAGCAGTAGTCTGGCCGTACTCCCCCACAGGCCTGTGGTAGTGGTGGCCATGGGATGAGGCTTCTCTGCTTTTGGAAAGGGGAGAGAAGAGTGGGAAGGGCTATGTCTTGTAGTTTGAGTGCCAGCTCAGCTGCAATGCAGTAGAACACCAGGTAGACTTCTAAGGTTTTTGACTCTAGTCCCTGGTTCCTGGACAGCACCTCTCAATCCACCTGGGGCCCGGGGGAACTCATTGCCCTGAAGGGAGGATCATAGGACTGGCTTTGCCACCTGCTGATTTTAGAGCCCCAGAGCCTTGAGCAAACATAAACAGTAGCCAGGGAGTATTTCCTTGGGCAAGACCCAGTGCTGTGCTGGCTTTAGGGCTGACCCAGCACAGTCACAGTGTTGGTGGCCATGGAGGTGCTTGTGTCACTCCACCTCCAGCTCCAGGTGGCTAAGAAGAGAGAGAGAGACTCTGTTTGGGAGAAAGTAAGGGAAGAGAATAAGAATCTCTGTTTGGTAATCCAGAGAATTCTCCTAGATCTTGTCCAAGACCATCAAGGCAGTGCCTCTACAAATCTGCAGGAACTACAGTGTTACTGGGCTTTGGGTGCCCCCCAAAGCATATCCAGCTTAGATCACAACATCCAAGACCTTTTGAACATATGGAAATCCCTCTCAAGAAGGATGGGTATGAACAAGCCCAAACTGTGAAGACTATAATAAATACCTAACTCTTCAATGCTCAGACACAGACACACATCTACAACTATCAAGATGATCCAGGAAAACATGACCTCACCAAATGAACTAAATAAGCCACCAGAGACCAATTCTGGAGAAAGAGAGAAATGTGACCTTTCTGACAGAGAAATCAACATAGTTATTTTGAGGAAACTCAACGAAATTAAAGATAACACTGAGAAGAAACTCAGAATTCTATCAGATAAATTTACCAAAGAGATTGAAATAATTAAAAAGAATTAAGCAGAAATTATTGAGCTGAACAATGCAATTGGCATACTGAAGAATTCATCAGACTCTTTCAATAGCATAATTGATCAAGCAGAAGGAAGAATTATTGAGCTTGAAGATAGGTTATTTGAAAATACAGTCAGAGGAGACAAAGAAAAAAGAATAAAAAACAGTGAAGCACACCTACAGAATCTAGAATATAGCCTCAAAAGGGTAAATCTAAGGGTTATTGGCCTTAAAAAGGAGGTTGAGAAAGAGATGGCATAGAAAGTTTATTCAAAGGAATAATAACAGAGAACTTCCCAAACCTATAGAAAGCTATCAAAGTGCTAAAGGAAAACAACAACCAATCTGTCAACCAAGATTACTGTGGCAAGCAAAGCTGTTTTTCCCAGATAAGCAAATGTTGAGGGAATTTATTATCACTAGACCAGTCCTACAAGAAATGTTTAAGGGAGTCCTACATCTGGAAGTGAAGGACAATATCTACCACCATAAAAACACATGAACATGTAAAACTCACAGGTAGAGCAGATATACAAATGAGAAAGAGAAAAGAGTCAAATGTTACCACTACAGAAAATTACAAAATCACAATGATAAACAATAACAGAGGAAGAAAGAAACAAAGCATATACAAAACAACCAGAAAACAATTAACAAAATGACAGGCATAAGTTCTCATCTATCAGTAATAACCTTGAATATAAATGGGTTAAATACCCCACTTAAAAAATACAGACTGCTGAATGGATTAAAAAAAGAATGACCTAAGTCTATGCTGCTTACAAGAAACTAGCTTCACCCATATAGACACATATAGATTGAAAGTGACTTCACCCATATAGACACATATAGACTGAAAGTGAAAGGATGGAAAAAGATATTCCTCAAAGACAGAAACCAAAAGCAAGTAATAGTATCTATACTTACCTCAGATAAAACAGACTTTAAGTCAATAACTGCAAAAAGATCCAAACCAATTAGACAGGAGAAAGAAATAAAGGGCATCCGAATTGGTAAAGAGGAAGTCAAACTGTTACTGTTCACTGATAAAATGATCGTATACTTAGAAAATCCTAAAGGCTCATCCAAAAAGCTTCTAGATCTGATAAATGAATTCAGTAAAGTTTCAGGGTACAAAATCAATGTACACAAAGCAGTAGCACTGGTATCCACCAACAATGACCAAGCTGAGAATCAAATCAAGAACTCAACCCCTTTTACAATAGCTGCAAAAAATTAAAATACTTATGAATATACCTAAGCAAGGGGGTGAAAAATCTATACAAGGAAAACAATAAAACACTGCTGAAAGAAATCATAGACAACACAAACAAATGGAAACACATCCCATGCTCATGGATGAGTAGAATCAATATTGTGAAAATGACCTTACTGCCAAAAGCAATCTACAAATTCAATGCAATTCCCATCAAAATACCATCATCATTCTTTACAGAACTAGAAAAAAAATCCTAAAATTCATATGGAACCAAAAAAGAGCCTGCATAGATAAAGCATGACTAAGCAAAAAGAGCAAATCTGGAGGCATCACATTACCCAGCTTCAAACTATACTACAAGGCTATAGTCACCAAAACAGCATGTATAAAAATAGGCATGTAGACCAATGGAATATAACAGAGAACCCAGAAATAATGCCAAATACTTACAGCCAACTGATCTTTGACAAAGCAAACAAAAACATAAAGTGGGGAAAGGACACCCTATTCAACAAATGGTGCTGGGCTAAATGGCAAGCCACATGTAGAAGAATGAAGCTGAATCCTCATCTCTTACCTCATATAAAAATCCACTCAAGATGGATCAAAGACTTAAATCTTAGACCTGAAACCATAAAAATTCTAGAAGATAACATTGGTGAAATTCTTCCAGACATTGGCTTAGGCAAAGAGTTCATGACCAAGAAACGAAAAGCAAATGCAACAAAACAAAGATAAATAGATGGAACCTAATTAAACTAAAAAGCTCCTACACAGCAAAAGAAATAATCAGCAGAGTAAACAGACAACTTACAGAGTGGGAGAAAATATCCACAAATTTGCATCCAACAATATCCAGGAAATAGCCTCAAAAGGGCAAATCAAGATCCTGGATATTGTCCAGGATCTACAAGGAACTCAAACAAATCAGCAAGAAAAGAACAAATAATCCCATCAAAAAGTGAGCAAAGGACATGAATAGACAATTCTCAAAAGAAGATATACAAATGGACAACAAACATGAAAAAATACTCAACATCACTAATTATCAGTGAAATGCAAATCAAAACCACAATGAGATACCGCCTGACTCCTGCAAGAATGGCCATAATTAAAATATATATAAAAAATAGATGTTTGTGGATGTGGTGAAAAGGGAACACTTTTACACTGCTGGTAGAAATGTAAACTAGTACAACCACTATGGAAAGCAGTATGGAGATTCTTTAAAGAACTAAAAGTAGAACTACCATTTGATCCAGCAATTCTACTACCAGGTATCTACCAAGAGGAAAATAAGTCATTTTATGAAAAAGACACTTGCACACACATGTTTATGGCGGCACAATTGCAAAAATATGGAACCAGCCTAAATGCTCATCAACCAACAAGTGGATAAAGAAAATGTGGTTTATATATACCACGGAATACTACTCAGCCATAAAAAGGAACAATTAGTGGGAGCTAAGCTATGAGGATGCAAAGGCCTAAGAATGATATAATGGATTTTGGGGACCCAGGGGGGAGAGTGTGAAGAGGGTGAGAGATAAAAGACTACATATTGGGTACAGTGTACACTGCTCAGGTGACGGGTGCAACAAAATCTCAGAAATCACCACTAAAGAACTTTTTCATGTAACCAAACTCCACCTGTTCCACCAAAAACTATTGAAATTTTAAAAATGAAATTTAAAAAATAGAATTTAAAAATTAAAAAAACTGTAAAAAGAGACAACATTATTATATAATGACAAAGAGATCAATTTAACAAGAGGATATAATAATTCTAAATATATATGCACCTAACACTGGAGCAGCCAGATATATAAAGCAAATGTTATTCGATCTAAAGGGAGAGAGAAGCCGGGCATGGTGGCTCTCGCCTGTGATCCCAGCACTTTGGGAGGCTGAAGTGAGGTGGACAAATCACTTGAGGAGGCTGAGGAGTTCGAGACCAGCCTGGCCTACATGGTGAAACCCCATCTCTACTAAAAAATAAACTAAATAAAATGAAATAAAATAAAATAAAATAAAGGGAGAGATAGACTCTAATACAATAGTAGCTGGGAACTTCAACCCCACTCTCGTGTTGGACATATCATCTAGAAAAAAAATCAACAAAAAATAGTGTGTTTTTTGTTTTGTTTTGTTTTTCTGAAATGGAATCTTGCTCTGTCACCCAGGCTGGAGTACAGTGGCATGATCTTGGCTCACCGCAACCTCCGCCTCCAGGGTTCAAGTGATTTCTGGCTAATTTTTGTATTTTTTAGTAGAGATGGGGTTTCACCATGTTGGCCAGGCTGGTTTCGAACTCCTGACCTCAAGTGATCCACCCGCCTCAGCTTCCCAAAGTTCTGGGATTACAGGTGTGAGCCACAGTGCCTGGCCTCAACAAACTTTTAAAAATCAAAATCTTGTCATGTATCTACTCAGACCACACTTGGAATAAAACTAGAAATCAATACCAAGAGGAACTCTGGAAACTGCACGAATACGTGGAAATTAAACAACATGCTCCTGAATGACCACTGGGTTAATGAAGAAATTAAGAAGAAAAAGAAATTGAAATAAATGAAAATGGAAACACAACATACCTATGGGATACAGAAAAACAGTCCTAAGAGGGAAGTTTATAGTAGTAAATGCCTACATCAACAAAAGTAGAAATATTTCAAATAAGCAATCTGAGGATGCACCTCAAGGAAGTGGAAAAACAAAAACAAACCAAATCCAAAATTAGAAGAAGGAAAGAAATAATGAAGAACAGAGCAGAACTAAACAATATCAAGACAATATCAAGCAATACAATATCAAGCAATACAATCAACCAATGAAATGTAAAGCTGGTTTTTTGAAAGGATAAACAAAATGGATAAACTGCTAGCTAGACTAACCAAGAAAAATAAGAGAGAAGGCCCAAAGAAACAAAATCAGGAATGAAAAAGGAGACATTGCAACGGATTACCACAGAAATAAGAAAGATCATTAGAGACTATTATGAACAACTATATGCTAACAAATTGGAAAAGCAAATTGTTTTGGGAGGAAGTGGATAAATTCCTGGACACATACAACTTACCAAGATTGAATAAGGAAGAAGTAGAAAACCTGAACAGACCAATAATGAGAAATGAGATCGAATCAATAATGAAAAGTCTCCTAAACAAAGCAAAGCACAGGACAAGATTGCTCTACTGCTGAATACTACCAAACTTATAGAGAACTAATACTAATACTTTTCAAACAATTTTTAAAAATTGAATGGGAGGAAATTATTCCTGACTCATTCTATAAGGCCAGCATTACCCTGATACCAAAACCAGGTACGGACACAACAAAATAAGAAAACTACAAGCCACTATCTCTGATGAATACAGATGCAAAAATCCTCAACGAAATACTAGCAAACTGAGTCCAACAGCACATCAAAAAGATAGTATAGTGATCAAGTCATATTTATTCAGGGATGCAAGAATGGTTTAACATGTGCCAATCAATAAATATGATATACCATGTCAACAGAACGAAGGACAAAAACCATATGATCATCTCACTAGATGCAGAGAATGCATTTGATAAAATTCAACATCCCCTCATGATGAAAACTCTTAACAAATTAGGCATAAAAGAAACATACTTCAACATAATGAAGGCCACATATGATAAACCCGTACCTAACATCCTACTGAAAGGAGAAAAGCTGACAGCCTTTCTCTATGAACTGGAACAAGACAAGGATGCCCAGTTCCACCATATTATTCAACATGGCACTGGAAGTCCTTGCCAGAGCAATCAGGCAAGAGAAAGAATGAAGTGCATCCATTTGGAAAAAAGGAAGTCAAAATGTCCTTCTTTGCAGAAAGTACTCTTATATATAGAAAAACCCATCAAAAAACTCAGAATTGATAAACAAATTTAGTAAAGTTGCAGGATACAAAATCAACTTATAACAATCAGTAGCATTTCTGGCTGCGCATGGTGGCTCATGCCTGTAATCCCAGCACTTTGGGAGGCCAAGGCGGGTGGATCACCTGAGGTCAGGAGTTCAAGACCAGCCTGGCCAACATGATGAAACTCTGTCTCTACAAAAATACAAAAATTAGCCAGGCATGATGGTGGGTGCCTATAATCCCAGCTACTCAAGAGGCTGAGGCGGAAGAATTGCTTGAACCCAGGAGGTGGAGGTTGCAGTGAGCCAAGATTGTACCATTGCACTCCAGACTGGGCGACAGAGTGAGATTCCGTCTCAAAAAAAAAAAAAAAAATCAGCAGCATTTCTTAACACCAATAATGAACTAGCTGAAAAAGAAATTGAGAAGCTATCCCCCATCTACAATAGCTACAGAAAAGTAAATAAAATACCTAGGAATAAATTTAACCAAGGAGGTGAAAGACCCCTACAATGACAACTACAAAACACTGATGAAAGAAATTGAAGAGAACACAAACAAATGGAAAGACATCACATGCCCATGAATAAGAAGAATTTATATTATTAAAATAACTATACTACACAAAGCAATCTATAGATTCAATGCAATCCCTATAAAATACCAATAACATTCTTCACAGATATAGAAAGAAAATTGTAAATTTTTCTGGAACCACAAAAGAACTTGACCTTGAATATTCAAAGCAATCCTGAGTAAAAAGAACAAAGCTGGAGGCATCACACTACCTGACTTCAAAATATAGCACAAAGCTATAGTAAACAAAACAGCCTAATATTGGAATAAAAGCAGACACATAGCCCAAAGGAACACAATAGAATACCCAGAAATAAACCCACCTATTTACAGACAACTGATTTTCAACAAAGGTGTCAAGAACATACACTGGGGAAAGCACAGTCTCTTTAATACATGGGGAATGCTGGGAAAACTGGATATCTATATGCACAAGAATGAAACTAGATCCCTGTCTCTCACTAGATATAAAAATCAACTAAGAAGGGATTAAAAACTTAAACATAAGACTCAAAACTATAAAACCACAAGAAGAAAACATACAGAAAATGCATTAGAACATTGGTCTAGAGCCTAGACAAAGGTTTTACGGCAAAGACTTCAAAAGGACAGGCAACAAAATCAAAAATAGACAAATAGGACTATATTAAACTAAAAAGCTTCTGCACAGCAAAGAAAACAATCAACAGAGTGAAGAGACAACCTGTAGAATGGGAGAAAATGTTTGCAAAATATTCATCCAACAAGGAACTAATATCCAGAATATAGAAGGAACTCAAACAATCAACAATAAAAACAAAAACAAAACAAAATAATCCCATTAAAAACTGGACAAAGACATTTCAAATAGACATTTCTCAAAAGAAGACATATGAATGGCCAACATATCTATGCAAAAATGCTCCACATCACTAATAATCAGAGAAATGCAAATCAAAACCACGATGAGATAACAGCTCACCCCAGTTAGAATGGCTATTATCAAGAAGACGAAAAATAGCAAATGCTGGTGAGAATGCAGAGGAAAGGGAACTCTTATACACTGTTCATAGGAATGTAAATTAGTACAGCCATTACAGAAGACACTATGAAAACTTCTTAAGAAACAAAAAATCGAACTACCATAAAATCCAGCAATCCCACTACTGGGCATTTACCCAAAGGAAAGGAAATCAGTATATCAAAGGGATACCTGCACCCTCATGTTTATTGCAGCACTATTGACAATAGCCAAGATATGGAATCAACCTCAGAGTTCATCAGTGGATGAATGGATAGACAAAATGTGATACATACATGCACACACACACACACACACACACACACACACACACACAAGAATACTGTTCAGCCATTTGCAGCAGCATGGATGAAACTGGAGGTTGTTATGCTAAGTGAAATAAGCCAGGCACAGAAAGACAGATATTGCGTGTTCTCACTCATATGTGGGTGCTAAAAAATTCATCTCATGGAGGCAGAGAGTAGAATGATGGTTACTGTTGTGGGAAGTCAGGGACCCTGAACGGAGGGACTGGCTGAAGTATGGCAGAAGAATGTAAATTGTGAAGATTTCATGAACATTTATTAGTTCCCCAAATTAATACTTTTATAATTTCTTATGCCTGTCTTTACTGCAGTCTCTGAACATAAATTGTGAAGATTTCATGGACATTTATCACTTCCCCAATCAATACTCTTGTCATTTCCTCTGCCTGTCTTTACTTTAATCTCTTAATCCTGTCATCTTCATAAGCTGAGGATGTATGTCGCCTCAGGACCCTGTGATGATTGCGTTAACTGCACAAATTGTTTAAACAATATGAAATCTGGGCACCTTGAGAAAAGAACAGGATAACAGCAGTGTTCAGGGAAAAAGGAAGATAACCATTAGGTCTGGCTTCCTGAGAGCCACGCAGAATGGAGCCATATTTCTCTTCTTTCAAAAGCAAATAGGAGAAATATCACTGAATTCTTTTTCTCAGCAAGGAACAGCCCTGAGAAAGACAATGCGTTCCCAGGGGGTAGGTCTCTGAAATGGCCACTCTGGGACTGTCCGTCTTTTACGGTTGAAGATAAGGGATGAAATAAGCCCCGGTCTCCGGTAGCGCTCCCAGGCCTATTAGGACAAGGAAATTTGTAATCCTAGCTACTCAGAAGGCTAAGGCAGGAGAATTGCTTGAACCTGGGGGTGGAGGTTGCAGTGAACTGAGACCCTGCCACCGTACTCCAGCCTGGGCAACAGGTGCAAAACTGCATCTCAAAAATAAACAAAATAAAATGAAATAAAATAAAAAAGATAAGAGGAAACACATGCTGAATGCCTACTGTACAGGTGGGCATTGAACTAGGTCAAGATGGTACCTGTCATAATCTCGGTGCTCCTCTCCTCGAAAACAGCTCTGCCCTAGTCCTGTGCAGAGGGATCAGTCACTTTCCACGCCATGAAACTCCACTCCTGGACCACTGATGCCCCAACCAGGGATGAGAGCTGACGCCAGATCATCCCACCCCTGAAGAATCAGCAGGCTGTGAAAGGCCCCACTGAAACCGTTCCACCCAATCAGGGTTGATGGTGATTAGCTGGGCATATTAGATTCTCTGCAGAGAATTTTAACTCAAAAATACAAGGGGAGACAGGGTTAGTGGCAAAAGCAGAAGATAGAAAGATGCATGGCAGGAGCCCATCAGGCACAGATTGCCATGAATAAACAGAAGCAATGAGGTAGAGAAAGGTGCAGAGTGGAGAAGGAGGTTGGATGGGAAAGTGGTGGGGACTGACCCAAACAAGGGCAGGGGGAGGGAAGAGGGAGGCAAAATATTCTGTTCTCAGAGCCAGGCTTCACTCTTACTACTACATGGGTCTCCATCAGGCCCAGCTGTGGCCGTTTCTGTGCAGTCTGGTAGGCAGGACCTGGCTGGGTGTATCTGATCTTTCTGTTGCAGATGCCTTCATGATAAACCCCTAATAAATCACCTGATAAGCTTCATAAGGCTTCATGATAAGCCTTTATGTTAAGCTTCATAAGGCTTCATGATAAGCCTTCCCATTAAACCCCAATAAATCGTCTTCGGTCCTCCAAAGCCTGCCTAACACAGGGGCTCTACTTTGCCACCTGGGTTAAAATTTTCTCAGGCACTTGGAGGTGCCCAGGCGTGAAATGGCCTGCAAGGTGGTGGAGCTGGGCTGTGAACTCAGTTTCCAAAGCTCATGGTGGTGGGGCTCTGTTCATGGCATCCTAATGTCTAATGCCTTAATTGATAAGGCAATGAATAAAGCTAACTGAGTCAACCACAGCCTCTTCCCAGGTTATGCAATGCAGGCTCTTATTCAATACAGGCTTAGTTTTTATAAATCATATGTTTCCCTTTGCAGAAGACTGCAACTCTTCGGTAATCTTCGGGGCGGTACCAGATGGTATCCCAACCCCTGTGTGTATGTAGCCAGCTCATTTCAACTTGGTGACAGTGATACAGGAGGCAAGGAGGACAGAAAACGACTAGATTATGTTTATGGTGGTTGGTATTGTATGATTAAGTCATTGTTTTGTCTGCCCTGAACCTCTTTCTCCCTCCTCTTTCTTGAAAATTAATGGTTTATTTATAATTGATGCATAATTGTATATATTTATGGGGTATCATTTGATGTTTCTGTGCATGTGTACATTTGCACAATGATCAAATCAGGCTAATTGCCATATCCATCACTTTCAACATTTATCATTTCTTTGTGATGACAACATTCAAAATATTATCTTTTAGCTATCTTGAAATATACACTACATTGTTTTTTGCTGTAGTCACCCTACTGTGTAAGAGAACACCAGAACTTATTCTTCCTGTCTAACTGTGATTTTGTACCCACTGACCAACTTCTTTGGGTACCCCTCCTTCTCTCTACTCTCTCCAGCCTCTGGTAAGCACTATTCTACTCTCTACTTCTATTAAATCAACTATTTAAGATTCCACATATGAGTGAGATCATGCAGTGTCTGTCTTTTTGTGCCTGGCTTATTTCAGTTAACATAATGTCCTCCGGGTTAATTTATATTGCTGCAAATGACAGGATTTCCTTCTGTTTTGTGGCTGAATAGTATTCCATTGTGTATATCTAGCACATTTATTTTATCCATTCATCTCTTGATGTACACCCAGGTTGATTCCATATCACGGTCATTGTGAATAGTTCTGCAATAAACATGGGGGTGCAGATGTCTCTTCATTGCACTGATTTCCTTTCCTTTGGATAAATTCCCAGTAATGGGATTGCTGGATCATACGGTAGTTCTATTTTTAATTTTTTTGAGGAACCTCCATACTTTTTTCCATAACGGCCATACTAATCTACATTCCGACCAATGGTGTATAAGCATTCCCTTTTCTCTGCATCCTCGCCAGCATTTGCTATTTTTTGTCTTTTTTATAACAGCCATTTAACTGGGATGAATTGATATTTCACCATGGTTTTGATTTGCACTTCTCTGATGATTAGTGATGTTGAGCATTTTTTCATATACCTGTTGACCATTTGTATGTCTTTTTGGAGAAATGTCTATTCAGGTCTTTTGTCCATTTTAAAAATCACATTATTTGGGGATTTTTGCTTTGAGTTCCTTATATATTCTGGATATGAACCCCTTGTCAGATGTATAGTTTGCAAGTACTTTCTCCCAATCTGTAGGTTGTCTCTTCATTTTATGGTTTTCTTTGCTGTGCAGAAGCTTTTTAGTTTGAGGTAATCTCATTTGTCTGTTTTGGTTGCCTGTGCTTTTGAGGTTTTATTTTTTTAAAAAGCCTCGCCCAGTTCAATATCATGAAGAAGTTCTTCTAGTAGTTTCTTCTAGCAGTTCCTGGTCTTACATTTAACACTGTAGTCCATTTAGAACTGATTTTTGCATGAAACATGCTTCTCTGTCCACACCAGCAATGTGGTTTGAATGGGAGCTGGCAATTGCAGACTCCAGACTCCTGGCTAGAGTTAAATTGGATCGGGAATGGGTATCTGCTCTTTCTTCTCTCCTACATCCTGGGAAAATAATGATAGCCCCATCCTATTCACCTTTCATTAGTCCAGGCATGGACCAGTCCAAGGCCAGGCCAATCAGAGCACTTCTCTGGGTTTGTCAACTTGGAGCTAATGAGGATGTTCAAACGTGTGGAGAATGTTCACTCCCTCCACTCCCTTCACTCCACTCCTTCCACCAAAAAAAAAAAAAAAAAACAAAAGTGGAAAAATCAATTTGTAACATAAAATTAATACCTTAATCATTCTAGATGTATAACTCAGTAGTGCTAAGTTCTGATTGTTTCAGGTTGCTGTGTAAACAATCTCCAGGACGCTTTTCAGCTTGCAGAATGGAAACTGTGTACCCATTAAACATCTTCCCATTTCCCTTCCCCTCAGTCCCTAGTAACCACCATTCTACTTTTTGTCTGTATGAATTTGACTATTCTGAGTACCTCCTATGAGTGCAATCATACAAAATCCATAGTTTTGTAGTTCTCATTTACACTAAAAGAATGATTTTAAGAAACTCTACTGAACTGAAATTGCTTGCTTACAGTTTATAAATTCTCTGATTATATTATAGTCTGATTATTTAACTGCTGTAGGATGATCAGTCCTATTGTACTTTTTGGAATTTCCCAAATGAGCCATGGTAGACAGCCTCTTCATTAATCTTCATAATGACTGTACCAGATGGTATCCTGAGTCCTATGTGGATGTAACCAGCTCAGTTTCAACGTGATTACAGTTCTGCTTCAGTGGCTGAATCTGTACACTAGCTGTCCTTCAGTGAGGACAGTTTGCCCCCAGGGGACACCTGGTAATGTTTGGAGACATTTTTGGCCATCATAACTGGGGGACGGTGCTGCTGAACATCTTGCTGCACACTCAGCAGTCCTCTTCAGCAAGGAATTACCCAGTGAAAACGTCCAGAGTATCACAGTTGAGAAATCCTGATCTACACAGTAGTGATGTTTCTCTGCTTCACACTGACCACGATTTTCCAATCAAGGAATCATAGGGAACATAATGAAACTGAAAAGCGTCTGCTTGTCCCGAAAAGAGACCTAGGGAGGTTCTAACTGCTTCAGTCTACAAACAACAAAAAGATTTCTGAACGGTCCTTTTCCCTGTTTAGTGATTCCAAGACTTCAGCTTAGGTGAAAGTTTTATAACCTTTTCCTACATCTTACTTTAAATTTGTGGCATTTTGTGATAGAACCACAAATTGTACCAGTATTCTGGTTTTTTTGGAGAGAACTTTTTGGTTAGAATTCCTTCTTTTAGTTATCATGCAAGATTGAAACTCTCCTCTCTCAAGTGGTCTGGAAGATGAATATAATCCACAAATTTATCTCTTTGCAGCAAATATCTCCATATTAGTACCACCATGTAAAAATTAATCCAAAATATATAGTGCCCAGATAATTCTCTCTACTTGGTAGCCAACGTCTTGCAATAGAAATCTTCAAAATTCCAAGTACTAGTATTTCCCTGATTTCCCAGAAGAGGAGGTGAAACTAGGCATGTTAGATGTTATTTAACAGTCTAATTTAGAAGTAATCAAGAGAAGTCACGGAATCTAATAAGCTAGTTAGCAACTAAATGAATCCCTGAGTTTAAGTTAGATACCTAGTGATGTAGTTAACTTCTCTGTATTGTTAAACAAAAATCCTGGGAGGCCACTGTTTTGGGCTGAGCTCCTACACCATGACCCCAACAGACAAGACCAAACCAAAATGGAATCACTCATGCTAAATGCCAATAATTAAACTGAAACATTAAGGAAGCAGGGAGATTCCAAACAGACCAGTTTCCCCTGAAAACATGGGATTCCAGTCTATCTGAGTTAGAACGATAAGAAGGTTTCCTCTGCTTCAATCCTTCCAAAAAAGTAACCAGAAGTGACCTGATGTTAACCAATCAGTCCTTTTTTTCTTGAGACAGGGTCTCCTTCTGGCACCGAGGCTGAAATGCAATGGTGTGATCATGGTTCACTCCACCTCCCAGGCTCAAGTGATCCTCCCACCTCAGCCTCCTGAGTAGCTGGGACCACAGGCACGTGCCATCATGCCCAGCTAATTTTTAAATTTTTTGTTAGAGACAGAGTCTCCTTATGTTGCCCAGGCTGGTCTCGAACTCCTGGGCTCCAGCCCTCCTGCCTCCTTGTTCTCCCAAAGTGCTTGGATTACAGCATGAGCTACCATGCCCAGCCTCAGAGTGTTTTTATGATGTTTTGTTTCCTTGGTCTCCCTGTGACTTAGGGCAAGTACGGCTACCCCCTCTTAGGAGAGGACACTAAAGGCCT
This sequence comes from Homo sapiens, assembly GCF_000001405.40. Lineage (NCBI taxonomy): Eukaryota > Metazoa > Chordata > Mammalia > Primates > Hominidae > Homo > Homo sapiens. The sequence goes on along the minus strand of NC_000016.10, from coordinate 58,347,637 downwards.
GAGTGTCCTGTCTGAGGTCCTCAGTCACTCCAGGACAGAGGCCCAAACAGAAGCCAGATCTTGGGCTGTTGAAGTTGCCCTTTGTTCATCCTGAGGGCACGACTGCTGTGTTTACAGATTATCACATAGGGATTTTTAAAAGTATAATTGGCTAAGTTTCTTCTTCAGATGCGTTAAAGAATCTGCCACCCAGGTGCCTGAAGGTGTGGTACCTGGGCAACTAAAGGTCTATGGGTAATCAATTTATTCCCAGAGTTAGGATTGGAAAAGCTCAAAGAGTATGATGAAAATGTAAGTAGTGTGTGCTAGACTTCTAGACTGTCTGTGAAATCAGCAAAATCTCAGAAAAGCATAGAAAACATAAAAGACTTTAAAGAGGTGCATCCTGTCTGCCCTTGGTTTTCATCCGAGCTGTCATTCAAGGGCAGCCCTCTGTAGAGAAACGACCCTGGACTCAGTAAGCAGCAAGGTTTAGGGAAGCACACAGCCCCTGAATGATCAACCTGGCGGTCGCTTGCCTTGTATTCTTTTAGGAGTTAAAAATCTTTCTGAAAGGTGCTGGGTGAATTGTGCCTTTGTGATTTGTTTGGTGGTGCTCTGAAAATTCCTTGTCTCCGTTCCTAATTTTAGAGCCAGCAGCTGTCACTGCTTTGTTCTAACAAGTCAGTAATTTTCCATTCTCCTTGCTTCCTTGGATTTCCTTTCTATATCTAATCACTCACTCTGCAGGGGCTTCTAACTTGGTCTTCTCACTTAAAAATTTTTATTATTAATTTTTAAATTTATAATTGGACCTTGTCATTTCTTTTAAAACCCCAAAGAAGGATGTGCATGTCACATATTCTGTCATTTGGTGTTTTGTTATTTCTGTAAGTTAGTAATTGCTTTTATTTTTGTATTTTTAGTAGAGACGGGGTTTTGCCAAGTTGGCCAGGCTGATCTTGAACTCCTGACCTCAAGTGATCCTCCCACCTCAACTTTCCAGTGTTGGGTTTACAGGCTTGCCCACCGCGACAGGCCTAGTAATTGCTTTTAAAAAGTTAAAGTATTACCTTTTTATTTTACCTGTATACATTGTACTTATACAAACCTTCTTACAGTGTGTGATAGACATAAAGTTTTATCATAAAATGTTATGGCATTCGGTGTTTTGTTTGTTCGTTTGTTTGTTTGAGACGGAGTCTCGCTCTGTCGCCCAGGCTGGAGTGCAGTGGCGCGATCTCGGCTCACTGCAAGCTCCGCCTCCTGGGTTCACGCCATTCTCCTGCCTCAGCCTCCCGAGCAGCTGGGACTACAGGTGCCAGCCACTGCGCCTGGCTAATTTTTTTTGTATTTTTAGTAGAGACGGGGTTCACTGGGTTAGCCAGGATGGTTTCCATCTCCTGACCTCGTGATCCGCCCGTCTCGGCCTCCCAAAGTGCTAGGATTACAGGCCTGAGCCACCATGTCCAGCCGGCATTCAGTGTTTCTTATCTTCATTGCGCCCAGCCGGCATTCAGTGTTTTTTATCTTCATTGCAGCAGGGTTGCTTTTGTTTGTTTCTTATTTGGCCATTTATTTATTTTTAGGATTCTATGGGTACCAACAGAATTCCTTGAAGGTGTTTTGCAGGTGGTATCATAACTTTATTTTTCTATTTTAATTTTGCAGTAGTCTGGGATTTGCTTCAAATTAATCCAGATGGAGGGGAAGGGGATGTAGGTTAATGAAACAAGACTGGCCATGGTAACTGTTAACGTGGATCGTGGGAGCATGGTGGTTCATTATACTACTCTGTCTACCTTTGGGTATGCTGGAAGTTTTCCATTATAAAAAGCTTTGAAGATCTTTACATCAAGATTATTTCTAATAATCTTCCTTTAATTAAGATAAACTCATTGTACAAATATTGCCATCTATAGGTGGAAAATATATTTGTTTTGATTTGGACAGGCTGCAACATCAAAAAAAGGAAAAAAATTATTGTAATCTTGATCTCTAACCTGACTCCGAAATATTATTAATGTTACTACTCTTTTCTCAAAACTCGCCATTAATATGAATCACTAGGTATAACGCACATAAATTTCTTTATGAATCTCTGTTCTATATATAGTAAAATTCATGTTTGAAAAAGGTCAAATTACATTTTAGTGTAAAGGCTCAGGACTTTTTAAAAAAATGACTTGTGATTTTTGAAGGTTTGAAAACTCCAAATCAGAATATAATTTAAAAATGTAGTTTTGACCCTTTACATATTTTTGATGACTTGAGAATGTATCTGTATTTTAAGTCTCATATTCGTGTGAACTTGACATTTTCACACAGGTCCACAGAACGGAAAGTTGCTGCTTTCAAATTTGGGGAAAATATAAGAGAAACTTCTTTAAATCATATACAGTAGACAAAGATACCTTATGAATACCAGAAACAGGTGACAAAAATAAATACCCTAGGGGTTAAGCAGAATGTTCTGGATATCGAACTTGAAGCTTATAAGCATTCTTTGTTTGTTTGTTTGTTTTTTGGTTTTTTTTTTTAGATGGAGTCTCACTCTGTCACCCAGGCTGGAGTGCAGTGGCGTGATCCCGGCTCACTGCAACCTCCACCTCCCGGTTCAAGGGATTCTCGTGCCCGGGTTCAAGCGATTCTCGTGCCTCAGTCTCCTAAGTAGCTGGGACTACAGGTGCACGCCACCACACCTGGCTAACTTTTGTATTTTGAGTAGAGACGGGGTTTCACCACGTTGGCCAGGCTGGTATTGAAATCCTGACCTCAAGTGATCAGCCCACCTTGGCTTCCCAAAGTGCTGGGATTACAGGCGTGAGCCACCGCGCCTGCCCGGCCTAAAGCATGTGATCATTCTGATACCAAGATAAGCACAGAGTTGCCATCAGAGCATATTTCAGGCCTCCCTTCCTGTCCTGTGGTTACAGTTGCATGTTCACTCAATCCTCCATTGTATTTTGAAGAGTAAATTGTACTCTACATAGTTGTTGTGTCTTTCAGATACAATTTATAATACAGTTGGGCCTATTAAAATTCCAAGAGTAACAACCTTTTCCAAGATGACCTTGCCCAACATTTTTGTGTTATTAATTGTGTCTGTAGGACCTCATCTGCCCCCTTCTGCTCTGACAAGATATTCTGAGAAGGACAGAGTTGCACTCAGTAACGAAAACATGTTACACGGATCCTGTAAGCCAAATCTATTGACCAGGAGAGTTGGGACACACACTTTCACATTTTCTGGAACAACTTGTACTTTCTGGAAAAACCTATATAACTGGCTGGCCCAGGCTCTCTTATTAGAATTTCTAATATTTTAGGGTGACAGCTCATTTTAAGGGACCGCATCACACTGTCAGACTGTCAGGGTCTTCTTGGGTGTGATACCAACAGCACAGGCAACAAAGAAGAAACAGGTAAATTGGGCTAAAATAAAAATTTAAAACTTTTGTGCATCAAAGGATGCTATCAACTGAGTGAAAAGGAAATTAATGAAATGGGAGAAAATGTCTGCAAATCATATATCTTAAAAGATGCTAATATCCAGAACATTTTTTAAAAACCACTGTAACTCAACCACAAAAAAACCAAGTAACCAGATTTAAAAATGGACAAAGGACTTGAATCAATATTTCTCTAAAGAAGACATAGACACATACCCGTTTAGCACATGAAAAGATGCTTGGTGTCATTAACCATTAGGGGAATGCAAATCAAAACCACAATGAGATACCACCTCATACCCATTAGGAGGTCTATTATAGAAAGAAAAGTAAACAGACAAACAAGCAAAAACCCAACACAGAATATAAGTGTTGATGAGGATGTGGAGAAATTGGAAGCTTTGTGGGCTGCTGGTGGGAGTGTGAAATGATGCAGCTGCTGTGGAAAACAAGATGGCAGTTCCTCAAAAAATTAAACATAGATTTACCATATGACCCAGCAATTCCACTTCCGGGTATATACCCAAAAGAGCTGAAACAGATTGGGACTGGAACAGACATTTGTAAACCAATGTTCATAGCTGTAGTAATCACAAATAGCCGAAAGGTAGACACGACCCTAGTTGAATGAATGGATAAACCGAATGTGGTTTATAAGCACAATGGAACATTATTCAGCCTTAAAATAGAAGGAAATTCTGACACATACTACAACGTGGATAAACCTTCAGGATGTTATGGTAAGTGAAATAAGCCAATCACAAAAAGGCAAATAGTGTATGATTCCACTAATATAAGGTACCTAGAGTAGTCAAATTCACAGAGACAAAAAGTAGGATGGTGGCTGCCAGGAGGGCTGGGGAGAGTGGGAATGAGGAGTTAGTGTTTAATAAATGCAGAATTTCAGTTTTGCAAGATTAAAAAGTTCTGGAGATGGATGGTGGTGATGACTGCCCAATTCTGTGAATGTGCTTAATGCTACTGAACTATACACTTAAGATGGTTAAAATGGTAAATTTCATGTCATGTAAATTTTACAACTAAAAATGAAATAAATTTAAAAATGTAAAATAACCTTGAACAAAATTTGCAAATAAAAAAAATTGTCTGGTTGTTGAAAAAGGACTGATTTTTGAGAGAGACAACTTCTAAAATAAATGTTACTTAATTTATTTTAGAAGTTAATACTTATCGTGTTAATTCTTATCAATTTTGAGACAATGCTTTTTAACAGCATCCTCAGAATTTCTCTATTTGCCTAGCAGTGTACCAGATACTGCTGTGGATGGTGTAGGTACATGAAAGATTAGCTTAGCCTTCCGGGAGAGACAATCTTGGTGGGAAAATAAGATATGTATATAAAAAAGTGAGTAACCAGAAAAGACTGCATGACACTAGGCTTCATATGAGTGTTAGAGAGAATAAGTTTAAGAGAGAAGAGAAGGCTGGGGCCGATGGCTTACGCCTATAATCCCAGCACTTTAGGAGGCCGAAGCAGGTGGATCACTTGAGGCCAGGAGTTCGAGACCAGCCTGGCCATCATGGGGAAACCCTGTCTCTACCAAAAACACAAAAATTAGCCAGTTGTGAGGGCGGGTGCCTGTAATCCCATCTACTCTGGAGGCTGAGGCATGAGAATCGCTTGAATCCGGGAGGTGGAGGTTGCAGTGAGCCAAGATCACAACACTGCACTCCAGTCTGGGCATCAGAGTGAGAGTGTCTCAAAAAAAAAAAAAAAAAGAAAGAAAGAAAAGAAAGAAAAAGAAAAAAAGTTCCATGGGGACAGGGCAGGGGGAATGAAGGGGGGGTGCTGTCTGGGGTGAAAAGGACCTAAAATTGAGAATTATGACAAATTTTGACATTGCTGTGAATTTATATCATGTAGTGCAGAAAGTAACAAATACCATAAGAAAGCCAAGAAGTAATAAAGAGAGCTAAACACTGGCACCTGAGTGGCCACGAAAATCAATGGGACAGACTAGAGGGCTCACAAAAACCCAAAAGATGATTTGTTTTTTGATAACATGGCATTTCAAATCAGTAGGGAAAAGGTAGATTATTTAATAAGTGGGTTGGAAAATTTTTATGTTGAATTCCAGTGTACTCTTCACACCCAAATATGTTCCAAATGGAGCAAAAATTTCAATACCGTAAAACCATTAAAAGTACTTGAAAAAATGTTAGAAAAAAAGAGTGTTTTTAAAATCTTGAAGTCAGGAATATTTTTCCAAGCTAGATTGAAAATCGAGGAGCCTTAAAGAAAAAGACTGATAAATTTTACTATAGAAAGGTTAAAACATATGCACGGGAAAAACTTATATCACAGATTTATGGTATAAACTATGTATTTATATATATTTAGAGACAGGGTCTCACTCTGTCACCCAGGCTGGTAGCCATACTCACTGCAGTGAGTTTGAGCTCATTGCAGCCTCAAACCCCTGGGCTCAAGCAATCCTCCCACCCCAGCCTCCTGAGTATCTTTGACTACAGGTGCATGCTAATGCACTCGGCTAATTTTTAAAATTTTTTCATTTTTATTTTAGAGACAGGGTCTCAAACTTCTGAGATTATAGGGATGAGCCCCTTTACTTGGCGTTAATTAAATATTTTTTTTAGGCTGGGCACAGTGGCTCACGCCTGTAATCCCAGAACTTTCGGGGGCCAGGGTAGGCAGATCGCCTGAGTCCAGAAGTCTCAGAATAGCCTGGGCAACATGGCAAAACCCCATCTCTATGAAAAATAAGAAAAGTTAGCTGGGTATGGTGGTGCAAGCCTGTAGCCCCAGCTATTCAGGAGGCTGAGGTGGGAGGATCGCTTGAGTCCAGGAGGTGGAGGTTGCAGTGAGCCGTGATTGCACCACTGCACCCCAGCCTGGGTGACAGGGTGAGACCCTGTCTCAAAAATTAAATAAATAAATAAATTTTTTTAAATGGCATGATCTATTTTAAAGAATTTATTTAATACATAACCAGTTCCTGTTAATTAATAAGGTCAACAAATCAATAGAAAAATGGACAAAGTGCAAGAATAAGCAGCCCCAGAAAAAGAAGCAAAAATGGCTTATGATGTCTGACTGAAAAAAAAAAGGCTGATAAACTCTTACTGAAAGAAAAAAATAGCATTAATTTTTTTACGTATCAGAACGGCAAAGATAGAGACGTCAATGATACATGCATGAGGGGGAAAGACACTCATATATCGACTGAAGAAACGAGTGGATTTGGGCTGTGGGCTGGGAAAGGTAGTTTTAATACAATTTTTTTTTTTTTTTTGAGATGAGTCTGTCTGTCGCCCAGGCTGGAATGCAGTGGCGCGATCTCGGCTCACTGCAAGCTCCGCCTCCCGGGTTCACACCATTCTCCTGCCTCAGCCTCCTGAGTAGCTGGGACTACAGGCGCCCACCACCACGCCCGGCTAATTTTTTGCATTTTTAGTAGAGATGGGGTTTCACCGTGTTAGCCAGGATGGTCTTGATCTCCTGACCTCGTGATCCACCTGCCTCGGCCTCCCAAAGTGCTGGGATTACAGGCGTGAGCCACCGTGCCCAGCCTTTAATACCATTTTTAATATGAGAGAGAGGAAGAAAGATTTTGAATGAGAGAAGTTCCAGCACTGTGTGGAAGGAAGACAGTCACCTTACTTGGGTTAATTGAGGGAGATCTCGTAGGGATGTTGTGGGGGAAACATTTAACTGGGGCTGGAAAAATGGGGAGGTTTTGAGAAGAAGAGAGGAAGAGCCTTCTGAGTTTGAAACAATGTCTAACTTAAATTCTACATTTTCTTTTTCTTTTCATTCTTTTTTTTTTTTTTTTTTCTGAGACAGAGTCTTGCTCTGTCACCCAGGCTGGAGTGCAGCGGTACGATCTTGGCTTACTGCAACCTCTGTCCCCTAGGTTCAAGCGATTCTCCTGCCTCAACCTCTTGAGTAGCTGAGATTACAGGCACATGCCACCACACTCAGCTAATTTTTGTATTTTTAGTAGAGACAAGGTTTCACCATGTTGGCCAGGCCAGTCTTGAACTCCTGACCGCAGGTGATCCGCCTGCCTCGGCCTCCTAAAGTGCTGGGATTACAGGCGTGAGCCACTGCGCCTGGCCTAAATTCTACATTTTCAAAAACTGAATCAAGCTGGGAGGTTGAAAAGCTCTTTTATTAAACAGAGTAGGGCCATGAAAACAACAGAATATTCTAAAATCTCAAAATTCTTTTGGCTTTCAGATCACAGGAAGTAAGTTCTGTGAGCAGCCAAAAAAAGAACTCTCTGGGGACTTGGTCATAAGAAGTTCCAAGGCAATTTCCGATGTGCATGGTCCCTCCAATCTTGATCCCTTGGGATGCAATGGGAAAAACTCCTAACTAAATACCAGATCAGCTGCCTCTAGCCACAGCTGTGCTACCAAAGGTGGCACAGGCAACTCACCAACCCCCGCTTCTGCAAACTGAGGGAACTGGACCATCCGAGCTCTGTCCTTTCCAATACCAAAATTATCCATTGTGGCCTTGACCACCTGTTGTCAGGGCTAGAGCAGAAACAGTGACTGTGGTTTTCCCGGTGGCAACAATGTGGAGTGCAATCCAGATTTGAGGAAAGGGAAGGAAAGGAGAGAAGGAGCCCTCTGCAGGCTATTATTCTTTTTTATTTTTTGAGACAGTCTCCAGGCTGGAGTGCAGTGATGCAATCTCTGCTCACTGCAACCTCCGCCTCCCAGGTTCAAGCTATTCTTGTGCCTCAGCCTCCCAAGTAGCTGGGATTACAGGTGTATGCCACCAGGCCTAGCTAATTTTTGTATTTTTAGTGGAGAGGGGGTTTCGCCATGTTGGCCAGGCTGGTCTTGAACTGTTGACCTCAAGTGATCCTCCCACTTCGGCCTCCCAAAGTGCTAGGATTACAGGCATGAGACACCATGCCCAGCCCACAGACTATTATTCTTTCCTTTTTCTTTTTCTTTTTCTTGAGATGGCGTTTCACTCTTGTGGCCCTGGCTGGAGTGCAATTGCACGATCTTGGCTCACTGCAACCTCCGCTGCCTCCCAGGTTCAAGCGATTCTCCTGCCTCAGCCTCCCAAGTAGCTGGGATTACAGGTACCTGCCACCACATCTGGCTAAGTTTTTTAATTTTTTAATTTTTTATTTTTTTATTTTTAGTAGAGACAGGATTTCATCATGTTGGCCAGGCTGGTCTCAAACTCCTGATCTCAGGTGATATGCCCACCTCGGCCTCCGAAAGTGCTGGGATTACAGGTATGAGCCACCGTGCCGGCCCACAGGGTAATCTTCTAAATGAAGTAACTCAGAAATGGAAAACTAAACATTGTATGTTCTCATTCAAAACTGGGAGCTAAGCTGTGAGGACGCAAAGGCATAAGAATGATACAATGGACTTTGGGTACTCTGGGTAGTTGGGGAAGGGTGGGAAGGAGGTGAGGGATAAAAGACTACAAACTGGGTTCAGTGTATACTGCTGGGGTGGTGGGTGTGCCAAAATCTCACAAATCACTACTAAAGAACTTACTCATGTAACCAAATACCACCTGTTCCCCAAAAACATATGAAAATAATTTTTTTCTTTCCACCGTGGGGAGTGGCCCCACCCTGCCCATTAGGGAAGGACAGAATTCTCCCCCAGGAGAAAAGTCTGTATGAGACAAGCAGATGTCCATTGTCTGGTCACATGGAAATCCTTCTCCATCCAGGCATTTCCTCTGGCTCAAAACTGTTCTGTAACTTCGTGGATGTTGTGCAATTACATTGCCAGGTGTGCTCCTGAAACCTCATCTGTGCTATAAGTAGTGAGGCCTGTTTTCATCTTCCCAAACAAAAGAGTTTAGGGTCGTGTGTCGGTCATCTTTCAAAAATAGTTGTGGGCTGGGCACTGTGGCTCATGCCTATAATCCCAGCACTTTGGGAGGACGAGGTGGGAGGATTGCTTGAGCCGAGGAGTTTGAGACCCCATCTCTACAAAAAATAAAAATAAAAGTAGCTGGGTGTGGTGGCACACACCTGTAGTCCTCACTCCTCGGGAGGCTGAGGTGGGAGGACTGCTTGAGGTAGGAGTTCAAGGCTGCAGTGAGCCAAGATTGCACCGCTGCACTACAGCCTAGGCAACAAAGCAAGACACTGTCTCTTTAAAAATTAGTAAATAATTATGATTACAGTTTTCCACTCTGAAGCTTGGATTTCTTGGACTTCCATTTAGAATTCAAGCTTACCAACACAAATTTTTGAGAACATCTTCAAATGGATTAACAAGGCTTAAATGCCATCTATATCAAGAGCTTTATCTTTGTCAACTTGATTTATTTTTCGAGTCAAGAGACTTGGAGCTTAAATTCCAGCTGCCTCTCGGTGCCACCTGACACCTCTGGGCCTCTGTAACATAGCAGTTTTAGAGGATTGGTTGGTTTACTTTTTTTTTTTTTTTTTTTTGAGACCTGGTCTCACTCTGTCTCCCAGGCTGGAGTGCAATAGCATAATCTTGGCTCACTGCAACCTCCGCCTCCCAGGTTCAAGTGATTCTCCTGCCTCAGCCTCCCAAGGAACTAGGACTACAGGACTACAGGTGTGCACCACCACACCTGGCTAATTTTTTTTTTTTTTTTTTTTTTTTTTAGTAGAGACAGGGTACCATGTTGGCCAGGCTGGTCTAGAACTCCTTGCCTCAAGTGATCCGCCCGCCTTGGCCTCCCAAAGTGCTGGGATTACAGGTGTGAGCCACTGCGCCCGGCCTGGTTGGTTTGCTTTTAAAGCAACAGAGACTTTCCATTGCGTGAAATCTTACCTTTGAGCTCCAAGGCAAAACCGGTGCTAAGGCTGAAAAGGGCCTTGTTTAGTCTCCTGGGTTCACTCAGGTCTGTAAGAGGCTGCAAGGGAAGCCAGAGAATGGCTAGAAGCCCAAGTTTCAGAGATGAGGAAATAACGCTCCAAACACGGTCACCCAGCAAGGGTGGCACCTCCTGCACGGCCCATCGGCTGTGACAGTTCATTTCACAGAAAGGATGAGTTTGCCACTTTGCCTCATTGGAAATGCGGCCGATGAAAAAGCCACCTGACATCAATGAAGAAAAGGCACCGAAACAAAACAGCTAACATGTTAATTAAAGTTTTAACATTTGCAACAAGTTGACAAAAACAGGCAGTTTTTTCTTTCTTTCTTTTCTACAGCAGTTACTCCTATAAACAGCGATCAGAAACCAGGGAAAGCGCTTTGGCTTTTGAGCACGTTTCTCTTGCTGTTTGCAAATAGTTTCTCCGCCAAGGAATCGTCAGCACAGAAACCTTTTACCTTAATTTTGTTGAGCGCCACGTTCAGACAGCTGGAGGAAGCGTCAATATAGAATGCGGCGAGCAAGATTGCCCCCTGCCGGCAGAAATGATCATCGCACGGAAGCACCAGTGGCATTTGGTTGACTGGGCTGCTTGGGGGAGGACGGAAATATTTAACTTTCTTGGGCGATGCATAGGTGACAACGTTTATGTGGTCACCACAGGAAACGAATGAGAGCTTCACATTCACCCAGTTGAGAAAAAAAATGTTCCCACGTCTACTGCAACTGTCCTGGAATTCTCTGTACCTCTGGAGTGAGGTGTGTTGTTCAGTGAATGATACTTTAAATAATAATATTTTTCTTATAATAAAAATTAAAATATTAAATTAAATATTAATGTTTAATAAAATAAATATTCTATCATAATATTATAAATAATATTTTAAATAATATATAAAACAACGTTTTAAATAATATATTTTTAAGCTCATCGTCTTGTGAAATAGAAGCTCTAAAAAGACATTTTATTGGAGATCGAGACCATCCTGGCTAACGCGGTGAAACCCTGTCTCTACTAAAAATACAAAAACATTAGCCGGGCATGGTGGCGGGCGCCTGTAGTCCCAGCTACTCGGGAGGCTGAAGTAGGAGAATGGCGTGAACCTGGGAGGAGGAGCTTGCAGTGAGCCGAGATCGCGCCACTGCACTCCAGCCTGGGCAACAGAGTAAGACTCCGTCTCAAAAAAAAAAAAGACATTTTATTGATTTATGGTTTATTAAATTCTTTTTTTTCTAGATGGAGTGTCACTCTGTCACCCAGGCTGGAGTGCAGTAGTGCGAGGTCGGCTCACTGCAACCTCCCCTCCCGGATTCAAGCGATTCGCTGACTTAGCTTCCTGAGTAGCTGGGACTACAGGCGCGAGCCACCACGCCCGGCTAATTTTCGTATTTTTAGTAGAGATGGAGTTTCGCCATGTTGGCAAGGCCGGTCTCCAACTCCTGACCTCAAGTGATCTGCCCGCCTCGGCCTCCTAGAGTGCTGGGATTACAGACGTGAGCCAACGCACCCGGTCTATGGTTTATTCAATTTTAAAGAGCAATCCAACACATAACTTCTTTTACAAAACATGTTGCTTTGAGGGCCACTGGAGTAACTAGCCCCCTCATATGGGAATAAGATGTCGATAGTGGCCAGTTTCTACCCAGCACTGCTTCTACCCAGGGCCAGACTCGGTGTTGTGAACACAAGGATGTTCACCACGTCCCTCACCTCGGAGACTGCCAATCTAGTAGTTAGCTTACAGCATGTTCTTTCCATTTTTAAAACATGCCCAGTGACTATCTCTTACATCCTTACCACTCTGAGCGATTGCAGCATTTATGCAGATCGGTAGGTCATTATTTTCCAACGGATGATTTTTCTTTTTCTTTTCTTTTTTTTTTTTTTTTTTTGAGACAGGGTCTCGTTCTGTTGCCCAAGCTGGAGTGCAGTGGCGCTATCTCACCTCACTGCAACCGCCGCCTCCCAGGTTCAAGCGATTCTCTGACTTAGCGTCCCAAGTAGCTGGGACTTCAAGTGTGCACCACCATGCCGGGCTAATTTTTGTATTTTTAGTAGAGATGGGGTCTTGCCATGTTGGCCAGGCTGGTCTCAAACACCTAACCTCAAGTGATCTGCCCGCCTCAGCCTCCCAAAGACCAACAGATGTTTTTTCAAGATATTTGTAATTGAGAACGCACACACTTTGAAGTCAGACGTATCTGGATTTGCATCCCAGCTCCCCTGCTTACCAGCTGTGTGGCCTTGGGCATGTCATTTAACCTCTCTAGGCCTCAGCTGCCTCATCTTTAACATTCTACCCACATGGTTGTTGTGAGAATTAAATGGGTGAATATGTGTTAACACATTAAGTTCAGAGTTTGGCCCATAGGAGAAATAAATATTGGTATAAGTATTTCAATATTTAGATTAAGTGTATTTTTTTTTGAGACAGGGTCTTGCTCTGTGGTCTAGGCTGGAGTGCAGTGGTGCAATCTCAGCTCACTGCAGCCTCGACCTCCTGGCCTCAAGTGATCCTCCCACCTCAGTCTCCTGAGTAACTGGGACCACAGGCACATACCATCATGCCTGGCTTTTTTTTTTTTTTTTAAGACGGAGTCTCTGTCACCCAGGCTGGAGTGCAGTGGCACGGTCTTAGTGCACCACAACCTTTGGCTCACTGCAACCTCTGCCTCCCAGGTTCAAGTGATTCTCCTGCCTCGACCTCCCGAGTAGCTAGGACTACAGGCATGCACCACCGCACCTGGCTAATTTTTTGTAATTTTAGTGGAAATGGGGTTTCACTGTGTTGGCCAGGCTGGTCTCGAACTCCTGGCCTCAAGTGATCTGTCTGCCTCAGCCTCCAAATTGCTGGGATTACAGGTGTGAGCCACCATGCCTGGCCTACGCCTGGCTATTTTAAAAATTCCTTTTGTAGAGATGGGGTTCTCACTATTTTTCCCAGGCTGGTCTTGAACTCCTGAGCTCATGCGATCCTTCTGCCTTGGCCTCCCAAAGTGCTGGGACTACAGACATGAGCCACCATGCCTGCCCGGATTAAATATATTAAACTGGCTTTGTTCCCTGACTTGTAGAATGGGACTTGGTTGTCACAAGAGTATTTCCAGAAGTTTTGCCTTTTATTGTGCAAGCTTTTTATAGCCACTTTGACCTTTCCTACTCAGGCAAACAAGTCTGCTTCGTCCCGGTTTTCTAGTTCTTAAGTGAGGGAAGTGGCTACCTCACTCCTGGAGAGGTCACACCAGGTAAGTTTGTACACTCATAGAGGCCCCTCGATGTCCTTGAATTTGACACTGGTGCCAGAGTCTATACCATTTTGGTTTATCTAAATAACCAGTGCTCTGTGGGCTCTAATTTTTCTGAGGCTGAGAAGGGCTATTTGAAAATTGTTGGCATAGCTCTGTTTCTGGAGGTTAAGGGATCGTTTCTCTTTTTTTTTTCCTTTTTTTTTTTTTTTTTTTTTTTTGAGACGGAGTCTTGCTCTGTCACCCAGGCTGGAGTGCAGCGGCATGATCTCTGCTCACTGCAACCTCCGCCTCCCAGGTTCAAGCGATTCTCCTTCCTCAGCCTCCTGAGTAGCATGTGCCATAACGCCTGGCTAATTTTTGTATTTTTAGTAGAGACGGGGTTTTGTCATGTTGGCCAGGCTGGTCTCAAACTCCTGACCTCAGTGATCTGCCCACCTCGGCCTCCCAAAGTGTTGGGGTTACAGGCATGAGCCACCATGCCCGCCCAAGGGATCACTTTTGAAGCAGCTTCCTTTGCTTGGAGGAAAATCTACAGGATAGGCCCGTTAGTCACACAAATATAAAAGGTTCTTGGTGACAACTGTGTCGTGGCTTATAACCAGAATACCAATGCTTTGGACCAAGATATCCTGTCGCGCCACAAGAATGGTGGAGGCATCTTTAGCCAGACTGTGTCCTTATAGGGTTAGATGGCACTAGGTCTTAAAGATCCATTCAGGCTGCCCTGTCTCTAAACAGGGTCATTTGTTCTTGGGGGATTTGGGTGCCCAAGTCTGGCCCGCGGATCAGGAGCAGAGGCTGACCCAAGTAGGAAGAATGGGGGAGTGGAACCAGGCAGGGGCGCCAGGGGCCCTGAGCTGGGAGGGAGGGACCTCTCTCTGGAGGGAAAGGGGCTATTCTTGGCCTTCACAAAGGGACATTGACCAAGGCTCTCCTGTGGGCTGATAGGTAGGCTGACCTGTCAATCAGGGAAGAGAGAGATTCCAGGAGAGACAGACCCCTGAGTCCACTAAATCAGACTCTCCAGAGCCATGACCCAGGAACCTAATTTCTCAAACCAGAGCCACAGGGTGGGGACATTGCTTGGACTGAGTGCTTCACAGCCTTGGCTGCATTTTAGAATCATTAGGGGAGCTTTAAAAAACACAGATGCAGCCGGGTGCTGTGGTTCACGCCTGTAATCCCAGCACTCTGGGAGGCCGAGTCAGGCAGATCACTTGAGGTCAGGAGTTCGAGACCAGTCTGCACAACATGGCAAGATACCTGTCTCTACTAAAACTACAAAAATAGCCGGGCATGGTGGTGTGTGCCTGCAGGCTCAGCTGCTCAGGAGGCTAAGGCAGGAGAATCACTGGCACCGGGGAGGTGGAGGTTGCAATGAGTGGAGATCGCACCACTGCACTCCAGCCTGGGCAACAGAGCGAGACTCTGTCTCAAAAACAAACAAACAAACAAAACCAAGAAAACTATAGATTCCCAGTATATACTTCAAGTGATAATGGAAAACAGATACCAAACAAACATGTGTACACTCACGTTCATAGTAGCACTACTCACAATAGCCACAAAAGGCGGAAATAACCCCAATGTCCATCAACAAATGAATGAATAAAAAATTGTGGTGCACCCAATACTATTCAGCTGTAAAAAGGAACGAAGGCTGACTCATGCTGCAACACGGTGGAACCGTGGAGCATTAAGCCAAGTGAAAGAAGCTATGGAAAAGGTCACATTTTGTATGATTCCTTTTCTATGAAATATCCAGAGTAGTTAAATCCATAAAGAGAGGACAAGGCGCGGTGGCTCACGCCTGTAATCCTAGTACTTTGGGAGGCCAAGGCGGGTGGATCACGAGGTCAGGAGATCAAGACCATCCTGGCTAACACGGTGAAACCCCATCTCTACTAAAAATACAAAAAATTAGCCGGGCGTGGTGTTGGATGCCTGTAATCCCAGCTACTCGGGAGGCTGAGGCAGGAGAATGGCGTGAACCCAGGAGGCGGAGCCTGCAGTGAGCCGAGATCGCACCACTGCACTCCAGCTTGGGAGACAGAGTAAGACTCTGTCTCAAAAATAAATAAATAAATAAACAAATAAATAAAATAAAATAAATAAATAAATCCATAACGAGAGAAAGCAGATTTGTGGTCACCAGGGATTGGGGGAAGGTGGAATGGGCAGTGGTTGTTTAATGGGTACACAGGGTCTTATTTTGGGGATGATAAAAATGTTTTGAAACCAAGTAGAGGGGGTGGTTGTGTGAATGTGCTGAATGCCACTGCATTGTCCACTTTAAAATGGTGAATTTTATGCTATGTGAATTTCACTTCAATTTAAAAATTTTATGCTATGTGAATTTCACTTCAATTTAAAAATTTTATGCTATGTGAATTTCACTTCAATTTAAAAAAATCATGATATTTTAAAAGCATGCGAATGCCCGAGCCCCACTGTAGCCCCGTGAAACCTGAGTCTCTGGGGGTGGAGCCAGACAGGAAGGAATCTCCCAGGGGCAGCCAGGCTGAGAGCCACACTCACAGGGGATTTGTTGCAGATGGGCTCACACCTGCTCCTTTCTCAGGTCTTATTCAGGTGTCCTCTCCCTAGAAAGTTGTTTTCAAGGGAGCCCCCTCCTCCACCGCCTCACCACTCAGCGGGGTGACACACCCCTTCCCCCCACACTTCATCACACCCAGGACAGGCTTCTTCCTGAGCACCCTGAACTCAATTGCCACCATCTGTTACCCCTCACCGTCATCCCAGATCACAAGCTTTCTCAGGGGGGGCACCATCCTTCCTTCTATTTCAGTTTCTCCAGGACTTGGCACAGAGGGGAGCCTAAGAAATGTTGCGTGAATGACTGACTGAGTGAAGGAATAAATAACAGTGATAAATGACTTTGCGAGTGAATCGGTGAATGAATAAATGAATGAATGAATGAATGAGTGATTGAATGGAAGCGAGGTTCACAAGTCCCTTGTAGCATTTCTTTCATCCATGTAGCTTGCCCAGAGCTTTCAAAACAACTTCTGAAACGTTCTTTTGGGAGCAGGACTTTGATTTCTCTTACATGTTTATTTCTGCAAAATTGAGTAGCTTTACCGCTGGCAGATAGAAGGTGTTCCCAATTTCTTTTCTTTTTTTTTTTTTTGAAACAGAGTTTCACTCTTGTTGCCCAGGCTGGAGTGCAATGGCATGATCTCAGCTCACCACAACCTCCACCTCCCAGGTTCAAGGGATTCTCCTGCCTCTGCTTCCCGAGTAGCTGGGATTACAGGCATGTGCCATGACGCCTGGCTAATTTTGTATTTTTAGTAGAGATAGGGTTTCTCCATGTTGGTCAGGCTGGCCTTGAACTCCCGACCTCAGGTGATCTGCCCGCCTCGGCCTCCCAAAGTGCTGGGATTACAGGCGTGAGCCACTGCCTCCGGCCAGGTGTTCCCAATTTCTTAATTGTCAAGCATCTCTTGCCATGACAGCCAGCCTCTGCACATTGGACTCACCTGGGGGGCTTTAAAGCCATACTGATGCCTGGGTCTCACACCCAATGTCTGAGTCAATTGGTCTGGTGTAGTCAGAAAGGCAATTATTAAAAAGTCAAGAAACAACAGATGCTGGCGAAACTGCAGAGAAATAGGAACGCTTTTACCCTGTTGGTGGGAATGTAAATTAATTCAACAACTGTGGATGGCAGTGTGGCAATTCCTCAAGGATCTAGAACCAGAAATATTTGACCCAGCAATCCCATTACGGGGTATATATTTGGGTATATACCCAAAGGAATATAAATCATTATATTATAAAGATACATGCACATGTATGTTTATTGCAGCCCTATTCACAATAGCAAAGACTTGGAACCAACCCAAATGCCCATCAATGATAGACTGGATAAAGAAAATGTGGTACATATACAGCATGGAATACTATGTAGCCATAAAAAGCAATGAGATCATGTTCTTTGCAGTGACATAGATAAAGCTGGAAGCCATCATCCTCAGCAAACTAACACAGGAACAGAAAACCAAACACCTCTATATTCTCACTCATAAGTGGGAGATGAACAATGAGAATACATGGACACAGGGAGGGGAACAACACACACTGGGGCCTGTCGATGAGGCAGGGGAGGGAAAGCGTCAGGACTAATAGCTAATGCATGCTGGGCTTAATACTTACATAATGGGTTGATAGGTACAGCAAACCACCATGGCACATGTTTACCTATGTAACAAACCTGCATGTTCTGCACATGTATCCCGGAACCTAAAATAAAATAAAAATTTTTTTAAAAAATTGGTCTTGGGTGTGACCAGGACATGGAAGATTCTAAAAGCCCTTAGATGATTCTAACGTGCCTCCAAGTTCACAAACCACTGCATTAATGCTTGGTTGCAGTTTTCTTAAATGGTTTTTTAAAAAATAGAGACTGGGTCTTGCTCTGTCACTCAGGCTACAGTGCAGTGGCACAATCATGTTCACTGCAGCCTTGATCTCCTGGGCTCAAGCAAGCTTCCCACCTCAGCCTCCAGAGTAGCTGGGACTACAGGTGTGTGCCACTACGCCTGGTTACTTTTATTTTTAAAGTCGCAAGCCATGACTCTAATGTTCCCTTATGTGGAAACAGAAGGATATTCAGCACAACCATGGTAGATGCTTGATTTTGCTCTAGAATTTGATGCCATTTCTTTGAGTCTTATTATATTTGGGACCTGAAAGCTGGTAGCTTCTTGGGATTATAGGCATGAGTCACACAGCCTGACCCCACTTGCTCTTGCACAATAGTTTAAGGCTGCCAAAGTGAGAAATTTTTAGGAGCTCGATAAACCTGGAGGCTTATCTTTCTCTCTTTCCTAGTCTGTAAATAAACAGAGCAAGGTGAAGCCAGCATCATAATGTGACATTCCAAGCTTTACATAGTCACTTAGGTAACAATCTATTAAAATTTTATATTTATAGCTAAAACATCTTTTTTAGCTCCATATGTTTGATTTGTTAAAACTATTATACCTTGCTTTTGAAGAAACAAAATGCCTAACCTCCATGTTTTGGTTAAATAAGCTTAAATATTTGTTGTTTTGGGTGATATTTTGTTGGCAATGTTTGTTGTTTCTCTTAGTACAATGTGACAAAAAGTAATCCACTTCAATATTCATGACTAATTCTTAAATTAGATATGGTTCTGTCTAATGACTTCACAAATACTAGCCTTCCTTAGTCTGGATTTTAAAAATTATTATGGTAAAAAACACATTACATAAAATCGACCATAACATAAAATCGACCACTGTATTATAGATTTTTTTAATAATTTTTTTTTGAGACAGAGTCTCATTCTATTACCCAGCCTGGAGTGCAGTAGAGCAGTCTCAGCTCACTGCAGCTTCAACCTCGTGGACTCAAGCAATCCTCTCACCTCAGCCTCCCAAGTAGCTGGGACCACCATGCCTGGCTATTATTTATTTATTTATTTGTATTTTTTGTAGAGACAGGGTTTCACCATGTTGCCCAGACTGGTTAACCATTTTAAAGTGTACGACTTAGGCATGTTAAATACATTCTCAATGTTTTGCAACCATCCCCACTATCTAGCTCCAGAACTTTTTCATCATTTCTGTACCCCATTAAGCAGTCATTCTCCATTCTCTCTCTCCACAGGATTCCATTTATATAAAATTTCCAGAATAGGCAAATCCACAGATGCAGAAAGCAGATTAGTGGTTGCCGGCGGGGTGGGGATGGGGAGAAATGGGGAATGGCTGTTAATGAAGATGGGATTTTTTCTTTTCTTTTCTTTTCTTTTTCTTTTTCTTTTCTTTTTTTTTTTTTTGAGACAGAGTCTCTTGCTGTCGCCCAGGCTAGAGTGCAGTGGTGCCATCTCGGCTGACTGCAACCTCCACCTCCTGGGCTCAAGCGATCCTCCCACCTCAGCCTCCCAAGTAGCCGGGACTACAGGCATGCATCAGCATGTCCAGCTAATTTTTGTATTTTTTAGTAGAGATGGGATTTCATCATATTGGCCAGGCTGGTCTCAAACTCCTTACCTCAGGTGATCCTCCCACTTCAGCCTCCCAAAGTGCTGGGATTAAAGGCGTGTGCCACCACCTGGCCAAGGGATGGAGTTTTTTCAGTGGTAATAAAAATGTTCTGGCCAGGCATGGTGGCTCACGCCTGTAATCCCAGCACTTCAGGAAGCTGAGATGGGCGGATCACCTCAGGTCAGGAGTTTGAGACCAGCCTGACCAACATCGAGAAACCCCGTCTCTATCAAAAATACAAAATTAGCCAGGCGTGGTGGCGCATGCCTGTAATCCCAGCTACTCGGGAGGCTGAGGCAGGAGAATCACTTGAACCCGGGGAGGCAGAGGTTGTGGTGAGCTGAGATCGTGCCGCTGCACTCCAGCCCAGGCAACAAGAGTGAAACTCCGTCTCAAAAAAATAAAAATAAAAATAAAACAAAAATGTTCTAAAACTGGTTATAGTGATGGATGCACCAACCTGTGAATATGGTAAAAAACATTTTTGCACCTTAAGTGGGTAAATTGTATGGTGGGATGTGAATTATATCTCAGTATATCTGCTTTTTAACAAAACCAACAAAACACCTTATGTCTAACTTGTTGAGCTCCAAATAAGCCTTTGAGTTGTGATATTTATTGTTTTGCTAAAGTGTTTCACTCTGGGAAGTTTAACAAAATGAGCACCTCACCTCAGGCAGCTCTCAAAGGGAAAACAAAGTTCCTCATCCTTACTTCTTGGGCAGACTTAACTGACTGCTGTATTTTATTTTTCTTACTTCCAGAGTGTTTTAAGAGTAGGCATTTTCCTCTGAGTACAGCTCTAGTGTTATCCATGAGTTTTTATATGGAGTGTTTTTATTAGCATTATTTCCCAAATATCTTATAAATGTATTTTTGCTCTAGAGCAGTTCCATAGAAAGGCTTGACATTCTCAAACGTCTTTCTGCATCTACTTTTTATTTTATTTTATTTGTTGCCAACTACAAAAGACATCCAATGCTTCTACTTTTAACTTATTTCCTGCGTTCTTGCATTATGATCAGGAATATGACGGTACAATTTCCAATTTCTTATATACAATGGGCTTTCCTTTTTATTTTATCTCATTGTGTCAAGAACACTTAACATGAGAGCTACCCTCTTAATAGATTTTAAAGTGTACAACACAATACTGTTATTTATAGCTACATTGTTATACAGAGGATCTCTAGAACTTTTTCCTCTTGAATAACTGAAATTTTATATCCACTGACTAGCAACTCCCCATTCCCTCCTCCCTCCAGCCTCTGGCAACCACCATTTTATTCTTTCTTTCTATGAGTTTGACACCATATAAGTAGAATCATGTATTTGTCCTTCTGTGATTCGCTTATTTCTCTTGGCATCCTGTTCTCCAGGTTCATCCATGTTGTCACATAACAGGATTTCTTTATTTTAAAGGCAGAATAATATTCCATTGTGTGTATTATTTATTTATTTAGAGAGAGGATCTTGCTCTGTCACCCAGGCTGGAGTGCACCCAGGTTGCTCGGCACACTGCAACCTCTGCCTCCCAGGCTCAGGTGATCCACCCGCCTCGGCCTCCCAAAGTGCTGGGATTACAGGTGTGAACCACCACTCTGGCCTCCATTGTATGTATATACCACATTTTGTTTACCCATTCATCAGTGGACATCGTTATACCTTTTTCCATTTAATTGAAAAGAAGTCTACTCTTTTCAAAGGATACAGTTCAGAACATTTAGTCATTATATTCTCCTCCTCTGTAATATCCTTACTTTCTTTTCTCTATTTAGTCCAACAAAGACTGAAACAAGTGGGTGAAAGTCTACCACCACTGTTGTATTTTTATTAATTTGTCTTAGTTATTCCCTCCAATTTTACATATGGAACAGGATGCTAAAATGGGACTCTTGTTTTGGCTTCAGCTGAGACTCCGAAGTGGAGTGAGATCAGTGCAACAGATGCCAAGAACTCTACCTCCTAAATTGGGGAGCTAGATTGCCTATGTAGGACATGCTGACGGGCTGTAAAAATGACTAATCCCACAATGCAGAGTAAAAGAGATAAAGTACAAAGATAACTTATAGGAGATTTATATGGTAAAATTTTCTGCCATTGTTAAAAGCTGTACTTTTGAAGAACAATAATATGGAAAAAAAGATCATAACATACTATTAATAGGAAAAAAGCACAGGACGCAAAACTATATGCTTAATCCTAGTTGTTTGAAATACACGTACAGAAAAAAGACAGGAAACAAATAACCTAATTGGGACTTCAGGTACTTTTTCTTTTCCTCTTGACATTTGTCTGAATTTTAGAAATTTTCTACAATAAATATGTGTTGGTTTCTTTTTAAAATTTTTTTTTTTTTGAGATGGAGTCTCACTCTGTCACCCAGGCCGGAGTGCAGTGGTGTGATCTCAGCTTACTGCAACCTCCGTGTCCGGGTTCAAGTGGTTCTCCTGCCTTAGCCGCCCAGGTAGCTGGGATTACAGGCATATGCCACTGCTTCTGGCTAATTTTTGTATTTTTTAGTAGAGACGGGGTTTCATCATGTTGGCCAGGCTGGTCTCAAATTCCTGACCTCAAGTGATCTGCCTGCCTTGGCCTCCCAAAGTATTGGGATTACAGGTGTGAGCCACTGTGCCTGGTCATTTTTAATCATTTTTGAGATTAGAAAAAAATACTTTTAAAAAGATAATTCAAATATCCAAATAATCACCTTTTTTTGCTACCTTTGCTCTCCAGCTTACAACCAATATATGAATGACAAGCAATTGATTTGTGATCAGTCTTCCTCTTACACAAGGTCCCAGAGGCAGGTTGGTGGGCCAGCAACCTGGCCTCATTAGCAGCAGGTTTAACAGCAGCTTCTGTTGCTTGTTTTCCCAGTAAATGGCCAGAATATTCCAAAAGGGAGCATCAAGTTTGCCTACTTTGTTCTCGTATATTTATTTGCAGCTGATGCTGGGACCAATGCAGTAGTTGTAGCTTTATGTTTAATTACAGCTGAGAAATTCAGTTGCCATAGATACGGAGGGCTAGGATGATGTTACTGTTGCCATTTACCTCACGAGCTGGTTAAAATTGACCTTTAGAAATCTAAGCTTAATTATCTTTACTGCCAAAGTAGGCCCCCTGGGGCTGTACCTTATGAAGTCATATTTTGACAATCATTTCCTTCTTTTCTCATCATTAAACCTTATTTTCTGGATCTGCCATGAAATGCACATGGGGCCTCTCTAAATTGCACATTTTCCAAATTCACACAAGGCCAAAAACTGTATTTGCATCCTGCTTTTTCCCTGGAGAAGACGGAGCTGAAGGAGGTCCCAGGAAGACTTACTGGCTTATTTCCAATGGGCTCATCTGTCAGGGGCAAAAAAGTGGGGGTAGGAGGTTGGGGGTGGAGTGAAGATTTTGGTGATCCTAGGTGCCCCCCATTTCTTCCTCAACACAGCACTATCTTGTTATATACGTGCTCTGGAAAACAGGTTCTATAAAGAAGTTTGCTGTGGTTTGAAACATTAAGCATTCTTAGAAGTCAGGCGATGCACCAGCCACGCTCCCACACTGCATGCCTGTGTGCACTGCTGCAGAGCCCCTGACTCCACCAGTAGTTTCTGCTAGTCCACAGGCAGTTGAATGCACGTCTTCATTCATTCATTCTTTGAACAAATGTCCTAGAAACTGAGGACATTGCAATGAACAAGAGAGACAAGGACACTAGCTTTATAGATCTACTTTGAATGGGGGAGGCTGAACTAATACTCTCAGAAGCAACTCTACAATACCCCTGGTAGGTGCTATGAGGGAGGAACACAGGGTGCCATAAGAACCTCTTTCTTTCTTTCTTTTCTCTTTCTTTCTTCTTTCTTTCTTTCCCTCCCTCCCTCCCTCCCTCCCTCCCTTCTTTCCTTCCTTCCTTCCTTCCTTCCTTCCTTCCTTCCTTCCTTCCTTCCTTCCTTTCTGTCTCTCTCTCTTTCTTTCTTTTTATTTGAGATGGAGTCTTGCTCTGTCACCCAGGCTGGAGTGCAATGGCGCAATCTTGGCTCACTGCAACCTCTGCCTCCCAGGTTCAACCAATTCTCCTGCCTCAGCCTTCCAAGTAGCTGGGATTACAGGCACCCGCCATCACGCCTGGTTAATTTTTGTATTTTTAGTAAAGATGGGGTTTCACCATGTTGGCCAGGCTGGTCTTGAATTCCTGACCTCAGGTGATCTGCCCATCTGAGCCTCCCAAGGTGCTGAGATTATAGGTTTGAGCCACTGCGCCTGGCCAAGAACTTATTTCTGATCTATGGCATGGGTTATGGGTTTTAGGCGGCCTCTCCCAGGAAGTGACATTTCAATTAAGACCTGAACGATGACACTCCAGATTTTCTGTATAGGAGATGATTCAGGACAGTATTCAGAGTAGATGAAAGGGGTTGAAGCTGTATGTCTTTGAGAAAACAACAATTACTGTCAAGAAAGGAAGGTGATGGATAAGGGCCCCTCAGATACATCTTTATCACAATACAGGGCATGACAAATAAGATATTCAAAGAGCAAGTGCAAATGCTCTGAGGTCAGTCTCCTAGTGGGATATTTGGATAAAAGATCTAAACACAAATTATCATCACTGTAAACCAGTGATTCTTCTTGGTCTCAGGACCCCTTTACTCTATACAAATTATTGAGAACTCCAAAGAGCTTTTATTTATACAGATTATATCTACCAAAAAAAATACCTATTAGAAATTAAAACTGAGGCCAGATATGGAGGCTCACAACTGTAGTCCCAACTCATTGGGAGGAGGAGGCATAGGCAGGAGGATTGCTTGAGCCCAGTGGTGGAGGCTGCAATGACCTATGATTATACCACTGTGCTGTAGCTCGGTGGGGACAGAGTGAGACCCTGTGTCTTAAGAAAAAAAAAAAAAGGGCTGGGCACAGTGGCTCATACTTGTAATCCCAGACAGATCACTGGAGTTCGAGGCTAGCCTGGGCAACATAGTGAGACCCTATCTCTCCAAAATATACCAAAAAAAAAAAAAAAATAGCTGGGTGTGGAGTTGTGGAGCTGTAGCCCCAGTTACTTGGGAAGCTGAGGTGAAAAGATCGCTTGAGCCTGGGAGGCGGAGGCTGCTGTGAGCCACTGCACTCCAGCCTGGGCTACAGTGCAAGACTCTATCTCAAGGAAAAAATAAACTGAGAAAGTTTAAAAACCATTATTTATTAATTCTTCTAAAAATAATAAACCAACTACATATTAACACAACTTTTTTTTGTGGAAAATATATTTTGGGCAAATAAATTTTCGCAAAGTGTAGCATTACTTTACATTTTTATCAATATTCTAAATATCTGGCTTAATAGAAGACAACTGAATTCTTATATCGGCCTCTACATTTAACCTCTTGTAATATGTTATTATTTAGTTGAAGTATATTGTTACAGTCTGCATTATGTCCCCACTACCTCAGAATGTGACTGTATTTGGACATTAGGTCTTTACAGGTATAATTAAGTTGAAAATGAAAATATTAGGATGGACCCTAATCTACTATGACTGGTGTCCTTATCAGAGGTGGATGTTTGGACCCTGGCATAGAGTGAAGACCACATAGAGACACCAGAAGCGTGCAGACATCAGAAGCCAACAAGGGAGGTCTCAGGAGAAACCAGCTCTTGGGATACCCCGATCTTGGACTTTCACCCTCTAGAATTGTGAGAAAATAAATTTCTGCTCTTTAAGCTACCTGGTCTGTGGTATTTTGTTAGGGCAGCCCTATCAGGCTGATGTATATATGAAGAAAGTTTGGCCTCATACAGATAGGTGTAGTTGGAAAAGTTCAGATATTTTAATGGCCTTTTTAGATCATTGTAGATAGCCTTGAGTATACCCAAACTTTTTTTTTTTTTTTTTTTTTTGAGACGTAGTCTTGCTCTGTCTCCCAGGCTGGAGTGCAGTGGCGCAATCTCAGCTCACCGCAACCTCCGTCTCCTGGGTTCAACCAATTCTCCTGCCTCAGCCTCCTGAGTAGCTGGGATTACAGATGCACACCACCATGACCAGCTAATTTTTGTATTTTTAGCAGAGGCAGGTTTTCACCATGTTGGCCAGGCTGGTCTTGAACTCCTGACCTCAGGTGATCCGCCCATCTCAGCCTCCCAAAGTGCTGGGATTATAGGCGTGAGCCACTGTGCCCTGCCCGACCATACTGAAACTTGACAATTGATGCTTTATCTTATAGGTTAGCTGCATGTGGACTCTGAAGCCACATCAATGACTTTTTCATATTCTCTTATATTAAAATCCATTATTTTGCTTTGCTTTCTTTTTTTGTCTTTTGAGACGGAGTCTCACTTTGTTGCCCAGGCTGGAGTGCAGTGGCACAATCTTGGCTCACTGCAACCTCTACATCCCGGGCTCAAGCTACTCTCCTGCCTCAGCCTCCTGTGTACCTGGAATTACAGGCCTGCACCACCATGCCTGGCTAATTTTTGTATTTTTAGTAGAGACGGGATTTCGGCATGCTGGCCAGGTTAGTCTCGGACTCCTGACCTCAGGTTATACACCCGCCTCTGCCTCCCAACGTGCTGGGATTGCAGGCATGAGCCGCTGTACCCAGCCTGCACTTGCTCTTTCGATGGATCTTTACTCATGCATGGTTTTGTCACATTGTGTTTTGGTCATTTGGGAAATATCAGTTCGTGGAGTGATGCAGATTTTCCAAATGTTATACAAAATTTAAAACTCATGTTTGGTAATGTCACCACCAATCTCATCAGAAAAGTATGTAAAGTATTGGAAAGTGCCCACACTTACAGTGGTGGATACAAGTTTCCCAAATGCTAATTTTCATTTGAAAGCGCAACTTTTATCATTGCCAACAAATATTTCAGTTGTTCTCCTTGAAGTGACGCCTCATTCCTTTTATTTTCAAGAAAATGTCGACCAAATACCCAAGTCTGAGTAACCATGGCTTGTCTGTCAGTCATTCTTCTAAGTAAAAATGAAGTTCCATCACCAAGGGGGCTGGGAGGCTGGCAGCTCAGGCACAGAGTATGCTGCCTGGAGGTAATATTGTCCTCTGGTTTGCAGAAGGGCTTCCCATATCATCACACAGAATATTAAAAAATCGTGTACTCCAAAGTCAAGATGTCATAGAATTAATAATCTTAATGGTTTCATCACAGACATTTTTAAGTGGGACTAGCTTTTCCTCTCTCCATGAGGTGTACTGTGGTGAAAAAATAGGCCAAGTTCAGCTTTGGATTCCTGGCCTGTCTGTTTTACTTTCAAAATAGATCTTGAATCTGACCGCTTCTCACTAAAACCCACTTTTACCCCCCGGCTTGAGCCTCCACCATCTCCTCGGATTGCTGCAGAGCTTTCAGACTGAAGTCCCCACTCCACCACTGTAGTCCATTCCAAGCTACTCTCCACCTAGCAACCTCCTCCCCTGAACACCCTCTCCAAAACAGCACACACACACCATCCCTAGTCTGGCTTTATTTTTCTTCCCAGCACTTTAGAAGATGAGCTCCCTCAGGAAGGACTTTGTTTGGTGCACCTGTCTAGAGCCATGTCCGGCCCCTAGTAGTTGCTCAATAAACATTGGGTGAATGAAAAAGAGAATGCCCAAGAGTGCCAGTTCCCAGTGACACCTCCCCTAAATGTGAAAAAGACGCCCCTCCTCTTGCTTTTCCTCTCTCCCTCCATCCTTGTGCTTTTGGGCCAGGTCTGGTGCTTGACCTTGGGAATATAAAGGCAAATAAAACACACAGCCCCTCTGTTCGGGAACCTCCTGTTCCAGTGCAGAGGATAGAACCAATTTTATCCACTGAGCCACAAGCTATCCCATCACACTGATGGGATTCAGTGGATAAAAGCCCAGGACTTGGGGTGGCAGAGACCTGGCTTCAAAGCCCGGGTCTTAACTTTTCTGAGCCTCAGTTTCCTCATCTGTAAAATGGCAATAATTGTTCATTGTGAAAATTAAATAATAATATAATTAGATGTTTTGCATATTGATTATTAATGGTAGCTGTTTTTAAGTGGTGAAGGTGGAATTCATGTCTTGAGGACTAGATTTTTTTTTTTTTTTTAGACAGGGTCTTGCTCTGTCACCCAGGCTGAAGTGCAGTGGTGCGATGTCAGCTCACTGCAACCTCTGCCTCCTGGGCTCAAGTGTTTTTCGTGCCTCAGCCTCCTGAGTAGCTGGGACTTCAGACGTGCGCCACAACGTCTGGCTAATTTTTGTATTTTCAGTAGAGACAGGGTTTCACCATGTTGGCCAGGCTAGTCTCAAACTCCTGACCTCAAGTGATCTGCCTGCTCTGGCCTCCCAAAGTACTGGGATTACAAGCGTGAGCCACCAGGCCTGACTGAGGACTAGATTTTTTTAAAAACACACCCAGAGAATTCACCAGAGAGGCGGGTACAAGGGTGGAGACAGGGTAGAAGAGCTTCCGGGAGCAAGGCACGTGGGCCCATGTCTGGGGTCTTGCTGACATTGTAAAATGCGGTGTGGTGAGTGGCTGAGGTCCAGAGGGACTGGGATGGCGCTAGACGGGTTGGCAGGAGCTGGTGACCAGGCCTAGGGGGCCTCTTGCCAGCAGGCAGGGAGGGGAGACCCAGGCAAAGCTGCCTGGAGCCAGATGTCTGGCAGCAAGGTGGAGGGTGGATTGGAGGAGGCAGGGAGACCAGTGAGGGGCAGGACCCACAGGATGCCATGAGGGTGAGGACAGAGGCGGGGTGGCAGACAAGGAGGCTGGGGAAGAAAACTGCACTGGGAAGAAACTCAAGCACCGTGCTGAGAGAACTGGGACACTCTTCCTGCCTTTCCCCCATCTCTTGCAACTGTCAGTTGAGGTACACAGAGGTAAGCTCCAAGTCCCCCAGTGGATGCCTGAAACCATGAATAGTACCAAACTCCATATAGATGACTTTTTTTCCATATATATAGCTTTGATAAAGTTAAATTTATAAATTAGACACAGTAAGAGAGTAACAACAATAATAAAATAGAACAATTATCTGGGCACAGTGGCTCACGCCTGTAATCCCAGCACTTTGGGAAGCCAACGCGGGTGGATCACTTGAGGTCAGGAGTTCGAGACCAGCTTGGCCAACATGGTGAAACCCCATGTCTACTAAAACCACAAAAATTAACCAGGCATGTGGCGCACGCCTGTAATCCCAGCTACTCAGGAGGCTGAGGCAGGAGAATCGCTTGAACTCGGGAGGTGAAGGTTGCAGTGAGCTGATATCATGCCACTGCACTCCAGCCTGGGTGACGGAGTGAGATTCTGTCTCAGAAAAATAAATAAATAAAATAGAGAAATTATAACAATATACTGTAATAAAAGTTATGTGAATGTGGACTGTCTCTCTCTGAAAATATCTTATTGTCCTGGACTTGCCCTTTTTCTTGTGATGAAGAAGGGGTGGAGCAGGGTGGTGCGAGATTTCGTCACTACTCAGAAGGATGCACCATTTCAAACTTACAAATTGTTTATTTCTGGAATTTTTCATTTAATAGTTTTGGACCATTGTTGACTGTGGGTAACTGAAACCATGGACAAGGTGCGGTCGGGGGTGGCTACTGTATTTGTTGCCTGGAATTTCCTGTCCCTCCTGTCTATCTCAGTAAGATGATACGGGTAATCCAGGATGTCTATTTCTGCAATGAGGCAGAATATTTTAACAGCCAGTCTGACAGATGGGTCTCCGGTCTCTTAACGTTGCTTTATTTTACAGCGAGGGACACATGGAGCCCTTCGTTATTTAGTTAGCTTAGACACATCACACTTGGTTCTAAAAAAAAGACCTCCTTCTAACTTTTATTCAGTAAGTGCTTATTGGCTGATAAATGTTAAAGATATCATATATTGTTTGAAACACAATAATGTTTGTTACTAATTATTTGTAATACAATGTTCTTAAAATTAACTGCACTCCTCTGAGCTCCACAGAAAGGCCAGAAGCACTACAGCCTGCCTTCCGCAAATGTTCCTTATTGTATAAAAGTAACACATGCCTATGAAAGAAAGCACAAAATTAAATGGAGTCAAAAGTAAAAGATCTCTATCTCCTCCCCACCATCCCTGCATTCTTAACCCACCCCTCAGAGGGGAGGCTGTAGCCTGACAGACATTTTCTGTGTATATCTTTTTATAATGTAGTTTTTTAAAAACCAGAAATGAGCTCACACTCTATTTCCTGTTTTGTAGCTTGCTTTTCTCTTCAACAATAGATCGCCTTTTGGAGGTCCAGGCATTGAATTGCACCCCATTCTATGTTTTGGCAGAAGAGTCCTCTCTATGCGGAGTTTTTTCCTACAGGGAAGGGTGGCCTTGAGCCCAGCCATTGTTAGTAGAAAAAGCAGACTTCAAATACACCAACTTAATTTGCAAGGGGATCCTTGGAAAAATGGCAGTTTTTGTCCTTTGTAGCGCATCGGCCTGTGGCTGGATATGTGCCTGGAACTCATGGAAACTCCAAGTGTCCCCAGGCAGCAAGGGGGTCCCAGGAGGAACTGGGCAATGGCCAGACCCAGAGAGCAGAAATGGGGTTTGTGGCTAGATCAGATTCTTACTGTAGGGAATCCTCAGAGCCCAAATAGAACATATTTAGACACGTTTTCCACTTCCTCCAGGGCTTTCATCATTGACATTGGGATATAGAATGGCAAATTGATTTATGTCAAGGAAAAGTTCCTCCCAGGAAAACTCATTGTAGCATTCACTCAGCAGGCTCTAGCAAAGATGTTTCTTTGGTGTAATAGGTTAGCTTGTGGAACACAAAGAAAATCCTTGTTGACAAAAAGAGTCAAAGTCTGTAGAATATTTGATGAGATTTATTCTGAGCCAAATATGAGTGACCCTGAGAACATGTGTCCAAGGTGGTCAGGCTTGGTTTTACACATTTTAGTGAGATATAAGACATCAATTAATACACATAAGATGTATATTGGTTTGGTCCAGAAAGGCAGGACAACTGGGGGTTTCCAGGTCATAGGTGGATTCAAAGATTTTCAAATTGGCAATCAGTCGAAAGACTTACTATCTAGGACCAGGCACGGTGGCTCACGCCTGTAATCCCAGCATTTTGGGAGGCTGAGGTGGGTGGACCACTTGAGGCCAGGAGTTCAAGGTCAACCTGGCCAAACAGGGTGAAATCCCATCTCTACTGAAAATACAAAAATTAGCTGGGCATGGTGGTGCATGCCTGTAATCCCAGCTACTCAGGAGGCCGAGGCAGGAGAATCGTTTGAATCCAGGAGGCAGAGGCTGCAGTGAGCTGAGATCTCACCACTGCACTCCAGCCTGGGTGACAGAGTGAGACTAAGTCTAAAAAAAAAAAAAAATTTACTATTTACAGACCTGGAATCAATAGAAAGGAATGTCTGGGTTATAGTAAGGGATTGTAGAGATCAAGGTTTTATAATGTCATGCAGATAAAGCCTCCAGGTAGTAGGCTTCATAGAGAATAGATTGTGTTTCTTATCAGACTTAAAGAGTCTGTTCTGTCAGTCTTAAGGTCTGTGTTGATATTAATGCTGGTCAGCTGGGCCTGAATTCCAGAAGGGAGGAGGGTATAAGGAAGCCTGTTGGCCTGTCTGACCCCCGCTTCCCATCATGGCCTAAGCTAGTTTTTCAGATTAACTTTGGAGTGTCCTTAGCTGAAAGGAGGGGTCCATTCAGATGGTTAGGGGGCTTAGAATTTTATTTTTGGTTTACATTATCCCGCTCCTGGCCAAAATTTGCCAGAGGCAACATCAATGGTCATGAAACTTTTATTTTGTCCCACAGTGTAGCCGGGGTGACATGGCTGCCTGCCCCAGGTCCATCTTGTCCTTTGGTGGGATCCCTATGGCCAAGGGACTTCAAGTCAAAAGACTTAACAGCCAATTTAAATGTTCTAGGCCAGACAAGAATGGACATGGACTGGCATTCATTAACCCTCACTTTTTTTTTTTTTTTTTGAGATGGAGTCTCTCTCTGCGCCCAAGCTGGAGTGCAGTGGCGCCATCTCGGCTCACCGCAAGCTCCGCCCCCTGGGTTCACGCATTCTCCTGCCTCAGCCTCCCGAGTAGCTGGGACTACAGGTATCCACCACCACGCCCGGCTAATTTTTTGTATTTTTAGTAGAGACGGGGTTTCACCTTGTTAGCCAGGATGGTCTGGATCTCCTGACCTCGTGATACGCCTGCCTCGGCCTCCCAAAGTGCTGGGATTATAGGCGTGAGTCACCGCGCCCAGCCAACCCTCACATTTTTTAAAGTAATATAAAAGCCAACAAACAAAATGCCAAAGGCAGGGTTATAAAATTCACTTATCTTTAACTTCTATGCATTGAGCTACTGTAATCTTGGTTTTAATTACAGACTTAAAGCTTCTGTAATCTTGGTTTTAGTTAAACAATTAGCTATACAAAACATAAGCATTGTTAAAATCTTTTAAGCTGGCCAGGCACAGTGGCTCACGCCTGTAATCCCAGCACTTCGGGAGGCTGAGGCGGGTGGATCACAAGGTCAGGAGATCGAGACCATCCTGGCTAACACGGTGAAACCCCGTCTCTACCAAATATACAAAAAATTAGCCAGGCGTGGTGGCAGGCACCTGTAGTCCGAGCTAACTCGGGAGGCTGAGACAGGAGAATGGCGTGAACCTGGGAGGTGGAGCTTGCGGTGAGCTGAGATCGTTACCAGTGCACTCCAGCTTGGGTGACAGAGTAAGACTCCGTCTCAAAAAAAAAAAAAAAAACAAAACAAAAAACCTTCTAAGCTAAGGCATTTAGAGACTTTTGTTGTGCTGCAATGCTTTTTTGTGATCTTTTAGTAATTTGTCCTAAGGTGGCTGATGTAAAAATTTTTTTAAACATATATCTATCTGCATAAACTCATAACTGGGTGTATTATACTCAGGAGGTGTTGTCATAAGGTATCTTTATATCCTTTTAGTAATAATTTTCTTTTAATTCTACAGGAAGCAGGAAATTGTTTATGGTTGGGATGAATGAAAAGGTGCCATGAATCCAGTAACCCAGGAGGCAGAATCCCTTATTTTACCTGCTGTTTAGGCATCTGTGTACCCATCCTTGATTTGGAGGGTCTGAACTAACTCTATCCCTCAAAACTAGCCCTTGCAATCTCATGATTTTGGAGGACCAGGCATTGAATTGGACCCCATTCCCTGTTTTGGTGGAACACCTCTTCCACGATAGTCCCTGGGGCTAGAGGTGGGGTGCTGGTTGAGTTTTAGCAGTAGGGCATTTACAGTAAGACACAAATGGGCCCCAGGGGGATTCCAAATAAGGGAGATTCGCAGACTTTGTCCAATCATCTCTAGTCTTCAGAATCCCATGATTCTGGTTTTTTGGGAAGAAGTACAACTATGAGAGATAAATAACATTAATAATTTGATAATCAAAAGAGAATCCATGTGTCAGATCAGAAAAAAAGGAACCTATTTCATTAGGGTGCCAACTAAAAACATTTAGAAAATGATATCCTGATACTCTCCAAAGGATTACTGTAGCCAAGAAGTAATTCATGATTCAATCTTCACTCAAAAACAAATGTCAGGGCTGGAATCTAGTATCAGGTGTTATAATTTTTCTTTGAAACAATTTATCTTTCTCTAGCCCTCCTTTTCTACTAAAGAGAAACTATAGTAAGACCAATTTTGTGCAAAATAAGTTGTAGGCTTATTATACTTGGCCTGATTATTTACATAAAATGCAGCAATGATTGATTGGCCATATAGGCTCTTTTAAGGTTGGCTTTGCTGGAACTTTAACTAAAAATATGTTATTCTAGGCAAAGCGCTGGTAGAATAACCAATGTCTCCAATTGTTTTGTTTTAAAAGGAAAAAGACTCTTACTAAACTTATGCAAATAACGATATTGATATAAAATCAGAATACTCATGAACAGTTTCCAAATTTTGGAGAACTCAGGTAGAGAGAAAGGTAAATTTGCTCACAAAAATATTCTTTACCCAATTGCTCTAAACTATAAATAACTCAAAAGAAAAAGATTTCCTTGACTCGTCTTTAACCAGAGCAGCAGGCTTCCAAACAAGATGTTGTTTGTTCACCTTGGAACTGCCATTCACAAGTCAAGCAGCTCTTGTCAGATGAGAGCTGTTTATCAGGCACTGTAAAATCTACCAGCTGCTTACATGGTTAGATCAGTCCTAGGGGAAAAAGAGGCTCCCTGCTCATGAATACCTCCACTTTGCATCCCCAGGTAGCAAGATGCTATATAAACCATTTTTTTATCATGGAATTATTTTGGGCACCATTATTTCCATTAGCATACGGGAAGTTTCAGTTAACATCCCATATCAAGGCAGTAAATGTACCTCAAGTGGAAATTCTCTACTCGAGTCTCAGTAGTTGTCATTGGGAGGTGCTCACAGCTTTTGCCATAAGCCCCAGTGAACACTCCACAAAGAGCCACCAGTGGAGGATTTGTCCCAACCAGTACTCCAGCTTTTACCCAATATTCTGTGGGCTCAGGCAATCTTACTAGTTCCCATTTAGCACGTCCAATGAACATTTCTCCAAGGGCAGTGATATGGTTTGGCTGTGTCCCCACCCAAATCTCATCTTGAATTGTAGCCCCCATAATTCCTACGTGTCGTGGGAGGGATATCATGGGAGGTAATTGAATCACAGGGGTGGGTCTTTCCTGTGCTGTTCTCCTGATAGTGAATAAGTCTCATGAGATCTGATGGTTTTATAAAGTGGAGTTCCCTTGCACACGCTCTCTTTGCCTGCTGCCATGTAAGACATGATTTTGCTCCTCCTTCACCTTCCGCCATGATTGTGAGTCCTCCTGAGCCATGTGGAACTGTGAGTCCATTAAACCTCTTTCCTTTATAAATTACCCAGTCTTATGTATGTCATTATTAGTAGTGTAAAAACAGACTAATACAGGTAGATTTACATGCCTTCAGTTTTATAGTACTAGGTAGGAGAAACATCCCCCAGTCAGATACGATACCCATTTTCATAAGACATTTAGATAAGGGAGTTGCAACTATATTACATAAAGCCTGTTTAAACATCTCAAATTTCATAATCCTGTAAATCTTCACATTCTTATGTTCTGGTACCAGGGACTTTTCTTCTCCACCCCCAAATTATTTTACCTTTTCTGGTGAAAAAGGACTTGGGTTCCCAGCAGGGAGTTGAGCCAACGGACTCAGACTCTTTTGTCAATTTTTTATCTTAATTTGTGTCAGTATTGCTCCAGGCAATGTCAGCTTTCTCATTATAACCTTTGCCTCTTGATTTTTCTCAAATCTCCCCAATCTGGGGAACATGCAGAAAACTAGTGTGGGGCCCTTGAATGTTGGTGTCACAGGCGTTTGAACCAGAGCTACTCCATCTTTAATAGGGGCTGGGTAAAATGAGGCTGAGACCTGCTGGGCTGCATTCGTAGGAGATTAAGGCATTCTTAGTCACAGGATGAGACAGGAGGTCAGCACAAGATACAGGTCATAAAGACCCTGCTGATAAAACAGGTTGCTTTAAAGAAGCCGGCTAAAACCCACCAAAACCAAGATGGTGACGAGAGTGACCTCTGGTCATCTTCACTGCTACACTCCCACCAGCGCCATGACAGCTTACAGATGCCATGGCAACATCAGGAAGTTACCCTATGTGGTCTAAAAAGGGGAAGCATGAATAATCCACCCCTTGTATAGCATATCATCAAGAAATAACCATAAAAATGGGCAACCAACAGCCCTCGGGTCTGCTCTGACTATGGCATAGCCATTCTTTATTCCTTTACTTTCTCAATAAACTTGCTTTCACTTTACACTATGGACTCACCTTGAATTCTTTCTTGCATGGGATCCAAGAATGCCCTCTTGGGGTCTGGATCCGGACCCCTTTCCAGTAACATTGGGAGACCAGTAGTGGCTCCCTTTGGTCCACCCAAGCTTTGGTAAGTGTTATAAAGACCTTTGTTTTAACCTCCATCAATTTTCATTTTATTTATTTCATTTCTTAATGGCCATCTAAAGATTTTCACCCTTCTAGAACTAGTCTTTTGAGTTTCTTTTGCCTTTCCCATTTTTTTTGTTAATTAATGTTTTATTAGCATCTATAAGACCCATGAGGGACAGCAAATTTGGTAAGGCTTCTCAATCAGTCGTTTGGTTGTGCAGGAGTAATGTCACCTGGGGTTCCCATGTAGAAGGGGCCCCCTAACCATGGCATTTACCATGACCTGGGAAAGGCATATTCACTGGGAGAATATCCTGATCACCATAAAGCCAGGCCCACATGGTTTGCATATGAAGCATACCAGCTGCTTCATCTGGGGTGCTCCACATGGCATTTTATAGGGAAAGTTAGGAAGTCCACTTCTCAGGGTAAACAGACCTTACAGTGGCATTTATCCAGTCTACTGGGCTGGTTGTTCTCTCAGGAATAACCTCCTATGTGTCTGAATCACATATACTCATCAGAGGTTGTTCAATAGTGAGCTGTGGGTCCTGCATCAACCCAAACATGCTCTTTCATTCTGTAGCATTTGAAATTATAGATATGGTCCTTAAAGTAGTTATTTTTATAACCCATTACAGTAAAGGTTTCTCAGGAAACTGATAATACCAATCTACAAAGTGGAACAATTATTTTACATTATATCCTCTGATTTTAATAGTTACTTGGTTTTGCCCTTCCCCCACACTGACTATCATCTTGGTATAATAACTACAGGTCTCAGAGGTAACTCTTGTTGCCCTGGCTTAATCTTAACTTTTGTGGGTAGCTAAGGGGCTAGTGGCCTGACCTGAGAGAGACCCACATCTGAGCTTGGTCCAGCCTTAAGGCCCAATTCAGCTCTCTTTGACTTTCATTTTGGCTATTACAGATAACAATAGCCAGTTGAATATTTTGTTTTTTCCTTATTAGTCTGCATTTCCTTATGCATCCAGTGAACTAACTTCCTGGGAGTAGGAGTATGATCCATCTCTAAATTCCACAGTAACCTTTACCTTTAGTAAATGAATGCAGCCCAGCTGCAGCCCCTAAAGATGGGTTGACCATGTGGCCACCCAAGAGTCAAAGGTTTCTCATATCTCACCTTTAAAAATTTCTCTTTATTCATTTAGTTTTATGTATATAATTTTCCCTTTACTTAAATAAATATCCTCTAAACTAAAATAAAAAATTACATTTTCTTTAACAAAAACCACATCCTGTGTTTTTATAAACTTTACCCAAAACACATTTTATTTTTCTATGATTTTAACTCTTAGTAACCCAAATTACCGGTGAGAAAAACAGAGGATTACTTAATTTAACATAACGTGACTTTAAGATTTTAAACTACTGAAGAAAATGTTTGCAATTATATTTACCAAATTAATCTTACCAAATATTACTAAAGTCATGTGAACTAAAAGGCATCTGAGCTAGCTGTTATTAGTCTGATAAACACTTATTTTAAGCCAACTGATTAGAGCTCTTTTTATAGTTTGGTAGTGAAATCTTACTTCCACATGACACATACAAGCATATAGACATAGCAGACATACAAAGGCAGATCCCATAAGATTTTTCATTTGCCTGTTTCCAAAATTATCTCCCTTACATTAGACTATTTAAAAAAAAAAATTATAGGAGCCAACAAAAGTTGAAAGAGAGAGTTCCCATCCCAGGCCTTCTCAAAAGAGAGAAAGAGCTGAGGCAGTGGAGTACGGCAGAAATTGAACTTATGAGATATCAATCTGAAGAATTTTCAAAAAGAAAAAGGTTATGGAATTTAAAAATTTAAAACTTCTTGCATTAAGAATAAGTCAATATTTTAAATAAAATCTTATTCTAACCAATCCTTTAGTTTTGTATTGGTGTATTTTTGATATCAAAGTCCAATTTCTAGAAAGACATATTTCCCAATTTTTTTTTTTTTGTGATGGAGTCTTGCTCTGTCACTCAGGCTGGAGCACAATGGCATGATCTCAGCTCACTGCAACCTCCGCCTCCAGGGTTCAAGTGATTCTCCTGCCTCAGCCTCCTGAGTAGTTGGGATTACAGGCGCCTGCCACCACGCCCAGCTAATTTTTGTATATTTAGTAGAGACGGAGTTTCACCAGGTTTTGCCAGGTTGGTCTCGAACTCCTGACCTCAGGTGATCCACCCACCTCAGCCTCCCAAAGTGCTGGGATTACAGGCATGAGCCACTACACCTGGCCATATATTTCCCTTTTAATTATAGCCAACTTAATCATAACATTTTAAAAATAAATTCCTTTTTGGCTAGGCATGTTGGCTCATGCCTGTAATCCCAACACTTTGGGAGGCCAAGGCAGGTGGATCACGAGGTCAGGAGATCCAGACCATCCTGGCTAACACGGTGAAACCCCGTCTTTACTAAAAAAAATACAAAAAAATTAGCTGGGCATGGTGGCAGGCGCCTGTAGTCCCAGCTACTCGGGAGGCTGAAGCAGGAGAATGGCATGAACCCAGGAGGCAGAGCTTACAGTAAACCAAGATCGCACCACTGCACTCCAGCCCAGGCAACAGAGTGAGACTCCATCTCAAAAAAAAAAAAAAAAAAAAAATTCCTTTTTTACTAACCTTATTACAACTTACACAATCATTCATAACATGCTTGGGCTTTCTGGTTTGTCCTAAACATCCCTCTTTCTTTTTCTTTTTTTTTTTTTTTTTTTGAGATGGAGTCTGGCTCTGTCACCCAGGCTGGAATGCAGTGACGCGATCTTGGCTCATTGCAACCTCCGCCTCCCGGGTTCAAGTGATTCTCATGTCTCATTCAAGTGATTCTCACACCTCAGCCTCCTGAGTAGCTGGGATTACAGGTGCCCACCACCAAGCCTGGCTAATTTTTGTATTTTTAGTAGACATGGGGTTTTGCCATGTTGGCCAGGCTGGTCTTGAACTTCTGACCTCAGTTGATCTGCCTGCCTCGGCCCTCCAAAGTGCTAGGATTACAGGCATGAGCCACTGTGCTTGGCCAACATCCCTCTTTTTTAAACAACCAGTCATTTTATTTTAAGACAAAAATTTGCAATATACAATTCTCTGTCATACAAAGTTATTTTTCTTTTAACCTTTCTTACCAAAAGTACCTATAAAGAAAGTAAACTATAAAGAAAGTTATAGATATAAAAAGATATAGATATAAAGTTATTTTTCTGGTTCTTTTCACCTTGTTTTATATATAACCTTTAAATGACCTTTGAATTAGACAGAAATTATTTACCTTTTAACAAGAGTATACTTTTTTTAGAAAAAGGTTTTCCTATAATCTTTTAAATTTGAAATTACTCAGAAATTTAATGAATATTTTTTAATATAACCTTAGATTCTATATTATATGACATTTGTTTACAAGCATTTATTCTATTACATTTACCTGATTACTTATTTTGTTTTTAATAGTTTACCTAGATTATTATGAAAACTGTGATAGTCATCATTTAAAGTTATTTTTCTCTTAACAACCTTTATGGCCTGTGAATTTCACTGTTTATCTAAGTAAAAAACTTAAGGTTAAATATATGGGCATTTTACCAATAACATAGGATTTAGTTGTTTTCATTGAACCAGTGATATTAGATGTCTTATTTATCAAAAATTACACAAGCAGGGCAGGTGCAGTGGCTCACACCTGTAATCCCAGCACTTTGGGAGCCTGAGGTGGGTGGGTCACCTGAGGTCAGGAGTTTGAGACCAGCCTGGCCAACATTGCAAAACCCTGTCTCTACTAAAAACACAACAATTATCCAGGTGTGGTGGCACGTGCCTGTAGTCCCAGCTACTCGGTAGGCCGAGGCAGGAGACGCTTGAACCTGGGAGGCTAAGGTTGCAGTGAGCCAAGATTGCACCACTGCCCTCTAGCCTGGGCAGCAGAGGGAGACTCTCTCTCAAAAAAAAAAAAAAAAAAATTACACAAGCAAAGAATCATTCTGTCATGGGCTGGTTTCATACTTTTCTAGCCCTTATGTCAAATTTTGACACAGTGTAGTGTTTAGCAGAGATAAGTATGAAACTGCTTAATAAATGCAAACAAAAAATGCTGACAATTCTTAAGACATTCCTAATATTACTTTACCAATAATTTCAAAGCTTCAAGGTCATAGGCAGATTCAAAGATTTTCTGATTGGCAATTGGTTGAAAGAGTTATTATCTAAAGACCTGGAATCAATAGGAAGGAATGTCTGGGTTATAATAGGGGTTGTAGAGACCAAGGTTTTATGCAGATGAAGCCTCCAGATAGCAGGCTTCAGAAAGAATAGATTGTAAATGTTTCTTATCAGACTTAAAGAGTCTGTTCTATCAGTCTTAAGGTCTGTGTTGATATCAGTACTGGTCAGCTGGGTCTGAATTCCAAGACAGAAAGGTATAATGAGGCCTGTCTGACTCCCTCTTCCCATCATGGCCTGAGCTAGTTTTTCAGGTTAACTTTGGAATGCCCTGTCCATTCAGATGGTTAGCAAGCTTAGAATTTTATTTTTGGTTTACATCCTTTACACTTGCATATGGATAATGGTACAACAATGTTTACTACAGGATTATTTGTTAATATTTTAGAAATTGGCAACAATGCAAATGTCCATGGGCAGGGGAATGAATCAATAAATTGAGGTGTGTTTATGGGATAGAATACTTGACAGCAATGAAAATGAATGGACTAAATCTTGAAATAATGATGAAAGAGCAAGCAGTAGGCCGGGCATGGTGGCTCACAACTGTAATCCCAGCACTTTGGGAGGCCGGGGCAGGCGAATCACTTGAAGTCAGGAGTTTGAGACCAGCCTGGCCAACATGGTGAAACCCCATCTCAACTAAAAATACAAAAAATTAGCCAGGCGTGGTGGCAGGCACCTGTAATCCCAGCTACTTGGGAGGCTGAGGCAGGAAAATTGCTTGAACCTGGGAGGCAGAGGTTGCAGTGAGCCGATTTGCCACTGCACTGCAGCCTGGGTGACAGAATGAGACTTCATCTCAAAAAAGAAAAAAGAAAAAAAAAAGAGCAAGCAGCAGAATGATATGTATGGTGTGAGCCCATTTAAAAAACACACACAATGCAGCATGTTGTTTATGGATACATGTAATTTGTAGTAAAAGTGTAAAAACAGCAGTGTTGTTGTTGTAGTGATGACCTTGGGGAGGGAGAAGGGAAAAAGGCTGCCTGTCTCGGCCATGCTAGAGACTTCACCTTCACCAATAATGTCAATTTCTTTCTTTTTTTTTGAAACGTTAGAGGAATTTATTATATTATATTATTTATTAGAATCTCCTTTTTTGTCCTTTTATTTTTTCTCAGCTTTATTGAGGTATAATTGACAAATGAAAAGTGTGTATATTTGGCCAGGCATGGTAGCTCACGCTTATAATCTCAGCATTTTGGGAGGCCAAGGCACGTGGCTCACCTGAGGTCAGGAGTTTGAGACCAGCCTGGCCAACATGGAGAAACCTCGTCCCTACTAAAAATACAAAAATTAGCTGGGCATGGTGGTGCACTCCTGTAATCTCAGCTACTGGGGAGGCTGAGGCAGGAGAATCACTTGAACCAGGTAGGTGGAAGTTGCAGTGAGCCAGGAGATGGCGCCACTGTACTCCAGCCTGTTGACAGAGCAAGACTCAATCTCAAAAAAAAAAAAAAATTGTGTATATTTACAGTGCACAATGTGATCTTAAATATATGTATATGTTGTGAAATGATTATACCACAATTAAGTAAATTAACATATCCATGACCTCACATAGTTATCTTTGTGTGTGGTGAGAACATTCAATATCTCCTCTCAGTAATTTTCAATAACATAATACGTTATTATTAACTATAGCAACCATATTGTACAATAGATCTCCAGGTATTCATCCTACCTAACTCAAATTTTTGTACTCTTTGAGCAACATCTCCCCAGGTCCCCACCCCCAGCCCCTGGCAACCACCATTGTGTTCTCTGCTCCTGAGTTCGATTTTTTTAGATTCCACATATCAACAAGATCACTCAGCATTTGTCACTCTGTGTCTGGCTTATTTCATTTAGCATAATATCCTACAGATTCGTTCATGCAGTTGAAAATGAATTTTCTAAACCCATAGCCAACATTATACTTAATGGGAAAAATTGAGAGCATTACCTCTGAGAACTGGAACAAGACAAGGATGCACACTTTCACCACTTCTATTCAACACAGTACTGGAAGTTCTAGGCAGAGCAATCAGACAAGAGATGCTCTTTATTTCTTTAAAGGAGATATTTATTTCTTTATTTCTCTCCACTTTAAATCAGTAAAGTGGAAGTCAAACTGTCACTGTTTGCTGATCATATGATTATATACCTAGAAAACCCTAAAGACTCATTTAAAAAGCTCCTGGAACTAATAAATGAATTCAGTAAAGTTTCAGGTACAAAATTAATGTACACAAATTAGTAGCACTGCTTTACACCAACAATGACCAAGCCGAGAATCAAATTAAGGACTCAACCCCTTTTACAATAGCTATAATAGCTACAAAAAACTAAAATACTTAGGAATATACCTAACCAAGGAGGCAAAAGACCTCTACAAGGAAAACTACAAAACGCTGCTGAAAGAAATAATAGATGACACAAACAAATGGAAACATATCCCATACTCATGGATGGGTAGAATCAATACTGTGAAAATGACCAAACTGCCAAAAGCAATCTACAAATTTAATGCAATGCCCATGAGAATGCCACCATCATTCTTCGCAGAACAGAAAAAAACAATCCTAAAATTCATATGGAACCAAAAAAGAGCCCACATAGCCAAAGCAAGACTAAGCAAAAAGAACAAACCTGGAGGCATCACATTACCCAGCTTCAAACTATACTATCAGGCTATAGTCACCAAAACAGCATGGTACTGGTATAAAAATAGGCACACAGACCAATGGAACAGAATAAAGAACCCAGAAACAAAGCCAAATACTTACAGCCAACTGATCTTCAACAAAGCAAATGAAAACATAAAGTAGAGAAAGGACATCCTATTCAACAAATGGTGCTGGGATAATTGGCAAGCCACATGTAGAAGAATGAAACTGCATCCTCATCTTTCACCTTATACAAAAGTCAACTCAATATGGATCAAAGACTTAAATATAAGACCTGAAACCATAAAAATCCTAGAAGATAACATCAGAAAAACCCTTCTAGACATTGTATTAGGCAAAGACTTATTGATCAAGAATCCAAAGCAAATGCAACAAAAACAAAGTTAAATAGATGGGACTTAATTAAACTAAAAAGCTTCTGCACAACAAAATAATAATAATGATGATAATAATAATAATTAGCAGAGTAAACAGACAACCCACAGAGTGAGAGAAAATCTTTGCAAGCTATGCATCTGACAAAGGACTAATATCCAGAA
Source organism: Homo sapiens (assembly GCF_000001405.40). Lineage (NCBI taxonomy): Eukaryota > Metazoa > Chordata > Mammalia > Primates > Hominidae > Homo > Homo sapiens. The sequence continues at coordinate 58,304,703 of NC_000016.10, read as the reverse complement.
TCTACAAGGAACTCAAAGAAATCATCAAGAAAAAAACAAACAATCCCATCAAAAAGTAGGCTAAGAACATGAACAGACAATTCTCAAAAGAAGATATACAAACGACCAACAAACATATGAAAAAAAGCTCAACATCACTAATTATCGGGGAAATGCAAATCAAAACCCACAATGCAATACCACCTTACTCCTGCAAGAATAGCTGTAATAAAAAAATCAAAAATTAATAGATGTTGGTGCAAATGTGGTAAAAAGGGAACACTTTTACACCATTAGTTGGAATGTAAACTTTCCACTATGGAAAGCAGAGCGAAGATTCCTTAAAGAACTAAAAGTAGATCTACCATTTGATCCAGCAATGCCACTACTGAGTATCTACCCAGAGGAAAAGAAGTCATTATACAAAAGAGATACTTGCATATGCATGTTTATAGCAGCACAATTTAAAATTGCAAAAATATGGAACCAACCCAAAGTGGATAAAGAAAATGTTATATCTATCTATCTATATATAGATATAGATAATATATAAAATGTTATATATATACATACATACATATATATGTGTGTGTGTGCATATATATATATATATATATATATATATATATATATATATATATGAGTGGATAAAAAGGAAGGAAATAATGAGCATTCGCAGCAACCTGGATGGAATTGGAGACCATTATTCTAAGTGAAGTAACTCAGGAATGGAAAACCAAGCATCGTATGTTCTCACTTATAACTGGGAGCTGATCTATGTGGATGCAAAGGCATAAGAATGATACAGTGGACTTTGGGGACTCAGGGAAAAGGGGCAGTGAGGGATAAAAGACTACACATTGGGTACAGTGCATACTGTTCAGGTGATGGGTGCACCAAAATCTCAGAAATCACCACTAAAGAACATATCCATGTTTAAAAAAAAGAAAGAAAATGAATTTTCTTCTTTCTTAAGGCTGAATAGCATTCTATTGTGTGTATATGTACTACGGGTTTTTTTAAATCCATTTATCCATTGATGAACACTTAGGTTGCTTTCATATCTTGGCTATTGTGAATAATGCTGCAATGAACACAGGAGTGCAGATATCTCATTGACACAGTGATTTCATTTGTATACACACCCAGAAGTGGGATTACTAGATCATAGGGTAGTTCTATTTTTAATATTTTGAGGAACTTCCATATTCCTTCCCATAATGGGTTTTATATTCCCACCAATAGTGTACAAGATTTCCTTTTTTTCCACATCCTTGCCAACACTTGTTAGTTTTTGTCTTTTTGATAATAACAGGTGTGAGATGATTTATAGTTTTGATTTGCATTTCTCTGATGATTAGTGATGTTGAACATTTTTTCCATATACCTGTGGGCCATTTGTGTGTCTTCTTTTGAGAAATACCTATTTCAGGTTCTTTGTCAATTTTTTAATTGGGTGATTTATTTTCTTGTTATTGAGTTGTTTGAGTTTCTTATGTATTTTGGATATTAACCTCTTATCAGAATGTATGGTTTGAAAATATTTTTTCCCATTTCATAGTTGTCTCTTTACTCTGTTGGTATTTTATCTTTTTTTTTTTTTTTTTTTTGAGATGGAGTCTTCGCTCTTGTTGCTCAGGCTGGAGTGCAATGGTGCGATCTCGGCTCACCGCAACCTCTGCCTCCCAGGTTCAAGCTATTCGCCTGCCTCAGCCTCCCGAGTAGCTGGGATTACAGGCATGCGCCACCACGCCCGGCTAATTTTGTATTTTTAGTAGAGACAGGGTTTCTCCATGTTGGTCAGGCTGGTCTCAAACTCCCAACCTCAGGTGATCCGCCCACCTCGGCCTACCAAAGTGCTGGGATTACAGGTGTGAGCCACCGTGCCTGGCCCTGTTTTGTTTTCTTTCTTGTGAAAAACAAACAAACAAACAAATAAACAAAAACACTTTTTAGTTTGATGCAATCTCATTTGTCTATTTTGGCTTTTGTTGCCTGTGTTTTCAAGTCAAATCCAAAAAATCATCACCCAGGCCAATGTCAAGAAGCTTTTCCTCTATGTTTTTGTCTAATAGTTTTATAGTTTCAGGTCTTAAGTTTAAGTCTCTAATCCATTTTGAATTTATTTTTATGTGGCATGAGATAATGGCCTAATTTTATTCTTCTACATGTAGACATCCAATTTTCCCAAGACCATTTATTGAAAAGACTATTCTTTTCCTATTGCATGTTCTTGCCATCTTCGCTGAAGATAAATTGACCATAAATGTACAAATTTATTTCTGGGTGCTCTATTCTATTCTATTGGTCTATATGTCTATTTTATGGTACCATACATATATTTTGAAGTCAGATAGTATGACGTCTCCAGCTTTGTTCTTTTTGCTTAAGATTGCTTTGGCTATTCAGGGTCTTCTGTGGTTCCATACCAATTTTAGGATTTTTTTTCCATTTGTATGAAAAATGTCACTGGAGCTCTCTCCTGATGCCATGTAAGACATGCCTTGCTTCCCCTTGGCCCTCCACCATGATTGTAAGTTTCCTGAGGCATCCCCAGCCATGCAGAACTGTGAGTCAATTAAACCTCTTTTGTTTATATATTTAAAAAAAAAGAAAAGAAAAATGTCATTGGAATTTTGATAGGGATTGCATTTGATCTATAGATTACGTGGAACTTTTAACAATATTAATTCTTTCAATCCATGAATATGGGGTATCTTTCCATTCATTTGTGTCTTCTTCATTTTTTTCAGCAACATTTTATAGTTTTTAGCATACAGATCATTCACCTCCTTAGTTAAATTTATTCCTAAGTAATTTTTATGCTATTATACATGGGATTGTTTTCTTGATTTCTTTTTTAGATAGTTTATTCTTAGTGGACAGAAATGCTACTGGTTTTTGTATGTTGATTTTGTATCCTGCCACTCTACTGAATTTGTTTATTAGTCCTAACAGGTTTTTTTTGTTTTCTCCTTTCCTGAGGCTCAAACCTAACATTTTTTTGGTAGAATATTTAGGGTTTTCTATATATATAAAGTCATGTCATCTGCCAACAAAGACAACTTTACTTCTTTCTTTCTGATCTGGATGCTTTTTATTTCTTTTTCTTGCCTAGTTGTTCTGGCTAGGACCTCCAGTACTATTAATATATTTAATTGAAACGGTAAAAGTGGGCATCCTTGTCTTGTTCCTGATCCTAGAGGAAAAGCTTTCAGCTTTTCACTGTTGAGTATGATATTAGTTGTGGGCTTGATAATAATATTATCTCATAATATGACTTTTATTATATTGAGCTATATTCCTTCTATACTTAATTTGTTGTGAGTTTTTTTAATCATGAAAGGGTGTTGAATTTTATTAAATGCTTTTCTCCATGTATCGAGATGATAACAATTTCTATGCTTCATTCTGTTAATGTGGTATATCAGATTTATAGACTTGTGGTTGATGAACCATCCTTGCATTCCAGAGGTAAATCCTACTAGATGATGGTGAATGAAAGAAACCTGTGCTGTTCTCCTTGGAGAGGAAGAGGAACATGATGGGGAAGGGCCAACAAGGGGCTTCATATATACTCCGTGGTGATGTTCTAACATAATTCATAAACTGGGTTGCAGGTACCTCAGAATGTTGTTGCTTTTGTGTTTATGCTGTTATTGATATACATTAAATGTATTCTTTTGTATATACAAAATGTTCCACAATGTGTTTTTATAAAAACTCTATGAACATTAACCATGATGAAACACAAGTCTACTCTAACAAATAATTGTTTTCCAATGACTGCTGCTCTTTTTATTGTTGAAAAGACCTTACTGGCACTAGTCATTGATCAGACTTGGAATTAAAATGTTTAGGCATGAAAGATACTCCAAGCACAAGACCCGTGGATCAGTAAGGGTTTTTTTGGTCAGAAGCAACACAAACTGTCTCTGACTAGCATGCAGAAAAGAAATGTGCTGGTGGGATTTGAGATAGAACATAGAAGCTCCAACTCTCAGGGAGGACAGGACAGGGAAGAGCTCCTGATGTGGCAGTGGAGCCAAAGAACCTGCTGTTGGCCTAGCGTGGCAGCTCCAGCTGTTACACTCTTTTTGTCCCTTGGCTCAAGACTCAAATTCCAGAGATGAGGGAATCTGGTAGGGTTGGTTGCAGGTTTACCCTGGGCCTGTGGGACTATCAGCTCTGCATGGCATTATAGCCCCAACTCACAAAAATGAGGGGAAGGTTAAAAGAGGTTCAGTGAAGTGTAAAAACAGTGATGAAAAACAGAAGTGTAAATACTGTAACTCAGAAAAAGAGTGGCTGAGACTCTAATGTGAATCACTTTCACTGGGACATATGAATCTGAGAGTAGGATGAGTTCAAGCAAGCAGCCAAAAATTTGAGTGAATAAAGCCAAACAATAGAAACCAAAAATCCAAAAGTACAAACAGGAAGCACGATGACTACCTGGAAATTATGTTTTGCTCGACTGGGCATCCATTAGTCCAGCTTTGAGTGTGTACTATGTTGTGAGGCTCAGCCCCTTCAGCTTTGAGCATCACTGCAGACTAGGTGATCTGAGATGACCTCTCACTGCAAAACAGTGCAGAGGACACACCCTTTGAGTTATCCTTGCTCCCACTAACTTTAGGAGAAGATTCCAAGAAAAATGAGCTGCTAACCTCTGGGAGAGGAGGGGTTGCCTTAGGGGCAGCAGCACAGCTGTTAAAACACTTTACCAGCAGAGAGGGTAGGAAGCCAAGCCACAGTCCCTGGTTAGTGGCGCCCTCTGGTGACCAGTAGAGGCAGAAGCAACTTCTGTCTGGAAGAAAGTGTATCCAAGTTAGAGCCCTATATTAGGAACAAAAAATGAATTCACAATTATTAGGAAGGCACACAGGAAATGCAAGCCACATTGTGTGAGAGTAGATGAAACTAAAAACATTTGGAATCCCCCTCTCCCCCAAATAGCAGATCTTGGAACTGTCGAATACCAAATATAGAGCAGATATATATGAAATGGTTGCAGAAATAATGGATGTAATGACACAGATGAGCTCCTGACAAGATGCAACCAGAAACAAACAGGGAGATTTAAAAACATGTCTTCTAGAAATAAAAAAAATTGAATGTTGAATTTTTAAAAACCTCCAGAGGATGGTTGAACAGAAAATTAGACAAAGATGAAGAGAGAATTAATAAACTGGAAGATATGTCTACAGTAATCACCCAAAATGCAACACAAAGTGATAAAAAATTAAAATATGAAGGCTTTGATGAGATATATGAAGGATGGAATGAGAAAGTCTAACATATATCTATTTGAAATCCCAAAAGTAAAGAATAGAGAGCCTGAAGAAGAGGCAATATTTGCAAAGATAATGGCTGAGATTGTTTCAGAACTTATGAAAAAATATAAATACACAAAGCTAGAAAGCATAATATATCCTACAATAATAAACTAAAAATAAATTAATGCTTAAAGTATCATAGTAAAACCATAGTACACCAAAAATGAAAGAAGTTCTTAACAGGGGCCAGAGGAAAAGGACAGAGCACCCATAATGGAAAAACAATTGGATTTCAGGGAGACCTTAAACAATGGTACTCAGAAGACAGAGAAAAAGCACCTCCAGAGAACTGAGAGAAAATAACTCTTAACCTAGAGTTGTATACCCACAAAACCATTTTTCAGAAAGGGATACAAAAAAATACATTTTTACATTAGGAAAAACAAAAACATTTGTCATCAAGAAGCTTGTACTAAAATTTCTAAAGACTATTCATGGAAGAGATACTCAAATCTAAATAATTATTATCTGAATAAAATGATAAAGTATAATGTATGGAACTAAAATATGGAACGAGAGCATGAGCAGAAGTTTAAAGTATTTTAAGCTTGTCGTATTATCATGAAAGAGTTAAGATAGTAATTAATGTTAGAGGTGATTAAGTTAAATGTGCATTTCGAATGTTCATTGCAGCACTATTCACAGTAGCAAAGACATGGAATCAACCTAAATTCCCATCAATGATAGATTGGATTTTAAAAATGTGGTACATATATACCATGGAATATACACAATGGAATACCATGCAACCATAAAAAAGAATGATACCATGTCTTTTGCAGAAACAAACGGATGGAGCTGGAGGCCATTATCCTTAGCAAACCAATGCAGGAACAGAAAATCAAATACCGCATGTTCTCACTTATAAGTGGGAGCTAAATGGTGAGAATACATGGACACCAAGAGGGGGGCAACAGACACTGGGGCCTTCTTGAGGGTGAGAGGTGGGAGGAGGAAGAGGAGCAGAAAAAATAAATCAATAATCCCAATAAACATAAGAGGAGTATGCGTATCAATTAAAAAGACAGAGGCCCAGCACGGTGGCTCACACCTATAATCCCAGCACTGTGGGAGCCTGAAGCAGGTGGATCGCTTGAGCTCAAGAGTTCAAGACCAGCCTGGGCAAAACCCTGTCTCTACAAAAAAAAAAAAAAAAAATTATCCAGGAGGATCACTTGAGCCCAGGACGTTGAGGTTGCAGTGAGCCGAGATCGCATCATTGTACTCCATTTTATAAAACTGTTGTGACCAGAGGCTTTCAGGAACCTACTCTTGTTATTTCCCCAAGGAACAAAAGTTCAGTACTCATTAATTCAGTGTTTGTCAGGACTTTATAAAACATAGCTACAGCGAATAATGAGAATCAACCATAGTTCAATTTACCAAGAATAGTTGACAATTCTAAACTTGTGTATCTGGGTGAAAATGGCTTCAAAACACATAAAGCAAAAATTGCTATAACTATAGGGAGAAATGGGCAAATACACTAGTATAATAGGAGGCACCTTTCTGAATGATCGATAGGTCAAGCAGACAAAAAATCAGGAATAATTCAGAAAATTTGAATAGCACAGTCAACAAGTTGGAGGATAATTGACAGATACTGACAGTACATTTTCCTCAAGCAAACATGGTACAGGTACAACAATTCTTATCACATATTAGGCCACAAAGCACGTCTCAGAGATTTTGAAGATTTGTATTACACAGATCACATTCTCCAACCAACTGGGTTAGAAGTCTGTATCAAAAAGGTAAATAAAACTAGTCATATGTTTGGGAAATTTAAGAACACATTTGTAAGTAGCTCAAGAGTCAAACAATAATCACAATGGAAATGTAAAAATAGAACTGAATGATAAGGAAATCACAAGGTATCAAAAGTTAAGAGCTACAGAGAAATGGTACTTAGGGGAAATACAGTGCCTTAAAGACTTATATTAGAAAGGAGGGCTAAAGTTAACACACTAAATGCCAGCTAAAAATTTTAGAAAATAGGCCGGGCATGGTGGCTCCTGCCTATAATCCCAGCACTTTGGGAGGTCGAGGTGGGTGGATCACGAGGTCAAGAGTTCGAAACCAGTCTGATCAACATGGTGAAACCCTGTCTCTACTAAAAATACAAAAATTAGCCAGGAGGCTGAGGCGGGAGAATTGCTTAAATCTGGGAGGTGGAGGTTGCAGTCAGCCGAGATCATGCCACTGCACTCTAGCCTGGGCAACAGAGCGACACTCTGTCTAAAAAAAAAAAAAATTAGGAAAATAACACAAACTCAAAGAAGGTAGAAGAAAACAGACAATAAAAGATAAGGGCAGAAAATAATAAACTAGAAAACTAAGTACAAAGAGAAGTTCAACAAAGAAATTTATACTTTGATATGTGCTGGAGTCACATTGGAGACTTGTGACAAATGATGCTGGCATAACTAAGTATCCACACCATGCACAAAAAATGAATCCATACAGTTGAGGACTTACATGTGAAAAACAAGACTTCAAGGGTTTGAGAAGAAGATAGAGTAGACTAGATCTCTGATGCTGAGCTACGGAAGAATTTCTTAAACAAGACACAAAGAGTCCTAACTGAATAAGATGAATACATGTGAGTTCATGAAAATTAAGACTTCTGGTCTTAAGTGGAGACAGGGTTTCACCGTGTTAGCCAGGATGGTCTCGATCTCCTGACCTCGTGATCCGCCTGTCTCGGCCTCCCAAAGTGCTGGGATTACAGGTGAGAGCCACCGTGCCCGGCTGGATACGGGTATTAAGCAAAGAACAACTGAATGAGAAACACATTCTGGGCCACCACGTTCTCACCTGGAAAGCTCAGGAAATGCCTTTGTCCTGCCAGGGTGACTGGGGATTGTGAGGGAGGAAACATATGGTAATGAAAGCTCTTTGAGGGCCGGGTGCAGTGGCTCATATCTATATAATGGCTAATGCTTTGGGAGGTTTAGGTGGGAGGATCACTTGAGCCCAAGAGTTCGAGACCAGCGTGGGCAACACAGTGAGACCCCATCTCTTCAAAAAAATATAATATGAAAAATTAGCCAGACTTGGTGGCACAGGCCTGTAGTTCCAGCTACTTGGGAGGCTGAGGCTGGAGGATCACTTGAGCCCAGGAGTTCGAGGCTGCAGTGAGCTGTGATTGCACCACTGTACTCTAGCCTGGACAACAGAGCAAGAACTTGTCTCTAAAAACAATAAAAAATAAAAATTTAAAATACAGCTTTTTGATACCTGTGATGTGGAACAAATTAAAGAATCAACTCGCACTTCTCCCACTGCCAAAAATTTTCTGTTCTTGTAGCAGAAGCCAATACCCCCGCCCCCCTGCCCAGGGTTAAAGGTGAGGGAGGGTGGTGAAGCCGGCAGGACATCAGGGGAACCATGGGGGAAGGAGGTAGCGGCTCCCTTTGGACTCAGGCCTCACTTTATTATTATTATTATTATTTTGAGACAGGCTGTCACTCTGTCGCCCAAGCTGTAGTGCAGTGGTGCGATCTCAGCTCACTGCAACCTCCACCTCAGCTTCCCGAGTACCTGGGACTATAGGTGTGTGCCACCACGCCTGGCTAAATTTTTGTATTTTTGGTAAAAGACAGGGTCTCACCATGTTACCCAGTCTGGCCTCAAACTCCTGAGCTCAAGCAATTTGCCTGCCTCGGCTTCGCAAAGTGCTGGGATTATAGGCGTGAGCCACCGTGCCCAGCCAGTTTCCACTTTCTCACCAGCCTTCCTGCCTTCCATCAGCCATTCATCTACCCATCCAGTAAGGATCTTCTGAGCGTCTGCACCAGAGGCCTGTGCGCCCACCCTCCCCCTGTGGCTCCGTGGAATTAACATCTTACCTCAACCTTGTCGACACTTCTCGAGTCCTGGCATTTGGGCTGAAACCAAAGCTGCTCACAGTGGCTGGAGTGGCAGATCCCATCTGGGCCTCTGGTTTGGCAGAGCTGGTCTGGTAGCTTAGATTGGACCCGGAAACTGAGAGGCTAAAGAAAACTGGGCTAAGTCTGAAAGAAACCACCCTGGGAGTGTAAGATGCTGACGGGGACTGGAAATTCCAAACCCACCCCAGTTGTGGGCTTCCTCAGTCCAGTCTGACAAGCATGTGTGGACACAGGGCGGGCGCTGAGTGGGGTAGACAGACCGTGGCCACGACCAGAGAAGACTTTGTAATCCAGCAAAAAGCTTGCCTTCTCAGACTAGGAGAGAGCCTGGCTTCCAGAAGAGCCCTGCCAAGGCTAAGCAACAAGGAGGCCTTTCATCCTAGCTCCTCGTAAGTCCCCATGTCCAGACAGTTGCTTGGTGGTGCCATGGTAACCGTGATGCCACAATGGAACATTCTTCCCAAGGCAGTAGAAGAAATCCTTCTGTTGAACTCTACTGTGTCAGGCCAGCCTGAGTTCATTTCTCCTTGAGCAGGAACAGTTCATGGACGAACTCTGAGGACCATTCTGAGGACAAGAGGCATCCAGTGTCATGAGTGGAACATGGTGACTTAGAACTGTGCACATGGGTTCCTTGGGCTTCTGTGCATTGCTTGACAGCTGTGTGACCTTGGACTGGCTAGTTGATGTCTCTGAGTATCAGTTTCTGAATCTGTAAAATGGCGATAACTCGAGTGTCTACTTCCTACCGCGGTTTTGCAAATGAACTAAGCTAAATGCTGGGGCTGTTCCTATGTAAAGATACAGGCTATTGGCCGGGCACGGTGGCTCACGCTGGTAATCCCAGCACTTTGGGAGACTGAGGCGGGTGGATCACCTGAGGTCAGGAGTTCGAGACCAGCCTGGCCAACGTGACGAAACCCCATCTGTACTAAAAATACAAATATTACAAAATATTACAAAATAATACAAAAATTAGCTGGGCGTGGTGGCGCACATCTGTAGTCCCAGCTACTCAGGAAGCTGAGGCAGGAAAATCGCTTGAACCTGGGAGGCAGAGGTTGCAGTGAGCCAAGCTCGTGCCACTGCACTCCAGCCTGCCAAGGGAGCGAGACTCAGTCTCAAAAAAAATAAAATAAAATAAAAAACAAAAAAACAGGCTGTTAACAGTTAACAGAAGCCCTAGCGTTCTTTTAGCCAGCAGAGTTTAGAAGGGTAAAACCACAGCAGAGGCATTAATCCCAGGGTGGGCTTCCACTAAAACTCTACTTTTCTTTCAGCAGCATTTTATGGCTACAGAGTTAAGGCAAGGGTTGAATTCCACGAGTCAAAAAGCAGCCCTTTTCAGAGACCCAACTCTCTGGGGTGCTCAGGGGCTTGGGCTGGATTGAGAAGAAAACTGACAAGAGTAAGCTGCCCTCTCTTCTCTGGCCATCTCACAAACCACAGTGCGGGCCAACTGGTCCTGCCTCTTTACCACACAGAACCAAGCACTAGGGATAAGACAGGTCAGTGCCCTACATCTTGGAACCTTTGTTAGTAGAAAGAGGGGGAGCCTCTGATGTTTGGGAGGGAACATGTGTGTTTGGGAAGAGGATGGAAAAAAGAGGCATAGAAAACCCTGCATGTGTTTGGGAAGAGGATGGAGTCATTGGGTTTTGTTTCCCCAGCTGCCCATGGTGTCCGCGGCGGGTCTCTCTGGGGATGGCAAGATGCGAGGGGTGCTCCTGGTGCTGCTCGGCCTTCTCTATTCTTCCACCAGTGAGTGTGCTGCTTTCCTCCCTCTGACTTTAGCTGCACACGTGGCACAGAAGGGGATCATCCGGGAAGATGAAGTGGTCCTTAATGTCCAAGGAGGGGCTCAGGGAAGATGACTCACGGCACTTTGCACCGGGCGGCCTGCATTGGTGGCAGGAACCAGGCAAAGAAGTGAATCATGGGACGTGGATGGAGGAAACTAAAGTCAGGGCCAATCCTTAGGGTGGGAGTGTGGTTAGGAAAATAAGGCCCTCTGGGTACAGGGGTGAGCAAGAGGCCTGCCTCTTCACTCCCAGCCCCTGCCCTGTCCTTCCAGGAGAATACTGCTCTTTTGCAAACTACAACCCCCAACTGCAGGGCTGGTCCCGGGAGCAGGGGGCTTCTACTGCTGCAGGTGTCTTGGAGGCAGCCACAGCCTCAGATGGCAGAAGTGGCAGCTGCGGTCCCCTCCTCCCTTGACCTCTAGGCTGCCCAGGACTAAGAATTCCAGCCTACAGAGGGCAGGTGGAGGGGAGACAGCTAGCTAAAGCAGGCTCTGTCCCACCTTGCTGCCGTCCCAGCCCGCCCTGCCCTGCCTCCCTGGGGTTAGAAGGGAGACATGAGAAAGTCCACACACACCCTCACATACACACACGCACACACACACTCTCAAACACACACATGCACACACACTCACACACTTGCACACACATACACGCACACACATAGAGGGGAGTCCTCCAGCTCCCTCAGCCTCCTGCAGCTCTCTGTCTTCTTGCAGCCCCAAAGAGACCAGGGGATACCCAGAAAACACAGAAAGGTCCTCTCCCTCCTTAAAAAGCCACAGCTAAGGGGCCAAGACAAGCATTTCATCTCTGGGTCAGATTTCCTCATTACATCTTGGCTTTCCAAGGGTTTTGTGAGGTCAGATAAACTAGCCAACTAGAGCTTTGAAAAAGCAAAAGTCATCACACACTCCTAAACTCTTGTGGGGTTAGGGAAGGTTGGCAAATGCCTTGCACCGTAGATTGCCAATGTCCCAAAAAGAACTCAGACCAAAGATAAGGATCTTGTCTCTAGTGGTTCTGATGCACTTAGTGACCTTCCAGACATCATCTTGCTAAAATCAGTCTGTCATTGTTCCAGCAAAGTCATCAAGTGTCAATTAATGGAGATGTCTGGTCATATGTGCTCCATCATGGAGAGGTCCTCTGTGCTCCTTTAATGATAATTCTATATGTTACAATCAGTTCTTAGGGTCATGGTTTGGAAACTGTTTTTGGGGCTCATATGCAAGGTTGCCCTCAGGGGGAAGCCCTCCGAGACTTTATGTCCTGGGCAGAATTCGTGACCCCTCCTCTTATACTTTGGGCACACTTCCTGTGTCACATATCCCTCTATATGGCCATCACTCTTCAGCATGTCACTCTGATGGGCTCCTGAAATCCATCCTTGGAATCCCAGGCCCTACCTCAGCACCTGCCAGGGCCAAGTGTGGTTGGATGCATGGCTGAAAAAGGAGTCACCGGTAGGGTGTGGTGGCTCACTCCTGTAATCCCAGCACTTTGGGAGGCCGAGGCAAGCAGATCACTTGAGGTGAGGAGTTCAAGACCAGCCTGGCCAACATGGCAAAACCTCATCTCTGCTAAAAATAGAAAAATTAGCTGGGCATTGTGCCATGCGTCTATAATCCCAGCTACTCAGGAGGCTGAGGCAGGGGAGTCGCTTGAACCCAGGAGGCAGAGGTTGCAGTGAGCCGAGATTGCACCATTGCACTCCAGCCGGGCGACAGAGTAGGACTCCATCTTAAAAAAATATAAAAATAAAAAATAAAAAAGGAATACACAAGGTCACACATACTACTAGCCATCACAGTGATGACATCCTAGAGCCTCTGGAAAATTCTACTATACATTAATGAAGAGAGCAAAAATGCAAATAATGTCTTCACATTCTTATGAAAATAGTTTTAAAGTTGGGCGCAGTGGCTCATGCCTGTAATCCCAACACTTTGGGAGGCTGAGGAGGGAGGATCTCTTGAGCTAGGGGGCTCTAGATCAGCCTGGGAACATAGCAAGACCTCATCTCTACTAAAAATAAAAGAATTTAGCCGGGGGGTAGTGGCAGGCGCCTGTAGTCACAACTACTCCAGAGGCTGAGGCAGGAGAATTGCTTGAACCCGGGAGGTTGAGGCCACAGAGAGCTATGATCCCACCACTGCACTCTAGCCTGGGTGACACAGTGAGATCCTGTCTCAAAAAAGAAAAAAAGAAAAGAAAATGAAAATAGCTTTAACCTTGCAGATCCCAAAAGTGTGTTGAGGACTCCCAGGGGTCCCAGACCAGGCTTTGAGAACTGCTGATGAATATGAAAGGTGGCAGACACTGCCAATGTGTACCGTTATGTGTTCAATAGATGAGAGTTTTTATTTGTAGTCTAACATAATTTTGGGATTCAAAAATGCCACTGAGCATCTTTTAGGGTGAAGAAGACACACTAGGCAAAAGAAAGAAAAGGGGTTGCGGATAGCGTTAGTGATGATCGAGACAGACAGCCCACAGGAGAGAGGGTCCTGAGGTCTCCTTGCCCCGGCAGTGAGGCCCCGCACCTGCTCCGCAGGTTGTGGCGTCCAGAAAGCTTCCGTTTTCTACGGTCCTGACCCCAAGGAGGGCTTGGTCAGCAGCATGGAGTTCCCGTGGGTGGTGTCGCTGCAGGACTCCCAGTACACACACCTGGCTTTCGGCTGCATCCTGAGCGAGTTCTGGGTCCTCAGCATCGCATCCGCCATTCAGAACAGGCCAGTGCCCCTGCCTTTGGGGCCCGCAACATCGCCGGGGGTGAGGGTGGGGGCGACCCTGTTTCCTGCTCAGCCTGGGGAGGCCCTGAAAGGTGCATTCTGGGGGGACAGGGCTTTTTACCAGCTCAGCGCTTGCTCTGTCGTGAGCCCTAAATTCACCAGTTGCCAAGCCTGATCTCTGCTGTGAGGACTGCAGGCCTTGCAACGGAAAAATGCAATGATGAGTCCTCCATTCAATGCAGGTGGGATATTCTTTCTGATTTTACCGCCATCACGGAGGCACTGGCTCCTAACACTAGGGTCCCTACCACTTATCAACTGTTCAACCAGTCAATAGGAGCCCTTACCTTAAAACATTTGGGCCTTACAAACGTTACTGCCACAAATACATGTACAGAGAGAAAAGCCTCGGAAAAAATACAGAAGCGCTTTTAAGAGTGCTTATCTCTGAATGCTCAGAACGCACGATTTCTACTTTCTTCTTTTAGCTTCTCTGTATTCTGCAAATTCTGTAATACAAATATGCATTCTTTTAAACCAGGGAAAATCATAAATATTATTAAAAGAATAATGTTTTTGGTAAATATTTCTCACTCTTTGACCCAGTGACTTCATTTTTGGGAATCAACATTAAGGAAATAATTTCAACCACTGGAAAATTTGTATGTACAAAGCTGTTCCTAGGATGGTTAATTACACACAAAACACTGAAAAGAAACCTAATGTCCCACTATCGGGATGAAATTATAATTTTTCATATATATACATGCTATACATATAAATATATATATACATAATATATAGTGTATACTATACATGTAATTATATACTTTATTATATGTAATATACATGATATTGTAATATATGTATATATGTATATGGAATATCTATGTATACAATATCATATGTAACATATAGTATATAATCTATAATTACGTATATACACACACAGAGTATTGGGGGAGAGAGAATAATGACTATAATTGGCTAAATAAATTATAATATAAATCCTTGATGGAATATTATGCAGCTGGTGAATAGTTTAACATAGGATTTGTATTTTTAATTAAAAATACATGTGTAGCCGGGTGCAGTGGCTCACACCTGTAATCCCAGCACTTTGGGAGGCTGAGACGGGCGGATCACTTGAGGTCAGGAGTTCTCGTGAGACCAGCCTGATCAACATGGCAAAAACCTGTCTCTACTAAAAAATACAAAAATTACCGGGGCATAGTGGCATACACCTGTAATCACAGCTACTCGGAAGGCCGAGATAGGAGAATCACTTGAACCTGGGAGGTGGAGGTTGCAGTGAACTAAGATTGTGCCACTGCACTCCAGCCTGGGTGACAGAGCGAGATTCCATGTCCAAAAAAAAAAAAAGTATGTAGTAAAATGTTCACGAGAAACCAAAGGACGTACAGTTAAAAGCAGCTCCTTCCCTCCCCTGCCCCTCAGTCACTAGTTTTTCTCCCTTGAGCCACATTCTGTCACCAATTTCTTGCCTATTCCTTCTTAAATACTCAAAGCACTCATGGATATCTATATACCTATAGGTCTGGCTATATTGATTCTTATATCTATTAAGAGAATTTTCTTTCCCCTTGTATTAGTCTACTTAGGCTGTTATAACAAATATCACAGACTGGGTGGCTTAAACAACAGAAATTTATTTCTCACAGTTTTGGAGGCTGAAAGTCTAAGATCCAGGTGTCAGTAGATTTGGTTTCTCCTGAAGCCTCTCTCCTGGGCTTGCAGATGGCCACCCTCTCACTGTGTCCTCACATGGCCCTTCCCTCTGTGCCTGTGCACTCTTGGTGTCTCTTTCTCTTCTTATAGGGACACCAGTCCTCTTAGATTACAGCCCCAGCCTTATACCTCATTTAATCTTAATTATCTCCTTATACCTCATTTAATCTTAATTATCTCCTTAAAGGCCCTATCTCCAAATATATGGTCAAATTGGGGGTTAGAACTTCAACCTACAAATTTTCAAGAGAACGCAATTGAGTTCATAACGCACTCCCGACACACCCACAATGCAACTGGTAGCACATCATACACATTAATTCACTCACAGCCTTTTTTCACTTTATCATAAATTTTGGAGACCTTTTCTTATTGGTACATAAAGGGCTAATGCATTCTTTTTTCAGCTGCACCATAACCTGTTATGGAAGTACCATAACTACACAGTCCTCTGTTAATGGAAATTTAGGCTGTTTCCAATCTTTTACTACTGCCAAAAATGCTGCAACAGAAATACTTGTACACGCATTATTTCACACACATGCAAGTGTACCATAGTGTAGATATCCCAGGAGTAGAAAGACTGGGCTAAGAAAGACATGCATTTAAAATCCTGAGAGCTACTGCCAACTAGCCCTCCATGGAAGTTCTGTTTTCTATGTAGTGTTTTCATTATGGCTATTTTCTATCTGGCCTATTCTTTTGGTTTTGATTTTCTCTTTGACTCAAGGGTTTTATTAAAGTCAGAGCTTTATTTTTTAATTTTATATAATTTAATTTTTTTTTGAGACAATCTTGCTCTGTTGCCTAGGCTGCAGTATAGCAGTGCGATCTCAGCTCACTGCAATCTCCGTCTCCTGGATTCAAGCAATCCTCTTGCCTCAGCCTCCCGAGTAGCTGGGACTACAGGCGCATGCCACCATGCCCAGCTAATTTTTGTATTTTTAGTAGAGACGAGGTTTTGCCATGATGGCCAGGCTGGTCTCAAACTCCTGGTCTCAGGTGATCCACCCACCTTGGCATCCCAAAGTGCTGGGATTATAGACATGAGCCATCATGCATGGCCAAGACAGAGTTTTAAAATGTCCAGGTGCTAGGGTTTTTTGTTTTGTTTTCTAACATTATTGAATTATACCACGTGGTGATCTATTTAGGATTTGTTGAGGTTGTCCTGTCTGTCTACTATGGGTGGTCTATGTGAATATTTTCACAGGTAAATTAAAAAGTTCATTCTCCATGCTTGGTGTATAATTCAATATATAAAATTGGGCAAGGAAGTCTACTTGATCTGTCCTAGACTGTCAGAGGTGAATTAAAATCACCTACCAGCCAGGTGCAATAACTCACACCTGTAATGCCAGTACTTTGGTTAGACAATACAGCCAAACTTAATTAAGATGACCTCATCTTTGTTAGTCTGGATGTCCAAGGATTCCTTCTTTGTCACTCAAGTCCAGCAACTTTACTAGTTGTGCTGGATTTCCCCCACCTGCCCCTTCAGATCCACTCTACTCTTCTACCCTGCCAGGCCCCAGGAGGACCACCTGTATGGGTTATACCAGTGGTCTTTCTTGCCTTCTGGATTCCAGTTGGTTTTGGCCAACATGCATAAAAGAGGCAAGAGATCAGAGGGAGTGGGGAAAGTGAAGTCAGTGTCCTTATTCCTTTGAGGGCTACTGCGTATTGGCTGCTGGTTGGCTGCTTTTACCAGCTAAGTGACCCACTCTACACAGCTCTGTCTGATCACATCCTCCCCTCACCTAGAGCCCAGAGATGGTGTCAGCACAGCGTTGTTACCTCAGCAGGAGCTGCCTATAGCATGCAGTGCCCAGCGCTGTCCTTGTGGTTTCCCTGCATCCTGCCAAGACCTTTGTAAAGAGTCCCTTTATTAAACGCACCCCAATTTATCTTATTTGAGTAGAACATTTATTTCCTGTTGGGACCTGACCAGAACTATGTCTCAGTGTTAACTACTCCAAACTATAGAGATAGTGGACACGCAACACTACTGGAGATAGGTTAGCTGTCTCCAAACTATAGATTCAAGTCTTAGTTCTGAAAAGTTTTCTTAAATTATATCTTGAAATATTTTTCCTGTTTCATCATTTTGGTTACTTTCTTTGTGGTCAGCTGGTTCTCCTGTGACGGCCTTATCTTTCATTTTCCTCTCAAGCCTTTAAAAATCTTTGCTAATTTTCATTTCATTTTGGTCATATTTCTCAATGCCCCTAATTGTGTTTTCTGTGGGCCCTATTCTCCTTTATGCTGCTTTTGATTTGGCCTTCATTTTGGTCATGGTCTTGTTTCTTTCCTTTTCGCTTCTTTGCTGAGAACATGCTCAACGAGCTTTTTCTGAGCTCTGTGGCAGTCAGTGTCATCTATAACTCTTGCACTCCTGCCATCCTTCCTTTCATCAGCCCTTCCTTTGACTCTGAGATTTGGATTCTTTAGCGTCTCTTGGTTTTACGGTGTTTGTATTTGTTCCTCATTCTCATAGTTTCTTGGGTGATTCCCAAGAGGAGAAAGGGAAAACATCCAACTCAATTCTATTGTCATTAGAACTTCAATTTCTCCAAAATGTATTTACAGAATATATAATAAAGAAAGATGCCTGTTTTAAAATGTAAATACTAAAAGCAGGAGTCAAGATGACATGTTTGGTAGAACTGCAATTACTACTTTTGCAAACTACAATATGTAAAAAAAAAAAAAACTATTCATAGAAAAAACATTAATCAGCAATAACATGTTAACAGATTTTCTTTAGTGGTGGGGCAAATGGTGTTAAGATTAAAGAATCTCCAGGATTCTGCAGGCTCACAAAAGAGGGCACAAGCCTAGGGGTTCATAAAAGATTTCCTAGAAACTTGAGTCCAAAGGGGTGAGGAAGAATTAACACAGGAAATATGAGCTGGATGAGTGTTCCAGGCTGAAAAAACTTAAATGGGAAAACAGGGAAGCGTGAAGCTTCCTTGCTGTCTTGGCTTCTCAAGATTCCCTTGCTCTCTCTCCAGGAAGGACATTGTCGTTATAGTGGGTATAAGTAACATGGATCCTAGCAAGATTGCTCACACAGAGTATCCAGTCAATACCATCATCATCCATGAGGACTTTGATAACAACTCCATGAGCAACAACATAGCCCTCCTGAAGACAGACACAGCGATGCATTTTGGCAACCTGGTCCAGTCCATCTGCTTCCTCGGCAGAATGCTGCATACACCACCAGTCTTGCAGAACTGCTGGGTGTCAGGATGGAATCCCACATCTGCAGTTAAGGCATTCCTCCTCCCAGAGAAGGCTGCGTGTGTGCTGGCAGTGGGGGTGACCTGGATAATCCAATCTAGGGCCTATCTTAATTTAATAATGGAGTTTGCTTGAGGTTCTAGAGTTTGGCTGAAACCCTTACCTAATCAGTCAAGACTCCCAGGGCTTTCTGTAGCCACTCTTCTTCTTCTTCTTCTTTTTTTTTTTTTTTTTTTTTTTGAGACAGGGTCTTTTCCATGCAGTGGTGCCATCACGGCTCACTGCAGCCTTGAACTCCTGGGCTCAAGTGATCTTCCTGCCTCAGCCCCGAGTACCTGGGACTACAGGCACATGTCACCATGCCTGGTTAATTGTTTTAAATTTATTTTTGTGGAAATGGGGTCTTGCTATGTTGCCCAGGCTTGTATCGAACTCCTGGGCTCAAGCAAGCCTCCCACCTCAGCCTTCCAAAGTGTTGGGATTACAGGCGTGAGCCACTGCACCCATCCAGTGGCCATTCTTACATCACATTGGTCCTTTACCCTCTAGCCCTACACCAAAACTGGAAGTACAGAGGCAGTGGACACCCTGGAATGAATACAAGTGTACAGAGAGGTGAGGGGATGTTAGTCCCCGAACTACGGCTGATTGTCCTCTTGTCTAAGCCATCGTTGTTTTCTTTCACTTTGGGGAAAGAAAGAAACAAGGAAATGGATACTCTCTAGAAGAGGAGGAAGGGTGTTCTCTGCCTGTTTGCACATTCAAGTTCAAAGTGGAGGTAGTTTTCAGTAAAAACTCAGTCACAGGTTCTTATTTCTATGAAAAAAAGGGATTTATAAGAACATTCCTGGCAGGGCACAGCGGCTCATGCCTGTAATCCCAGCACTTAGGGAAGCCAAGGCAGGTGGATCACTTGAGGTCAGGAGTTCGAGACCAGCCTGACCAACATGGTGAAACTCCATCTCTATTAAAAATACCAAAATTAGCTGGGCGTTGTGGTGCATGCCTATAATCCCAGCTACTCCGGAAGCTGAGGCAGGAGAATTGCTTGAACCCGAAAGGCAGAAGTTGCAGTGAGCCAAGATCACACCACTGTACTCCAGCCTGCGTGACAGAACAAGACTCCAACTCAAAAAAAAAAAAAAATTCTCACTCTCGTTTGGCTATATGAGTGGGAGTTGTGTTGACATAGGGGACTGCCTTCTCGTTAATAATCCCTGGGCTCTCTGTTGCATGGTCCAGACAGGAAATCACATGACGATGAGTGTCCTGAGGAAAATCTTCGTGAAAGATCTTGACATGTGTCCCCTATACAAACTCCAGAAGACAGAATGCGGCAGCCACACGAAAGAGGAAACCAAGACTGCCTGCTTGGTAAGAACATCATGGAGTAGAAGCTAAGTGTTGAGAGTAAGCCTTGGTCACATCCAGGGGAGCCTCAGGACTCCCCTTCCCTAGATGGGGAGCTCTGTGAGGGCAGGGCTTGGGATGAGTGGCTGTCTCTGGAGTGAATAGCACTTGGCAGACAGTATGCGCTCAATAAAAATCTGCTGAATGAACTAACCAGTCACGATTTTCAGTGTAACATGATGAAGCTTGTCTAAGTCACAGGTGCTTTTTAACTAGCTAAAAATTTGAAAGTCTGAGTCCAAACCACAGAGGCCGATATGCTTTGAGCAGGTCTACAGTGTGGGGCTGCTGTATTCAGCTTCTAGGGAACCTAGACTCCCCTCTGATGCTATCAGTTACTGAGTTTTTCTTCTCTGAGAAGCCCTGCCCTCCACCCAGATGAGGGCTGTACGGATGTGGCTGTCCTACTGCCTCAAAAAAAAATGTGTAGAAGTCACACACACCTGGTTCAGGCCCCTTCATATCCAAATCTGGAGAAAGTGTGGCTTACTAGGGTCACACAGTCAATAAAAGTTACAGCAAAGACAAGGACCTAGGTCTACCAGATATCCAGACAGTGTTTATCTCCTCTGCTCTAGAATTGCTTTTCTATGAGGCTTAACACACACTCTCCTCTAAATAACCTTCAGGACACCTGATGGGGAATTTTTTTTCCCCATAGGATCCAGAAAGGCAGGATTTTTAGAGCAAGGGGAAAAAATACATATATACAGACAATTTTTTTTAAAAGTCATTTTATTGCAAAACATGAAGGACTGCCTCTCATTAAGAAATATGTTTGCCCTTCCAAAGTTGGTGTAACATCTATTGAGTGCCTATTTTGTACTGGGTCCTCTGCCAGGTGGGGGATCTTAACAATTTCTTAAATTAGATAATGTGTTAAAATACAGTGAAGATATAGCTTTTTAACAAAATTCTGCCGTCAACCATTCCGTCAAACAAGTATCATACTTCCTCAGATCTAAGATGCTGCCAATTATAGAATGCACCATCATTTTTTGTAATCCCAAGAAAGAAAAAAATGCTGCCCGTTAAACTCTGACATCAACTGATTAAAAGACACACCCTAATTTCAAAGATGTTGATTTCTAACTGTATCTTAGACTCAATGGAATATTCTAAGCTATTTCTACTCTAACTGACCATCTTTTAAAATCTAACTGCAAAGTTCAGGTTGGTTTTTAACTGTGACACACCTCTAAACATGCCTTCATTTTTGAACAGAATTATGCTTGCACACCATTTAATGGTGACCCGTCCCCATAGAATCCTCTGTCTTGGAAATATGTTCTCATGTCCAGAGGTCTTCAAAGCCACAATTCCCACATGTAGAATCAACCACCAGGTTCAGAATCTGCCTATGGGTTTCCCTGAAACCCAACAAAAGCAGAATCACTCTGCACTCACCCATCCTGCCTTTATTCTACCACTGTCAGGGCTTTTGCTGAATGTCAAGGGAAAAGATCACAAAATGAAAGACCCCACTCTGGGCTGTGGCCGCTCCCTTGGGAGATGAGGTAGGGTAGCTCCAGAGGGGCACCTGGAGCTGTTCGCCTCTGCCTCTTGTGCTTCAGAAGTCGCAGCCCCTACAGGATTATGGGGAAGAGAAAAAGCGTATATGCTGTGCCCAGGTGGGTGGAACAGTGACCTGCAAAACCACGCCATAGCTGAGGACATCTACCAATCACTCATCCAATCATTTGTCCTAAATCACATTCTTTTTCTTGCTCTGGCTATACCACTACAGTTAAGACAAACTGCGAATCGGACTGATGAAAGGGGGAACCACGTCATTCTTGGCCAGGGAGCCCCCATGACCTAGGCAGACATAGTGAGGTGCACACAAGGGCCTCTTCACCAGTCAATTGAAAAGTCAGGAGTGCCACACTAAAGCACCCCCTTCCATCCAAGGAGAGGCACAGAATGAAGTCCTCAAGGCCTTCCTCACATGTCTGGCCTTGGCCTGCTGAGAGATCACCAGGGAATCACGGCAGCTTTGCAGCATGGCCTCCCCGCTGGCCTGCCCACGGAGTTGCTCCCATGTTTTCCCACTGGTCTTCATCTCTGTTCTGGTGTGGCTTCCTTGGAAAAGAGGAGCTTTATTGAAAGAGAATACCCCACTGGGCATGGTAGTTCATGCCTAATCCCAGCACTTTGAGAGGGCGAGGCGGGCAGATCACTTGAAGTTAGATTAAGACCAGCCTGGCCAACATCGTGAAACCCCATCTCTACTAAAAATACAGAAATTAGGCCGGGTGCAGTGGCTCACGCCTGTAATCCCAACACTTGGGGAGGCCGAGGCGGGTGGATCATGAGGTCAGGAGTTCGAGACCAGCCTGGCCAACATGGTGAAACCCCATCTCTACTAAAAATAAAAATTAGCCAGGTGTGGTGGTGGGCGCCTGTAATCCCAGCTACTGGGGAGGCTGAGGTAGGAGAATCGCTTGAACCCAGGAGGAGGAGGTTGCAGCGAGCCGAGATCATGCCACTGCACTCCAGCATGGGGGACAGAGCAAGACTCCATCTCAAAAAAAAAAAAAAAAATTAGCTGGGCATGGTGGCGCATAGCTGTAGCCCCAGCTACTCGAGAGGCTGAGGTGGGAGAATTGCTTGAATCCCAGAGGTGGAGGTTGCAGTGAGCCAAGATTGCACCACTGCACTCCAGCCTTGGGGACAGAGAAAGAAAGAGAGAAAGAGAGACAGAGAGAGTGACCAAGACAGACCACACACCCAGGTCTCGGATGGTAAGGGGCTGAAGCGGCTGCTCTTCTGCCTTTCTGCTGCTCGTGGTTCAGTCTGTTCAGATTGTTTCCTGTTGTTAATTGCGGCCCCATTCCATGTCTCAGTCCAAACTGCGAGAGCAACATGTCATTGCCTGGGCCTTCCAGCCAGGCAGGCCACACAGGTCAGAAGTGGCTGGCTAGCCTGGGGATGACCACCCCCTTCTCGGACCAAGATGGGCCATGGGAGGGGCAGGAATTCCTTTGAGAGGAGACCTAGGGGTGTGGGGTCTGGGCAGGTAAGGTAAGTGATACCTACTAGTTGCCTTGTTGCTTTTCCCATTTTCCCCAACTTTTCAGAAAAATGCTGGCCTTTATAGCGACATCAGGATGATGGTAGCTAATATTCTATTGAGTGTTTGCTGTGTGCCAGGCACTGTGCTGTGCTCAGCACGTGTTACAGGCATTAACTGTGTTCCCACCTTGGCTCAGAGAGGATTTGGTCACTTGCCAGGGTCCCATATCTAGCTAATGATGCCAAGCTTCTACTCCGTCACTTTAAGTTAGATAAAGTGTATGTGGCAGAATTCCCAAGTCCCAGAGGACTGCTCCATTGGGAGTAGGGAAGACCCAGAGCACGGCCAGCCAGGCTGGTAAGCAGTTGCCAGGTGGCAGGAAGTGGCTTACACTAAGGGTTGAAGCAAGGCAGAGAAGGGAAAATGTGAGCATTTCAGGACAAAACAGAAACAAACACCAACATTTCAGGAATGAGAAGCCAGAAGAGAGGGAAGGTTTGGCCAAAGGACTGGAAAGGGGCAAGAAAATGAAATATGAACCAGGAAGCTATAGGCAATCAGCAGAAGTCCACAGCTAATTTGCATAATAAAAGGAAAAGTCATCTTGTTGGAATTTGTGGTGGTGGCTGCCTAGATTTGAAATTGTATCCTATAATTTGCCCCATTTCCAGTGAGAACCAGCGTAAAACATTTCTAGAACAAACAGTATATTGCACAAGGATAGATTTACAACAAAAACTAGTTTTTCTAAGACTTGAAGCCTTCTGTCTTTTATCACAGGGGGACCCAGGAAGCCCAATGATGTGCCAGCTACAGCAGTTCGATCTGTGGGTTCTGAGAGGAGTCCTGAACTTCGGTGGTGAGACGTGCCCTGGCCTGTTTCTGTACACCAAGGTGGAAGACTACAGCAAATGGATCACATCCAAGGCTGAGAGGGCCGGCCCTCCCCTGTCCTCACTCCACCACTGGGAAAAGTTGATTTCTTTCTCCCACCATGGACCAAATGCCACCATGACACAGAAGACATATTCTGATTCTGAACTGGGCCATGTTGGATCATACTTGCAGGGACAAAGAAGGACCATCACGCATTCACGACTAGGAAACAGCTCTAGAGATAGTCTAGATGTTAGGGAGAAGGATGTAAAGGAATCAGGCAGGTCTCCTGAGGCGTCTGTACAACCCTTATACTATGACTATTACGGTGGGGAGGTGGGGGAAGGTAGGATTTTTGCAGGTCAGAACAGGTTGTATCAGCCCGAAGAAATCATCTTGGTTTCCTTCGTGCTTGTTTTCTTTTGCAGCAGTATCTAGTCCAGGAGCTACCCCACCAAACTGAAGAGTAAACTGAGAATGCTGAGTGCCAGGCATTCACCATGCTGTTTTGATGTCTGTTTTTGATAGTTGCACACTGGGGCTGCCACGGATAAGCCCATGGCATACACTGGGCTGGCTCTCCCTCCTCTATCCCTCTCCCAGGTGTGGGAAGGTCACTTTCACTATGCTTGTGAACTAAATGCTGGCTAACAAGTGTCAAACCATTAGAGTGCCCTGTGGTTCTTTCAGTGGTAACAGTTCCAGGGGCCAGGCTGTGAAAACACTCCCCATGGGCAGATGTGGCCCAGGAGATGATACGCAGCCTGGGTGGGGGGTTGGGAACACCAGGCAGACAGGGAACAGTGAGAGGAGCCCGTGACTAGAAAGGAGCTGATTACTTTTATAGGTCATGTAGTGGTCTGTAAGCCGTGGCCTGCCTCTGGCTACTTCCCAGCAAGGTAATCTGCCTGCAACTGCTCATTGGTTATTTTCATTCGATTCCAAGCCTTACGATGGCCTTTTAAGGACATCTGCAAAAAAAAAAAAGAAAAAAAGAAAAAAAATGATAAAGGAGATGGGGGAGAAAGTCACTTGGGGAAAACTGATTGTGGCTACTGAGAATGCAGCCCTCATCCAGCCCCGTGATGGTGCAGGCAACCCTGTGTGGGGCAGCGTGTCCTCCATGCATGCTGCTGTGTAGGGGCCACAAAGGGGCAGCACCCACCGGAAGATTTTTCTATAGAGCATGTTTCTTCTGTTCAGTAAAGTGAGAAGTTGCATGTTCCTGCCACGATTCTGCTACTTCTCAGCTTCGGATCTGAGGGGCCCAAATTTGGATCCTAATTTACTCTCTGCTGCAAAATGGCCGCAGGAGAGGCAGGA
This sequence comes from Homo sapiens, assembly GCF_000001405.40. Taxonomy (NCBI): domain Eukaryota; kingdom Metazoa; phylum Chordata; class Mammalia; order Primates; family Hominidae; genus Homo; species Homo sapiens. The sequence continues at coordinate 58,279,338 of NC_000016.10, read as the reverse complement.
CAAAGTAACACAGGAAATGGGAGCCAGGGTCTAGATGTGAAAACGCCAAGGTACCAGTTTTCCAAGTGACCTGACTGGCTTTCTAAGCTACTCTGATGATGTCCTGCATGACCTCAGTTTGCAACCTGGCCACGGCAGCCTAGGTGCTTGTCTTTCTTCTGACACCAGCATATGGTTTCCCATTGCCCATTTATCTCCCGCAGCTCACAGGAGCAAGGGTGCTTCCTGTCACATGGTACCATATTCAAAGTCTGCGGGATTCGTTCAAAAGCAGAAAGACCCATGGCGACTGTGTACATGCATGGAATGAGGTCCTGAGTGATATTAAAAAATCCATCACTATCTCATTTAAAAAAAAAATGGACTTCTCCATGTATAAAGTAGCAATCACTAAATTACCAGTGCAGAGGGATTCAGAAACTTCTAGAATTCATTAAGATAACAAGCAACTAAAAACACACTATTACTACAGAGTTTCTCCCTGAAAATGGAAAAGACTCTGCCCCTAACAATGCAAAAGGGGGAACTTTCAAAAAAAACAAATCATCCTTCGTCTTGGTTTAATAGTTAAAGCAACTGCTGAGGTTTCTCCCAGAAATTACATATCCAAACATCTGTATTCTTACCCCAAAGAACAAAATCCTAAGTGAAAACGTTGAAGACATAAAAGACTGCCCATCTTGGGGCTCCCCGTGGCTCACCTCTGCTATCTCCACTTTCCTTTCCCACATCCTGATGCTCTTCTCCAGGTCCGCATTTAAGATCTTCTCCCGGACGTAAGTCATCACCTGTGGTGCCCGGAACTCGGCCAGCTGCTTCCGGAGCCTCTTATTCACTGCCTCGGCTTTGGCCCGGTCCTGGGTTGGGAAGGACCAGTTACACCCAGGGAACCCCAGCAGCTCTTGCTTTGAGAACTCACTGGCCCTGCCATCTCTCCCCATAGTTCCAATAGAGTTCCAAAAATAATGTTTACATTTTCAAAGAGGTTGGGGAGGGGTGGGAATCACAAGATTCTGATTTTTTTCCCAAACATATTTTAAGCCAGTTCAGAAACACCTAGTGCAGTCTAAATAGTCTTGTTTCTTTCATTCCTTTTCTTCCCTCCTTCCTCTTCCTCTCCTTTATTAAGGAATATGTTGTACTTATTTTGACTTCTTAGGGTTTTTCTGTGTGTGAAAAATTGTGTATTTAAGTATACTTTGATCAGACTCAATTCACTTCCATGTCTTTTTTAATTATAAGATATATATATAACATAAAATTTATCATCTTAACCATTTTTAACTATACAGTTCTGTGGCATTAAGTACATTCACATTCTTGTGCAACTATCACCACCATCCATCTCCAGAACTCTTTTTGTCTTGTAAAACAGAAATTCTGTACCCATTATACAATCACTCCTCCTTCCCTCCTCTCCCAGCCCCTGGCACCCACCATTCCACTTTCTGTCTCTATGAATTTGACTACTCTGGGTACCTCATATAAGCGGAATCAAACAGTACTTGTCCTTTTGTGACTGGCTTATTTCACTTAGCATAATGTCCTTGAGTTTCCTACACATGGTAGTATGTGTCAGAATGTCCTTCCTTTCTAAGGTGGAATGATTTTCCGTTGTATGAATATACCACATTTTATTTATTTTGTTTATCCATTCATCCTTCGATAGACACTTGGGTTGCTTCCACTTCTTGGCTATTGTGAAGAATGGTGCTGTCAACATGGGTGTACAAAAATCTGTTCAATTCTCCTCTCAATTCTTTTGGGTATATTCCCAGACGCAGAATGCCTAGAAGCTATGGTAATTCAATTTCGTGAGTAATCCTTGTCTTTTAAATATTTATTTAAAAAATTATCATGCAGTAAAAATTAGCCCTTTTAATAGAATGCATTTTTTAAAAATTAACATCAGCTGGGGAGAGTGGCTCACGCCTGTAATCCCAGCACTTTGGGAGGCTAAGGCGGGCGGATCACTTGAGGTCAGGAGTTTGAGACCAGCCTGGCCAACATGGTGAAACCCCATCTCTATTAAAAATACAAAACTGAGTCGGGCATGGTGACTTAGGCCTGTAAACCCAGCTACTTGGGAGGCTGAGGCAGGAGAATTGCTTGAACCCTGGAGGTGGAGGTTGCAGTAAGCCGAGATCACGACGCTGCACTCCAGCCTGAGTGATAGAGCGAAACTGTCTAAAAAAAAAAATTTAAAAAAAAATTTTAACATTATCCTTTTAACTTTTACTTTACTAATTCTTTTGTTTAGGCAATACATTCAGTTCAAATGGTACACTGTGGCAAGCTCCCATCCCACTCCTGTCACCCCATCAGGAAGATCTCCTGCCCAGAAGCATACACTGTTTTTAGGTTTTGTGCATCCTTCCAGAAATCTAGGCTTATACAAACATGTTTCCTTTTTTTGACCTAAATAGTAGCATACTCTATTCACTTTTATTCATCCAGATGTTTTCACTCAATAAATCTTGAAGATCTTTGTGTATCAACACATGAAGAATTTACTCATTCTTTTTAAGCTGCATAATTTTCCACATGGATGTACCATAATTTAACAATTCTCCCACAGTCACTTAACTGTTTAATCTCTTGCTATTACAATAAACAGTGCTGCAATTACTAACTATCTGGGTATACATCATATTATCATTATGCAAGTGAATCAGTAGGATAAACTGCTAAAAGTGAAATTGCTTGTTCCAGGCAGTGGTTCTCAACCAGAGGCAATTTTGCCCCCAAGGGGACATTTGGCAATGCCTAAAGACATTTTTGTGGGAATTAGAGGGGTGCTGCTGGCATCTAGTAGGTAGAGGGCAGCGATGCAACTGAAAACCCTACAATACACAAGACATCCCCCTACAAGAAAGAATTATCCAGCCCCAAATGTCAGTAATGTGTTTAGGGTGCAAAACCCAGCCTTAAGCATATGTGCATGTTAATGTTTGGTAAACAGTGCTAAATTTCCCTTTATAATAATCAAGACAATTACACTTCTCCAGTAATGTTTGAGACTGCCGGTTTTCCCTCATTCTCTCACTACAGTTTTATCGACTCTTTGATCTTTGTCAATCTAAGAGAAGGAAAATAATATCCCATCATAGCTTTCTTTTGTATTCCTTGTATTACGAGTGAGGTAGAATATTTTTCACATTTCAGTTTTTTAGCTTTTCAGTAAACTCTTGACAACTTTTGTCCATTTTTTCTATTAGTTATTAGTTTTTTCTTGTTGATCTATAGAAGTTATTTATTTGGAGTTATTAGCTCCTTGTGGTTTTAGATACATTTTTCCAGTTATTTACCTTTTGACTTTGCTTATGATCATTTTTGCTATGCAAAAAACTTTCATTTTTATATAACTCACTTTATTGATGTCATGGTTTCTAGGTTTTACATTTTGAAAGACCTCTTCATTCCAAGATTATATTAAAAATTTTCCCAGTATTTATTTTAGGATTTTAATGGTTTTATTACTTACATTTAAATCTCTGATATACCTGAATTAATTTCAGCGTAAGGCATAGTTCCAACTTAATTTTTTCCTTAATGTTTGCCCAGTTACCCCAGTTACCCCATGTCATTTATTCAATAATCTGGCTGTCCCTTGATTAATGCCATGCCACTTTTATCATAAAGGTATCAATATCAAAGCTTTATCAAATATTTGTATACTTATGTGATCTGTATCAGGGCTCATTATAGGACCTTATAAATTTTTCTTTGATCTTCCAGCCTATTCCTGAGCGTGTGTTAAATATTGTAGCTTTATAACATATTTCATTATCTGATAGGGCTACTCCTCTCATTTACTCATTCAGAATTTGGGGATACTCTTTTTTTACCCCCCAAAGGAATTTTTGAGTCAGTTGATTTAGATCCTTAACAACAAACAAACAAAAAAACCTTCCTTGGTATTTTAATTGGAATATCATATTTCACAGATCAACTTAAAGAGAATTAACATTTTTATTATGTTGAATCTTCCCAATATGGTATTGTCTTTTAATTCCTTGCTTCACAAAGCACAATCTGTGGCACTAGAAACACTTGGGAGCTGCAGACTCCCAGGCTACCCGAGACCTACCCACTCAGAATCTGCATTTTAACATGATCCCCAGGTAATTGGTTTGCACCTTCCATTGTTTCAATACACTATAAAACAAACCAATAATTTAATTTTTATTAACTTGTTTTCAGAATGCAATAAAAAATTGTCAAGTGTTCAGTGAATACCTCCTGTCTGTTTAGCCTAAACAAACAACTGTGGAGAGACCCAAAGATGTGGGCAGAACCATCAATGCATACTCCCGTCCAGATGGTGATTTGAGAATACCTAAGATAAGTATAATGAAGTAGCAAGAATGAAGGCATTAAAACGTAAGTACTACAGCTGTGAGGGACATGCTGAGAAGACCAGCGACTAAGATCCCCACCCAGCAACCCACTTGTAGAGCAGCAATGTCACTACGGGAAAAATTGTCCACTGTCCCACCCCAGTTCCAGGGCAGCAGTGCAGAAGTTTTGCCCAGGGAGAGAGGCTGTGTTTTGTCTGTTTTCACACTGCTATAAAGAATTACCCAAGACTGGACAATTTTATAAAGAAAAGAAGATTTGATTGACTCACAGTTCTGCATGGCTAGGGAGGCCTCAGGAAACTTACAATCATGGTGGAAAGTGAAGGAGAAGCAAGGCACATTTTCGCAAGGTAGCAGGAGTGAGAGCACATGCAGGGGAAACTGCCACTTTAAAAACCATCAGATCTCATGAGAACTCCCTCACTATCATGAGAACAGCATTGGGTAAACTGCACCCATGATCCAATCACCTTCCACCAGGTCCCTCCTTTGACAAATGGGAATTACAATTTGAGATGAGACTTGCGTGGGGACACAGAGCCAAACAAAATCAGGCTGTAAATCAGAGGGCTCTGGAATGCTGCCCAAGGGGACTCTATTTGGAACAGAGATGGGGAGCTCATGCCTAAGAACTGTGTGGGAAACAATGGAGTTTTTTAAGGTAAGCAATTTAGAGGAGGCTGGTAGTTCCATAATGTTAGTAGCAGCAAGTAAAATAATAAACCAGCTATATGTTTAACAGAACAGCAAAAGAGACCACTAAGAAGAGCCCTCTGAGAGTTGGAGCAAGCCTCAAAGACTGGCAACACCTTGCCCCTGCAAAGGGTTCTGACTTTAATTGGATCAGAATGTAAAACAATTAATGTCTCAGGGTATTGTTGAAAGCAATAGAGCAATTAGCTAACAATTAATGAAGGCTGATGGCTGAGTGTGATGCCAATAGAGTAGACCAGCTGTAAGCTTAGTAGGAAGATGCAGAGTCAAAGAGAACTCAGCAGAAGCAACAATTATCCCTGGTCGTCAGGGCAATTGTATCCATGACTAAGGCTGTACCATGTGAGGAGAAACATTAGAGAGTACTAACAGCAGGGGAACAGATCTAGTTTACTGATCTAGTCCAGCCAAGTCACTAAACAAGTAACAAGCAAAAACAATGACAAGCCCAAGAAAGGGATGGGAGGGACCAATATCAAGAATTCCTATATCACCTAAAATATACAGCTTCCAACAAAAATTATGAGATAGGCAAAGAAATAAGAAACCATGATCCACCCAGGGAAGGCAAAATAAACTGCCTTTGAGGGACAGCAGATGGTGGACTTAGCAGACGAAGTCTTCAAAGGAGCTATTCAAAGAACCAAAGGAAACCATGTTTAAAGAATTAAAGTAATAATAATAATGTCTCATCAAGTAAAGAAAATCAACAAAGAGGTAGAAATTCATTTTTTAAAACATAGAAAATCTGGAATCTTTTCAATATGATGACTAAAATGAAAAAGTCACCACAGGAGATTGACAGCAGATTTAAGCCAGTAGAATAAAGCATCAGTAAACTTGTAGATTGATAGAGATTATGTAGATTGAGGGGCAGAGAGAAAAGAGAACCAAGAAAAATTAACAGTCTCGGAGAAATGTGGAATACCACTAAGTGTACCAACATACAGGTAATGGGAGTAACAGAGAGAGAAAAGAAAGAGAAAGGAGTAGAAAAAATTATTCAGATATAATGGCTGAAAATTTCACTAATTTGTTGAAAAACAGTAAGCTACACATACAAAGGGCTCAACAAACTCCAAACAGAAGAAATGCAAATAAATCCACACCCAGACTCATCATATTCAAAATGTTAAATGGCAAAGCAAAGAGAAAATATTGAAAACAGCAAGAGAAAACAATTCATTACATACAAGGGAAGCCCAACAAGATTAACAGCTGATTTCTTATCAGAAACAATGAAGGCCAGAAGGCAATGGGCTGAAAAGAAAAAAAACCTGCCACTCAAGAATATTATATCCTCAAAATGATCTTTCAAAATGAAAGCAAACAATCAACACACTCAGATCTTGGTTTCCAATGTCATTCTCAAATAAAAGACACCAAGCCTCCTTGGAGAAATGGTGGATTCTAGGACTGAGGCAGAAAATATCTAAGATGAGCCTAGAGCATCTTCTGGTGCCAGAAAGGAAGTGCTCAAAAAAAAAAAAAAAGCCATTAAGATGAAGAGATTCAAAGGGACACCAAATTCAACTGAAAGAGCTCCCAATGGCCAACCTGGAACAATTTGAGCAACAAAATAAATAATGTAATACAGTCATATGCCACAGAAAACATTTCGGTCAACAATGAACCACTTATGAAGATGGTCCCATAAGATTATAATGCCGTATCTTTACTGTACCTTTTCTATGTTTAGATATGTTTGGATACACAAATACTTAGCATTGTATTATAATTTCCTACAGCATTCAGTACAATAACATGCTTTTGTATGTAGCCTAGGTGTGTAGTAGGCTACACCATCTAGGTATACCATCATAGGGTACACTCTATAATGTTCACACAATGATGACATTGCCTAACAATGCATTTCTCAGAATGTATCCCCATCATTAAACAATGCATGGCTTATGATATTATAAGCCAACATACAAAACAAATATCTGGCCGGGTGCGGTGGCTCACGCTTGTAATCCCAGCACTTTGGGAGGCTGAGGCGGGCAGATCACGAGGTCAGGAGATCGAGACCATCCTGGCTAACGTGGTGAAACCCCGTCTCTACTAAAAATACAAAAAAATTAGCCGGGCGTGGTGGCGGGTGCCTGCAGTCCCAGCTACTCGGAGAGGCTGAGGCAGGAGAATGGCGTGAACCCGGGAGGTGGAGGTTGCAGTGAGCCGAGATCACGCCACTGCACTCCAGCCTGGGCGACAGAGTGAGACTCTGTCTCAAAAAAAAAAAAAAATCTATGAGTGGAAACTGATATAAATAAATGATGTTAAAAATAAATAAATGGAGGAGAATAGATAAATCTCCTATACAGAAGAATTCCAAATAAATTATGTGGAGCATAAATCCCCACTCCTTAAGTATGGGCTGTACATAGTGACTTCCTTCCGAAGAGTACGGTATGGAAAGGAGGGAGAGTAACTTCACAGTGAAGAAATCTATAACATACTATCCATCTAGGTGATCAAGGTTCACATCAATGATGAGTCATGTTGACAGTAGACTCCCTTGATATGATGTGATGTGAATGGCACTTTATGTCTGTGGTCTTCCTCCTCAAAACACATAAACCCCAATATAATTATGAGAAAAATATCAAACAAATCCAGTGGAGGAACATTCTACAAAAACCTGACAGGTACTCCTCAAAACTGTCAAGGTCATCAACATCAAGGAAATTCTGAGAAACTGTCTCAGCCAAGAGGAGCTTAAGGAGACATAGCAGTAAATGTAATGTGGATATCCTGGGTGGGATCCTGGAACAGTTAAAGGACGTCAGGTAAGAACTAAGGAAATGTGACAAAAGCACAGACTTTGGTTAATAATACTGTATCAATACTGGTTCATTAATAGTAATAAACACATTGTACTGATGTAAGAGGTTAAAATAAGGGAAACTGGGTATGAGGTATATGTTGGTTCGCTGTACTATCTTCACAATTTTCCTGTAAATCTAAAATTTCTAAAATAAAAAGTTTATTTTTGAAAAATAAAGGAAAAATAAAGACATTCCCAGATTAACAAAAACCTACAGAAGTCATTGCTGGCAGACCTGCCTTACAAGAAATACTACAGGAAGTTCTTCAAGCTGAAAACAAGTGATACCAGACAGGAATATGAAATCAACATTAAAAAAGTAGTGCAAATAAAATTAACTGTATAATAGGTAATTATAAAAGACAGTATAATTGCATATTTCTTCACTTAACTGATTTAAAAATCAAATGTATAAAAATACATATATAATTGTATTTGGGGAACTATAACATATAAACATGGAGTGCATTTGACAGTAATAGCACAAAGGAGGGAGGCTGAAACAAAGCTGTATTTGCATAAGAAACGCCAGATAGTAACTCAAATTCACAGGAAGAAATGTAAATAAAAAGGTTAATACGACAAACTCTGTAAACATATTTCATCTCCTTTCTTCTTTCAGCTTTTGAAATCCTCGCTCACACTATTTAAAAAATTAACTCAAAATCGATTATAAAACCTAAACATAAGAGCTAAAATTATAAAACTCTTAAAAGAAGACAGAGGAGTAAATCTTCATGATATTGGGTAAGGCAATGGTTTCTTATATATGACACCAAAAGCACAAGCTCAAAAGAAAAAAAATGGATAAACTGGACTTGTATCAAAATTAAAAACATTTGTGTTGCAGACAAAACTATCAAGAAAGTGAAAGAAAATCCACAGAATGGGAGAAAATATTTGTGAATCTTATACAGATGATCCTTAACTTACAATGGGTCACCTTAAGTTTTTTTTTTTTACTTTAAGATAGTGCAAAAACAATACACATTCAGTAGAAACCATACTTCGAGTACCGATATAACCCTTCTGTTTTTCACTTTCAGTACAGTGTTCGATAAATTACATGGGACATTCAACATCCTATTATAAAACAGACTTTGTGTTCGATGATTTTTCCCAGTTGTAGGCTAATGTAAGTGTTCTGAGCATATTTAAGATAGGCTAGGCTAAGCTATAATGTTGAGTAGGTCAGGTATGTTAAATGCATTTTTAACTTATGATATTTTCAACTTACAATGGGTAAGTTAAAAAGATAAATAACCCAATTATAAACTAAGCAAAGGACTTGACTAGACATTTCTCAAAGAAAGATAGACAAGTGGCCAATAAGCACATGAAAAGATGCTCCATGTCATTAGGGAAATTCAGATAAAAACCACAACGAGCTATCACTTCATAGCAAGTAGGATGGGCATTTTTTTAAAAAACTGAGAATAACAAAGATGTACAAAAACTGGAACCCTCTCATACATTGTGGGAATACAAAATGGGGCAGCCACTTTCAAAAACAGATTTGTAGTTTTTCTAGGTGTTAGACACAGAATTACCATGTATAACCCACAATTCCACTTTTAGGTGTATGTCCAAGAGAAAAGAAAACACGTCAAGGGAAAAGAAAACATGTATCCACAGAAAAACTTGTACCAGAATGTTCATATCAGGATGACTCATGATAATCCCTAAGTGGAAACCCAAATGTCCACCAACTGATGAATGGATAAATAAAATGTGGTCTATCTACACAACGAAATGTTATTCAGCCATAAAAATAAACAAATGATACATGATACAAGTGAACCTTGAAATGTTATTCCAAGTGAAAAAAGCCACTCATAAAAGACCACCTATTGTATAATCTCTTTTAAATGAAATGTCCAGAATAGGCAAATCCACAGAGGCAGAAAGTAGATTAGTGGCTGCTGAGAGCTGGAGGGTGGGAGTGGAGTGTGGGGAATGGAGAAGGATCTTTTCTTTTCTTTTCTTTCCTTCCTTCCTTTCTTTCCTTTCTTTCCTCCCTTCCTTTCTTTCCTTTCTTTCCTCTTTCCTTCCTTTCTTCTTATAAATAAATGTATTTAAGTAGTTTTTTTTGTTTTGTTTTGTTTTGAGACAGAGTCTCCCTCTGTCACTGAGGCTGGAGTGCAGTGGCACGATCTTGGCTCACTGCAACCTCCACCTCCTAGGCTCAAGCAATTCTCCTCCCTCAGCCTCCCGAGTAGATGGGACTACAGGTGCCCACCACCATGCCTGGCTAATTTTTTATTTTTAGTAGGGCGGGGTTTCACCATGTTGGCCAGGCTGGTCTTGAACTCCTGACCTCAAATGATGTGCCCACCTCAGCCTCCCAAAGTGCTAGGATTACAGCGTGAGCCACTGCACCTGTCCTGTGGGGAAGGATTTCTAATGGCTGCAGGGTTTTTTCCTGGGGTGATGAAAATGTTCTAAAATTATTGTGTTGATGGTTACACAACTCTGTGAATATATTATAATCCACTGAACTGTACACTTTAAATGGGTGATTATATGGCATATAAATTAAATCCCAATAAAGCTATTTTCAAAACGTTAACAAGAAAACTAAAATATACTAAGCAATGAATGTCAGGCTTTAAAAAAAATCAATTTTAAGTTTTACTTGTAATCTAATAACTATCAACACAAGGAAAAAATAAATAAGGACCATGGCAATTCTGCATTAAGAGAGTTCACAGGTTTTTGCTTTACCTTTGCTACTTGCCACTCTGTACTGAAATTGGGGGTTTTTTTCAGAAGGTATTGGTTGTCCATCGAGAAAATGATGTGCATGTTATGACAAAACTTAGATGTGAATAATCCTGTGGCTTTGGGGCTATTGTAGGCAAATTTGGGGCAGCACAAGACAATGACACTAATAATCATACAAACAGTTTTAGAGTTTGACAAAGCATCATTATATGTGGTCCTCTCTAGCCACTACAACAAGGGCAGTAGATCTATTTCACAGATGTGGAAACAGTCCTGTCTATTTAAAAGCTTGTTCAAGACCAGAAATTGGCAGCACCAAACCTGATGCCAGGCCTTCTGGTCATGAGTCCAGCACTCTTTCTCCTGTGCCCTCCCCAAAAAGTTCTCTTTGCATCATATCCTATGTGCATTTAAGTTAGGGAAATTCAGCTATCAATGCTCAGCAAAGTAATGAGAGAGGTAAATTGCAATTTACACAGGCAAGGAGCTCAGATGACTCCATTCACCTCTTCACACAGTGACCACAGGCCTTGGAGTGAGCCCAGGACAGAGGTCACAGGTCTGCTGTCCTTCAGCCGGTCTCTGCTGCAGGCCACTCAGGATGTAAGTGTACAGCCTGGGTATCGGCGAGATGTCGTATGGTTATGACCTCTCTCTCTCTCTCTCTCTTCCTCTCTCTCTTTCTTCTCTCTCTCTTTCTCTCTCTCTTTCCTCTCTCTGTCTCTCCTTTACATCAAACATTCTATTTTGGCATATGCACTTTTTTTCCTATCAGGTACATTACTACGGGCATTAAACATTTTTCCTGGGGTTGTAGACACGAAACATCGAATATTGTACTTTATGGGTCACTTAAGGAATTCCCAAATGTTATTTGGACTGTACGAAATTTTTGTTTTCTGAGCTGACTCTAGAACCCAACCCAGCAGTAAAATGCGACACACCTGGACTGTAGGTCTCCAGGTGCCACTTTGTGCTTTGATGGCCCAGAGCTATTTTGATTTTTATTGTCTAGGCTTTTCTAGATAAACCAGCAAGGTGGCTTAGATCTTGGTGGACCTTGACTCAAGCCCTTATAAACACAAGGAGACAAACATCAGAAATACCACATTTTGCTCTCTCCTACCTCCTCTACTTGTAGTGTTTCTTTTTCAATTTTTTCAAGTAGCTCTTTTCTCAGCAAGATCTCCTTGTCCAGATTGAGGTATATTTCCATTGCCTTGTGAAGCTTGCTCTGAAATATAACAACACAGCAAGTCTTGAGCTAAGATGACCTCTCAGAACCGCAGGAAGGGGAGACATCTCTTTGTTAACGAACAGAAAAGCAGGACCATCCAGAAAGTCCAAATTGCCTTTCTCATGGTTGCCCAGATTTTCCAAATCCTGATGTCTGAGAACTGGTGGGGGAGGAGAGGACCTTGGAGTCTTGGCCTCAGCTGGAGAGGCAAAGAAGTCAGGCACACGGGGACCTAAATCCTGCCCTACTACTCACTAAGGAGATCTCTGGGGAGGTCCCAGAACCTCTCTAAACTTGGGTCCAGTCACCATGTAGGGTTGTGGAGAGGCTTACAGGAGACAGCCTGGTAGAGTGCTGAACACAGTGCCTGGCACATGGAGAACATACGACAAACAGCTGCCATGACTATCTCATGTGGATGGAGCGTGGGGAATACTCCTCATGAGGTGGGTGCTACTGCTATCTCCATTTATAGGTGAGAGAACTGACCTTTAGGGAGGTAAAACCATTTCCCCAAGGTCACAGAGACCAGGGGGAGCCGGGAATTGAGCCCATACAGAGATTCCACAGCCCACAGGCTCCACCACCATCTCATCGCCTAACGAGGCCGGACCTGCTAGTTTTAGAGGAGTCCTGCAGGAGCACAGCCTTGCAGATTCCCACTGCATCATCTGCCCTTCACTGGCTTCTGCAGGCCCCACCCCTGCTTCTTAGATTGGCCCCCTTTTGACCACTCTCTGTCAGTGGGGAAGAGTCATCCAGAGGAGCTGGGATGTGCTTTGCTGGGCAGAGGAGTGGGCCAAGGGAAAGACGCAGTGATTTGGGGAGCTTGCTCAACAAACCCTGAAAACCCACCCACCAGGCACCAGTCCCTGCACCAAGCACTGGCCAGTGAAGCAAACTAGGCTCTGCCACCAGAAGGCTGGCTCACAGCCCGGACAGTAGGGGAGAGGCAGTAAAATAATTTCAAGAAGAAATGTAAGACTGCAATTGTGCCAAGCTGTGAGAATGCCAGGACAGTGGTTGGAGAAGGTTTTCCTGAAAAAAAAAAAAAAAAAAAAAAAAAAAAATATATATATATATATATATATATATATATATGCTGGAAAGAGAGCTGAAAGATTGAATCAGTATGTCTAGGTGAAGAGAGAAGAGAACATTCCAAGCTAAGGAAAGAACTGAAGAGAGGAGGATCTAATAGGAGCTGGGAGAGTGGGTAGAGAGCAGCAGGGCCACAGTCAAAGTGAAGGCAGGAGGAGGGGGCAAGGGCATTGCCCCGGGGTGTCAAAACAGAGGAGCCTAGAACCACCTGCCTGGGGGAACTTCTGGCACCCAGGGGCCATTCTCTTCCCCACTCCTATTTTCAGACCTCACTTCTTTAAGGCTCATTTCCTGTTCCATGTCCTGCATGAAAGTTGCTCTGCTAAGGAAAGCAAAAGTGAATGAGACCACACTGATGGGGTCAGACGTGGGGCCGGGGAGATGGGGCAGGACTTTGCCGCAAGTCCAGCAATTCAGGTGGGAGGAAGGAGAGTGGAGGGAAGACAAGCGGTCACCAACTTAGAGCGGCAGGGCAGGAAGGAATGCAGGTACAAGAGCAGCAGCGAGGCCATCACTGGCTCTGCCGGGGCAGGTATCCACGAAGGCTGATGAGAGCGAAATTGGTGATGCTGAGTCAAGATGTGGGTCCCTTGAGGAGGCCACTTCTGTAAAGGACTGCATTCACTTCCTATCGCTACATAACAAATTACCACAGACTTTTGTGGCTTAGAGCCACACCCATTTATTATCTCACAGCTTCCATAGGCCGGAAGTCTGCGCACAGTGTGGCTGGACTCTCCCCCATGGTCACATCTGGCTGAAATCAAGGTGTCCGCCCAGAGCTGTGGTTCTTGTCAAGGGCTCAGGGTCCTCTTCCAAGCTCACTTATTGTTGGCAGAAGGCACTTCCTTGAAGCTGTAGGACCAAGGCCCTTGTTTTCTTTTGGGCTGTCAGCAGGAGGTCGCTCTCAGCTCCCAGAGGCCCCTCTTGAATCCCTTCCATGTGGCCCCTCTGTCTTCTAGCCCACAATGGAGAAGACCTCCTCCAGCCATTTCTCCTCATGCTTCACATCTATGACTTCCTCTTCCAGAGAAACTCTGTTCTTTCAAAGGACTCGTGTGATTAGATCAGGCCCAAGTGGGTGATCTCCCTGTCTTTAGATCAACTGTGCCATACAGTATAACCGAATCATTGAACAGAACAGAACTTAACTGAATCCATCATATTCACAGTCCTGGCCAGAGATTATACAGGGTGTAGACACCAAGGGCCAGGGATTCTTGGGGACATCTTAGAATTCTACCTACAAGGCCCCAGATCACTAGTTTACAGGCAGTCTGGAGTGACTCATCGCAGCTGTAGTCACATGCTTACATTTTACCAGACTCCAGCAGGCAGGGCTTGAGGGCATAAAGTCAGAGAAAAAGCTGCCACCTTGACTCAGGCTCACACATGAAACTCACAGAAGAGAAGAGCCCATTTCTGCCTGGTGCTGTCTAAATGCTGTACCCTTAGCACTCAGCCCAGTGCCTACCCTTGTGGAGGTATTGGTACTTTTGGTATAGAGGACAATTATTCTGCATGTCTTTAACAAGGTTTCACACTTCAGTGTTTGATATTTATTTCTTTATTTTCATTTTCTGATTGCTGGGAGAATGAATGTTTCATATTTATATCAAAGTGGCCCCTCCTGTCACCCTCCCACCCCTACCAAATACACACCTGTTCTGCAAGCAGTTCATTCGACAATATTGGCTAAGCACTTGCTTTAGCCAGGCACTGTCCTTGATGCTGGGGACGCAACACTTACTAGACAGAGCACCATCCTGGTGACACAAAACTTGCCTCCAAGAGGTGAAGAATCTTGCCCAGATGAAGCACCTCCCGCAGCAGAGCCCCCATTCAAGCACAGGCAAGGTCTGACTCCACAACTCAGTTGTTCTGCCTCCATTTCCCCCAGGAATGGCTCTCACTCTGCCCACTGTGGCCTGCGCTGCTGATCTCGGATACTGCAAGCAATCTGCACTGTGTGTTTAGACCCATCCTAAAGAGATCAGGCCCTGCCACCTGGCAGTTTGATTTTAAAAATCAGTAGCTCCATTTCCAAAACCCTTGGCTTTTCCCCCACAGGACCAGGCAGGCCCTGTGCTGCTTAACTGATTCCACAGGATAAGATCGAGGTCCAATGTGATCAAGTACAACCTGCTCTCCAGGCAGTGAGGGCCTGGAAGTCACAGGAACTGGCTTCCTCTATAAATAACAGTGATCAGATAAGCTAAAAACTGATGAGAGAAGCTAAAAGTAGAGGATCTGTTGGATGTTTATGACACATAAATTTCAGAATGCCAGCACATTGTTTTCTACGTACTTTATGCTGGAAAAGGCAGTAGAGTGGGATACACACTGAGTTAGGTGGGATGCATACTGGACTGGGAGTCCCAGCTCTTTTTTTCTTGAGACAGAATCTTGTTCTGTTGCCCAGGCTGGAGTGCAATGGCATGATCTCAGCTCACTGCAACCTCTGCCCCCAGGGGTTCAAGCAATCCTTATGCCTCAGCCTCCCAAGTAGCCGAGATTACAGGTGTGCACCACCACGCCCAGATAATTTTTTGTATTTTTAGTAGAGACAGCGTTTTGCCATGTTGGCCAGGCTGGTCTTGAACTCCTGGCCTCAGGTGATGTGCCTGCCTAGGCCTCCCAAAGTGCTGGGATTGCAGGTGTGAGCCACTGCACCCTGTCTACTTTGCATCTTTGACCCCCGGTTTTTTCATTTGTAAAAGGAAAATGTTGAACAAACATAAACTTGGTCTAAAGACATTCATATTCACATTTTTAAACTGTGTGGGCCAAACAAAGCCCACCTGCGAGCTACCTAAGCCCACAGCCACCATTGCCACCTGAGCACTATGCGAGGGGTCGGCAAAACTTTTCTGTAAAGGACCAGATAGTAAATATTTTAGGTTTTGCAAGCCCAGAAGCAAAATTGTGGGTATTGTGTACTTATATTAACAAGAGAAAAAAATCCTACCAATGTTTTATTGATTCAATTCAAAATATAAAAACTGAGTACAATACTGTAGAATATAGGTCTACTAATGAGAGAAATGGAATTTCTGGGGGAAGAAACCAATTTTGCTTCATTTGGTTTCAAGTTAGTGTTTTCTATAATCAAATTGGTTATAAAGGTTCTTCTGTAATATCATTCTTAGCTCACAGGGCAGTGGGTGGGGACACACTGGCCTGCAGTTGCTGAATACGGCATTAGATGGTCTCTAGCAGGGTGACCAGATAGCCTAGTCTGCTGGGGCCAGGCCCTTTGTGTGCCTATAGTCTCTGCTTAATTATTAATAGTGCCTCTTTTCCCTCCCAAAAGGGTTCTGTTTGGATGATAAATTATTTAGTAGTTTTCTGATTTATAGCTAAGACTGCTTTCTTTTGCAAGGTTTTAAGCAGGAAAGTGCTTATAATGTGCTCAAATTAAACAGGGCTCTAAATGTGGTTAGTTCTCAAAACTTGCCATGCATAAAAATCACTTGGGGAATTAGTAACAGCAATAAAAAACAAAATAAATAAGAGGCATGGCCCTCACCTCCTAATTCAATTAGTCAGGGTGAGACTAAGCATCTGTCTATCTATCTATCTATCTATCTATCTATCTATCTATCTATCTACCTATCATCTATCTATATGTTTGTTTGTTTTTTAAAGAAAAACTCTGGTTCTCATGCACAGCCAGGGTTGTGGGAGCATTCAGGGAATTTTAGGACACATGGCTTGACAGCGAGGGGGCACCCAAACGCTGTGTGAAACTGGAATGCACAAGAACCTCCCTGTGGCCAGAAAGGTGAGTGTGGAAAGCCTTGGGGGAGCCCTGGGTATCAGGGATGGCCTTACTTTGTAGGCATTGAGAACCTGCAGAGTGTTTCCAGATGACAGCTTTAGCTGGGTCAGTTCTTGATTCCTTGCTTCAATTGTCTCAAGAAATTGAGCGTTCTCTATCTTCAACTGCTGAAAATCAACATCGTGAAGGGCCTCACTCACCTCTTCCTTCTACAGCTCAGAAAGATGAAAGAAAAGATGATACGTCAGTTGTGATTCTGAATGTATGGCTCACATCTTGCAACTCTTGACAAGACTTTGGAGGTCAGTCATCATTCAGTCATTCAGCAAACACATATTGGGCATCTGTTTGGTCCCAGGCATGGTGTTAGGCACTGGGTGTAGAGATTTAAGTAAATACAATGTTCCCTGGCCCCAGGCAGTGCATATGAGGGTTTACCAACAAGCCATTGACTCAACAGTGTGGTGCAGTGCGATGTGTTGTTCGGGGGGCATGTGGGGGAGTGGGGGCAGAGGGCACACAGAAGTCCCTAAGCCAGGCCAGGGGAGGAAGAAAGACCGAGTC
Source organism: Homo sapiens (assembly GCF_000001405.40). Lineage (NCBI taxonomy): Eukaryota > Metazoa > Chordata > Mammalia > Primates > Hominidae > Homo > Homo sapiens. The sequence continues at coordinate 58,262,029 of NC_000016.10, read as the reverse complement.
ACGCACAGAGGGCATCCCACAGTGGGTGTTGCCTAAACAGGACCATGAAGGAAGAGTAAGAATCAGGCCATTTAAAAGTTGTTTTTAACATGAAAAACCCAGGACAAGCAGCCCACCGATTTCCCCCTCCTTTGATCATCTGATATTTCTGCACTGCAGTGCATGAGTGTATAAGGTTCCCTCCCTGACCTGGCCCACTTTACCAGCCCTGCCAGGTCTATGCCATTTTATATCTGTGGTAGACAACAGCCCAACTTGGGAACTGCTGTTCCTCACTCCCATGCCTCACTCATGCTGTCTGTGCTATCTCCTGGGATTCATCTTCTTCCCCTTCCCAAAACAACACAACTTCCTTAAGCCCCAGTACAACCATTCCTCCAGCTCCAATGCTCCCAACCTGTTTTCCACACCAGAGGGTGATCCCTCTCTCTGCTGAGCCCCTGGAAGCTTTAGCTCTGTGGTCCTTGGTATGTAGCTTCTGTATACAATTACACATATACACCTTTTCTCGTGACACTGCTGCCCACTAGTCTATGAGCTCGCAAGGGCAGGGCCCGTGTCTGTGTTATCTTTGTGTAGCAGCGGCATTAAGGTTAAAGATCATCCATCTACTCCCCATCTCCAGCTTAAAGCCCCTCTTCCTGATGCCCATGCTTGCATGAACCTCCAAGTACCAGGAACTGATGATCTGCAGACAGTTCCACTGGGACCACTCACGGCAGAATTTTTTCTTGCGCTGAACTCAAATCTCCTTCCTTGACACCTCCATCCACAGCCCCAGCTCTGCTCTCCCTTCCTGCTGCAGCCCTGAGCACTTGGAGACAGTGGCTGTGGCCCTCCTGGACCCTCTCTCCTTGGGCACATCAGTCCCAGGCTCTTGGATATGGTTTCTATTCCTGACATCTGGCTTGCTCTCCGATGTGAACTCTAGTTTACCAATTATTTCAAGGGTGGGGCTCACCTTGTGACATGACACTCCAGGTAGGGGCCGCTCAGACAGAGTAGAGAAAGGCTACCCCTTCCTTGGTCTGGGCACTGTGTTTCTATGAACGCAGCCTAGGCCATAGCATCACCACCACCTGAGCTGACTTTATCAGGTACTCTACAGCTAAGCCATCCTGTACCTGAACAGATATTTTGGGGGATCAAAAGTGCAGGGTGTTACATTTGTCCTTCATCACTTCATGCTGTTAAATCTGTCCCAGCTTGGTGAGGTCTTTCTGGATCCCGAGTGACTCAAGCAATAGTCCCCCAACATGTTAATTCTCCTGCCCAGTTTTGTGTCCTTGTCAGTAGCCCCCTTTGATGAGCATGCTACCAGTGCCCAAATTCAAGTTAATAATAAAAATATTGAGCTAGGAAAGGATGGAACCATGTTTGCCTTACTGCCTTTCATCAGGAGCCATTAGGGTCAGCTGATGGCGATGCTAGACACACCAAAGCACATATAACTGTGCCACCAGGCCATATTCCCAGAAAGGGCCAACAAGTATGTCTTGAGGGTCTTTTAAATTCACGCCAACTCTGTCTACAGAAAACCTCTGATTTGCCTGCACAGTCATCATATGAGTTTCCTGTTGCTCCTGTAACAAATCACCACAAACCTCGTGGTTTTAATGCAAATTTATTATCTTACAGTTCTGGAGGTCAGGAGTCTGAAATGGGTTGGGAGGCTCAAATCAGGATCTCAGCAGGGCTGCATTTCTTCCCAAGGCTCTAGGGGAGACTCTGTTTCCTTGTCATTTCCAGCTTCTAGAGGCTGTCTGCAGTCCTTGACTCCTGACCCCTTCTCCCTCTCATGAAAGCTCATCACTCTGATCTCTGCTTCTGTTATCATAGCTTCTCCCACCCTCCTGCTTCCCACTGATAAGGAGGGAGATTATATAGGGCCCACCCAGGTAATTCAAGACCATCTCCCCATCTCAAGATCCTAAATTAATCACATCTGCAAAATCCTTTTTGCCATGTAAGTTAATGTATTCACAGATTCCAGGGTTTAGGATATGGATATTTTGGGGTGGGGGTGGGAACCTTATTCAGCCTACCACAGTAACCTTAAAAAGAAACAGAGAGAGAGAGAAAAAGGACCACATACCTGCCTCAATTGTAAAAGCATTTTTTTCCTCTGAACTTTGAGAGAAACATTTTTCAAACGTAATTTCTCCTTCATATTATCCTAAAACATAAAGGCATATTTTAATGCATTTAATCCATTTCTCTCCTTTTTCCCATTGGTTTGAAAAGTGGATGGTTCTGGGGCTGCAAACCAAACCTTGAGCCCTAACATTCTGTCACTTATTTTAGGTCCTTTTACTTCTACTCAAGCTGGGGCTGGTATGACATTTCATGACCAAGAAGCAGAGGACACTGGTTTTGCACCATGCAAATTTTATATTGCTTTCAAATTCAAGATTATTTGGGTGTATGCTACTGTAGGGGCCTTTCCTGACAAAATGATCTTACGATTTTTTGGTCTTGTATTCCCACGGTAGTTTACATAATTTTTATTACTGTTAACATATTAGGATTAGTAATAACCCTACCTTGTCTCCAGGATCTAAAGCTTGACGTGTTGTAAAAATCTCTGGAAATGAAGGTTACCCCCCAAATTCTCCTTTTTTCTCATAACAGCCCAAGGTCCATCTCCTGATAACAAAGGATCTCAAAGAGCTTGAGATTCACCCAGTAATCCCAGCACTTTGGGAGGCCAAGGTGGGTGGACTGTTGGAGCCCAAGAGTTCAAGACCAGCCTGGGCAACACAGTGAGACCTCATCTCTATAACAATTTTTTTAAAGGTTTTTTTAAAATTTTGAAAAAGAGATTTACCTGTCCTACTCCACAGTCACCTCTCTAGATAGGCTGGACCAGACCAGTCTCATACCTTTCTCAAGAAAATATATCAGATCTTGAAACAAATAACAAAACAAAAAACAGAGATCAATCTGAGGTACTGTTAGTATACCTCCTGCCTGGCTGGTGTTAGCCTTGATAAACACGCATTTATTTATTTATTTATTTATTTATTTATTTATTTATTTATTTATTTTTTCTGAGACGGAGTCTTGCTCTGCTGCCCAGGCTGGAGTGCAGTGGCATGATCTTGGCTCACCGCAATCTCCGCCTCCCAGGCTCAAGCGATTCTCCTGCCTCAGCCTCCCGAGCAGCTGGGATTACAGGCACAAACACCTCGCCCAGCTAATTTTTGTATTTTTAGTAGAGATGGGGTTTCACCATGTTGGCCAGGCTGGTCCTCCAGCTCAGATGATCCACCCGCCTCAGCCTCCCAAAGTGCTGGGATTACAGGCATGAGCCACTGCACCTAGCCATAAACATACATTTTAAAACATGCATATACACATACACTTTCAGGGATGCAAAGAAAATCCGCATATGTGGGCAACATTTATGGTGGACCAAAGGGAGCTAGGCTGCTTCACATGGATGATTTCCATAACATCCCTGTAAGAATGTTTTTTCCCTTTCTAAGCTCTGTCTGCCAACTTACCCTCCGGCGGTTCATGTCCTCAATGTATTTCATCACTTTCTGAGTGGCCAAAATACTCCCTTTCTTCTTGGATATGGCTTTTAGAATATCTTTTTCAAACTCATGCACTTCTCTCGAAACTTCACTCCATCGAATTTCAGCCTCCTCAATGATCGCCTGGGGGAGTCAGCACAAAGAGAGAAGAACGTTTCCAGCAATCTTCAAGGATGTGTCTTCTAAGAAAACCTAAGTTCCCAGGCCTCTTTGTGTCCCAAAATATTATGTTTCTTCTTAGTCTTAGGAACATATCCTTAAGATACAAACTTGACTATATCAATGTTATTAGTTAAAAGCATTCTTCAAAAAAATAGAATCCATAAAAAGAGAGCAAACAAAAACAGGTGTCAGGTATCTATCTTTTTTTTTTTTTTTTTTTTGAGACAGAGTCTCGCTCTATTGCCCAGGCTGGAGTGCAGTGATACAATCTCACCTCATTGCAACCTCCGCCTCCTCGGTTCGAGCAATTCTCCTGCCTCAGCCTCCTGAGTAGCTGGGACTACAGGCACCTGCCACCACGCCTGGCTAATTTGTGTATTTTTAGTAGAGAAGGGGTTTCACCAAGTTGGCCCAGCTGGTCTTGAACTCCTGACCTCAGGTGATCCGCCCACCTCGGCCTCCCAAAGTGCTGGGACTACAGGCATGAGCCACCGCGCCTGGCCAAGCTATCTATCTAAATATGTATTTCCATATTTGAAATTATTTATCCATTAAAAATATCTGGAAGGATATACATCAAAACATGAATGACAGTTACATCTAGAGAGATGGATTAGTGGGGAAATAAATAGGCACTCTTATTATATTTCTGTTATTAAAAAAAAAAAAAGACTTTATATTTCCAAGCCTGAGTATTGGGGGGAAAAATGGAAAAAAAAATAAAGAAGATATTATAAAGTCAGGTATGGTGCCTGTAGTCCCAGCTGCTCAGGAGGCTGAGGCAAGAGGATTGTTGGAGGCCAGAAGTTCGAGGCTGTAGTGTGCTATGATTGCGACCGCGAATAGCCACTGCACTCCAGCCTGAGCAACGCAGTGAGGCCCCATCTCTTAAAAATAAAAAAAAAGATGTTATAAAATGAAAATATGTATTGACGTAAAGAGATGTTGTTAAGTGAAAAATACAGTTTACAAAATAACATGATACTATTTTTGGAAGAAATTCATATATGCAGGCTGGGCGCGGTGGCTCACGCCTGTAATCCCAGCACTTTGGGAGGCCGAGGCGGGCGGATCACGAGGTCAGGAGATCGAGACCATCCCGGCTAAAACGGTGAAACCCCGTCTCTACTAAAAATACAAAAAATTAGCCGGGCGTAGTGGCGGGCGCCTGTAGTCCCAGCTACTTGGGAGGCTGAGGCAGGAGAATGGCGTGAACCCGGGAGGCAGAGCTTGCAGTGAGCCGAGATCCCGCCACTGCACTCCAGCCTGGGCGACAGAGCGAGACTCCGTCTCAAAAAAAAAAAAAAAAAAAAAGAAATTCATATATGCATAGAAAATTATCTAAACTGTAGGAGGTAAATGGAAAGTCAACAGAAATTACCTCTGAGTGGTAAATTGTGAATGTTTTCAAATGTTCTTTTAGCTTAACTGTATTTTTCAACATTCTACAACATAGATTGCCTTGAAATAAGAACACACACACACACATATTACTATAAAAAATAAAATGGAATGGTATCTCTAGCCAGACTGCAAATCATCCTAGTTCAGACTTTTTTTCTGAACACCAAGAGGCAAAAGCATTTTCACTGGCCGGCCTCAGGCTCCAGCCCCATCATCTCCACATGGTAGAACATCAACCCACCTGAAATGCTACTTTCAACACATTGCTCTCCTACTCAAGTATCCTCAGTGGGGTCCAGCTTTCTAAGACATCAAAGATAAACTCCTTGGCATGGCTGTCAAGAAATCATTGCCTTACTCAACCTGACTTCCTAAAGCAGCCTCCAAAGTAGCGTCTTCTCTAATCACACCGGCCTCCTCAATGTCATGCTTGTGCCCACCTCCACTGCCTTGCCCATGTCATTCTCCTTACCTGGGGTGCCCTTCTTTCCCTGTGCTTTAAACAGATGCCATCATTCTTCAAGATCATGCCAAGTCTCTTTTAAGCCCTACCTCCTCAACAAATTCTTTTTGACCACTCTAGCCCATACTGATCTCTGATCTCTGCACTTGATGCTCACATTGCACAACCTAGCGGGTCAGGATAATGCTACCACATCCCAAGCTCCTTTAACTTGCTAGAATTCAACAATGCATGTTTAGAAAGAGAGAGAGGAGGGGTGGGAGAGCAGGATCAGTTGATGTGATACAGACGGTTGCATCAATGGGAGACATGAGTCTACTGACTGGTCCCTCTTGAGACGAGTGTGATTCTGCGAATGCCCACATTTAGAAACAGAAAAATAGAAAACTTTAGAAATAGAACAGAAGTATCTACTTTTCATACAACATGGCTCTCAAATGCAAGCCAACAACGTCATCCTGTGGGCAACCGAATTAACAGTGATGTTTCTTCTCTGGAGGAAACTGACTGTATTGGACTCACTAAGAGACACTACTATATTGTTCTGTAACAGGGCACAAACCATGGGCACGTGTGCCGTATAGAAATGCTGACCTAGGGGCCGGGCGCGATGGCTCACGCCTGTAATCCCAGCACTTTGGGAGGCTGAGGCGAGTGGATCACAAGGTCAGGAGATCGAGACCATCCTGGCTAACATGGTGAAACCCCGTCTCTACTAAAAATACAAAAAAAATTAGCTGGGTGTGGTGGCGGCAGGAGCCTGTAGTCCCAGCTACTCGGGAGGCTGAGGCAGGAGAATGGTGTGAACCTGGGAGGCGGAGCTGGGATCGCACCACTGCACTCCAGCCTGGGCAACTGAGCAAGACTCCATCCCAAAAAAAAAAAAAAAGAAAGAAATGCTGACCTAGGGACTTTTTACTCAATTCACTGACTGTGATGGTTAATATTAGGTGTCAACTTGACTGGATTCAGGGATGCCTAGATGGCTGGTAAAGTATTGTTTCTGGGTGTGACTGTGAGGGTGTTGCCAGAAGAGAATGATATTTGAGTCAGTGGACTGGGCGGGGGGAAGATCCACCCTCAGTGTGGGTGGGCACCATCCAATTGGCTGCCAGAGCAGCTAGAGCAAAGCAGGTGGAAGAAGCTTGTGTACTGAGTCTTCTGGCTCTCCCTCTTCTTCCCATGCCCGACAATTGCTTCTGCTCCTCCTGCCCTCGGACATCAGACTCCAGGTTCTTTGCCTTTAGACCCTCGGACTTGTACCAGCAGCTTCCTGGGGGCTCTAGGGCCTTCGGCCACGGACCGAAGGCTGCACCATTGGCTTCCCTGGTTTTGAAGCTTTCAGACTTGGACTGAGCCACTACCGGCTTCTCTCTTTTCACAGCCTGCAGACAGCCGATCGATTGCGTGGGACTTTGCCTTGTAATCACGTGAGCCAATTCTCCCTAATTAACTCCCTTTCATATATACATGTATACTCTTGGTTCTGTCCCTCTCAAGAACCCTAATATACTGACTTAAACCTCAAACCCCTTGTATTATGAAGAAATTATTGTAGGCCCGGCGCAGTGGCTCATGCCTGTAATCCCAGCACTTTGGGAGGCCGAGGCAGGCGGATCATGAGGTCAGGAGATCGAGACCATTGGCTAATACGGTGAAAACCTCGTGTCTACTAAAAATACAAAAAAAATTAGCCGGGTGTGGTGGCGGGCGCCTGCAGTACCAGCTACTAGGGAGGCTGAGGCAGGAGAATGGTGTGAACCCGGGAGGCGGAGCTTGCAGTGAGCTGAGATCACGCCACTGCACTCCAGCCTGGGTAACAGAGCGAGACTCCACCTCAAAAAAAAAAAAAGAAATTACTGTAAAATTTTAAGAGCATTTAGGGTTATCATGGTTATATCTTCTAAAAGAATTCATATATTAAAGATATATACTGAAATATGTACAGAGATTCACTAGGATTCACTTCCTAGTAACCCAGCCAGATGAAGGGAAAGTTGATCAACCAAAAGAGGCCATATGTTGATGATCATTCCACCCAGGTGTTGAATACATAGGGGTTTGTTGTGCTAGCCTCTCTACATTCGTGTATTTTTGAAATTTCCCATTAAAAAAATGTTCAAAAATGTGTTGTCCCCACAAGCAGGTGGTAAGTTCCTTGAAGATAGGCCCTGGATTCGCTTCATCCTACCTGTGTTTCTTCCAAAGCCCCAACAATCACATGAACCCACTCTAGATACCTCTCAGTGGGGTAGAGGTGGGGAGCCTGGGCAGGACAGGCTGCGCTGGCAGGAAGGTGTACCTCGTGATGCTGCAGGTCGCGTTCCGCATTTGCCCTTGTGTGTCGTAAGTCATCCTTCATGTCCGCAACCTCTTTTTGTACCAGCTCAAGTTTTTGGTCGGCAGTCAGGCCTACCCCACGGTCCATACCTGTCCGGGATTTGGATCTACGCCTGCCTCGAAACTGCAACCCAAGAGAAACAAAGCCATTGTCAAAGAGGAATTGGTAATGAACCAGCCCAAGATAGGCATCAGAATGATCCTCTGACCTGCTAGAAGTTCCCCAGAGTGACAGCCAGGGAGAACAAATTCATGGTAAAAGGATGCTGGATATTAGGCCTGAGCTGACATTTATTTCTCAAGTCATCCTAAGCCCCTGCACTAAATACTTCAAAGGCCTATGTTTGACAATGAAGTGAAAATAAATAAGGGTAAACGTCTTGAAGGTGGAAAGGCTGTGAACCTGCTATAGACTAGCATTCAAGTCAAAGACAGGGGAAAGCTCAGAGGTACTTCCTGAGCTGAACACAGGAAAGAAACTGCATCCGTGGGGGACTGTGTTCAGCAAAACAGACAAACAAACATCTTGGACTTTCTATGCATTTAAGGCAAAGGTCAGAAGCGGGTGGTCCAGGGTACATATGGGTTTGCTTGGCCCTCAAAGGATAAGCCTATACAGATAACCCCTTTGAGACAAGGGCCTGTGCTAGGCCCACTTTCCTCATTTAGGTGGCTGGCTGGGCCTTGTAAACAGTTGAGTCCCTCAATTTAAATGAATTCTTTTTTTTTTTTAATTTTTTTGAGACAGAGTCTTGCTCTGTTGCCCAGGCTGGAGTGTAGCAGTGTGATCATAGCTCACTGCAGCCTCAAACTCCTGGGCTCAAGCAATCCTCCCACCTCAGCCTCCCAAGTAGCTAAAACTACAGGTGCATATCACCACATCTGGCTAATTTAAGAATTTTCTTTTGTAAAGATGGGGTCTTGCAATATTGCCCAGGAAGGTCTCGAACTCCTGGTCTCATGTGATCCTCCCACCTTAGCCTCCCAAAGCACTGGGACAGGCCTAAGCCACTGCACCTAGCCAAAGGGAATTCTTTCAAGTAAACTAAGATATGCTGGGAGAGTCAATCCACTATTAACTGAACCCAGTTTCTTTCACAGTCACTTGAAAGAGAAACCCTAGAGGGCAAAGAAAAATCAAAAGTAAAACAGGGAGAAGGTCCCATGGTCAATTGGCCACAGAGGGCGCACCAAAGGCAGATAAACAAATACCACTTGCATTTAAGGTGACAAACAATAAAAGAATGATCTAGATCTCCATTGTGTACCTGTGCATAATCTGCTGCTGATATTTTAATTTCTGATAATCGTGGAGGTCGCTGATCCCTGGGCTCCAGTTTAGCGTAATATTTCTCAAACATCTCAGTCTCAGTTTTGAGAGCAGAGTTTACATAGCTGCAAGACAGGGTACCTGAGTAAGTTCTAGTAATAAGAGTTTAAACCTCAAATAACTAGTGTTTAATAACTAGTAGACCTGCAAAACCCGTTAGCCCCTTGGTGCCTTAGTTTCCTCACCTATAAAATGGGTATTAAGAATAGCACTTAACTTTTAGGGTTCCAATAAGGAAGACAAAGCCTCTGGCACAGTGCCTGACACATAGTAAGTGCTATATATTTGATATTTTTATTAATATGTTTAATGAGCCACAAAATTCAGAACACTAGTATTACATTGAAAATTCTCATAGGTTTCATCTTCAAGTATCATTGAACCCATGTGGGAGATTATTTCTGAATTACTATATATTATATATATACATATATATATTTTATTTGTTTAAGAGACAGGGTCTTACTCTGTTGCACTCACTGTAACCTGGAACTCCTGGGATCAAGCAATCCTCCTGCCTCAGCCTCCCAAGTAGCTAGGACTGCAGGTGCACAATGCCATGCCTGGCTAATTTATAATTTTTTTTGTAGAGGTGGTATCTTGCTATGTTGTCAAGGCTGGCCATGAACTCCTGGCCTAAAGTGATCCTCCCACCTTGGTTTCCCAAAGTGCTGAGATTATAGGCAATAATAGCCACTGTGCCCAACCTGAATTACTATATTCTTGAAGTTAAACACACCCACAATCTTCAGATGTTTCCTTTGGTTTGTTTTTCAGTTCTTTTATTTTCAGTACCCAATAGATGAAAAGTATCAACCAGAAGTTTATCATAAACTCTGGAAAACTTTGAACAGAGGAAGAGATAACATACCTAGTTTATCCTGTATATGCCAAGGTTATAACCTTTTTAACTTCTTAACTTCTCATACGTGTGTATGTGTGTGTGTGTTACACACACATATGTATGTATATGTATATGAGAGAGAGAACAGCTTTGATGTTTTCATGTGTTATTAATCTATTAGGTTGGTACAAAAGTAATTGCAGTTTTTGCTATTACTTTTAATAATTCCTGTTTGGCTGAATTTTAAGACTAGTGGGGCCAGGTGTGGTGGCTCACACCTGTAATCCCAGCACTTTGGGAAGCCGAGGCAGGTGGATCACCTGAGGTCAGGAGTTCGAGACCAGCCTGATCAACATTGTGAAACCCCATCTCTACTAAAAGTACAAGAATTAGCTGGGTGTGGTGGCAGGTGCCTGTAATCCCAGCTATTCAGGGGTCTGAGGCAGGAGAATCACTTGAACCTGGGAAGCAGAGGTTGCAGTGAGCCGAGATCATGCCATTGTACTTCAGCCTGGGCGACAGAGCGAGTGAGATTCCGTATCAAAAACAAAACAAAACAAAACAAACTAGTGGAAAAAGCTGAATGGAAAACACAATCTATCAAAGTAGCTTGCTTTTTCAGCATAGAGCATGCTCCAGGTGTATGTAGTCTGTGGAGTCACACCTGAGTTTGAATCCCAGCACTACCACTGACTGTGTGAACTTAGGGAAGTGACTTCACCTCTGCGTCTTTGTTTCCTTACCCACTTCCTAGGGTTGCAGTGTCATCATATAAGATCATATATGTAAATGCATGGTACATAGAAACACTCAAAAATGAGAGCTGTTAGTAATAATACCTCAGTTCTGACCTAAAGTATTTGTAGATGTATAGAAGTAACATCTATTCAGCTGCTAGAGCTAGGATATTCTGTGCAAGACCAGTAAGTTGTACAACTAATCTTAACTACATCATGGAATCTTTATATCCAATTTACTTGCTATAGTAGAATATATAAAGCAGACTGCAAAATAAAATAAAACAAAATAAACGCAGACTATCGGGCCATTCTTTACTGTCCATCTCCATGCTTATATCCAGGTTCAGGCACACATTGCCTCATACTAAAACCATCTCAATAGCTTGCTTTCTATTCTGCTGCCGTGTTAGTTTTATCATATAATTTTTTTTTTTTTTTTTTTTGAGACTTAGTCCCTCTCTGTTGCCCAGGCTGGGGTGCAGTGGCACAATCTCGGCTCACTGCAACCTCCGCCTCCCAAGTTCAAGTGATTCTCCTGCCTCAGCCTCCAGAGTAGATGGGATTACAGGCACGCGCCACCACGCCTGGCTAATTTTTGTATCTTTAGTAGATACGGGGTTTCACCATGTTGGCCAGGCTGGTCTCGAACTCCTGACCTCAAGCGATCCGTCCGCCTCGGCCTCCTAAAGTGCTGAGATTACAGGCGTGAGCCACCGCGCCCAGCCTTATCATAGAATCTTAGCATCAGAAAAGGGCTTAGAAGTCACCTGGTCCAAATTGCTGCTGTAGAATTGTGGATCGGCTAAGCACACCGTCTGGCATGAGAGAGACTCCTCCGGCTGAAACCCTCACTTCCCCAATTACCCTCTGGGCTTCTCACCACCGGCCCCATCCCCTCGCCCTACCACCCCGTTCTAGCTCCACCAACAGCTTGTTGGCTCAGTGGTGGTGGAGTAAGGAGTAAAGAGGAAAAGTCTCCCCAGTGCTCAGTGAGGGCTTGGATCTTCTCCATGCTGGTCCCCAAGTCCGAGGCCGCCCGGAGAGGAGGGCCTAGGAGGAAGAGGGGCGGCCCCCAGGCGCGGGCGGCGGTACCTGAGCTCCTCCACCAGCCCGCACAGCTGGATAACAGGCAGCTCCAGCTCCGACCCTTCATGGGAGTCGGAGAGGACGCTCTCGGACTCATCATCAGTCATCACTCTGCCGAAGCGGCCCCTGCCAATGCCGTGTGCCCAGGAGCTCCGGGTGCCGGCGGCCACGCGTCACTCCGGCTGCGACGCGGTGGCGCGTTGCCCGGGCGACCGGACGCGAGGAAAGGGGTGGGGCTTCCGGTGGCCCCTCCCCGCGCTGCCCCGCCTGTCTCCGTGCGGACCCAGCCAGGTTGCTGGCTTTGAGCGCACACCTAAGCGCGTTCAGTTTCACTTCTTTAACAATAACTCTTAAATTGATAGTAATAATAGCAGCTGCTGTTTCTCAGCCCTTACTGTGTCCTTGGCAGCGTGTTAAGCATAGTTTATGAAAACCTTCGCCACAACCTTGTAATGGTATCTATCAATCTCTCCATTCTCCCAATAAGGAAACTGGGGCCTAGAAAATTAACACGATTTATCATAGTGTCCTTCTTCCCCTGTCCCACTGGGAGGCCCCTGCTCTGTTCACCACCTGGTGCTTCCTACATGCTAACAGCAGCTCCTCTCAGATATTAACATCCTGCATTTCTGGAAGGAAAAAAACGTGGCTGATAAAAATGGGTATACATTCAAGAGACATCCCTAAATAGTTACTGAATATCTACTGTGTCCTTAGTATCCTAGGGGGAATGTCTGGAAAAGACCATTCTGATCTTCAAGGAGCTTCCAATTAAATGAGTGAAACAGCCTCTAAACAAGCCGCTGGAACCTGGGGTGATGACAGCAACATCATGCGTCACACTGTGCATCGTAGTCATCTCCTTAAATCCTCAAAACAATCTGGTACAGTTGGTATTATTGCCGTCATCTTACAGATCAGAAAACCAAGGAATGGAGTAGCTTAGGTTCCATTCCACTCAAGAATGGAATCAAGCTCCGGTGGAACCCAAAGTCCATGCTGTTAACTTCTACGCTGATGTGGGACATGGTAAGGATCAGGGAGGCAACACAGGAGCTCTCTCTCTGCTCCCCATGGGGATGAAAGAGGACAGAGGGCAGGACGGGGAGACTTCTCCTAGGGAGGGTGAACTCTGGATGTGCTTAGAAAGCAAGCTGTGATGAAGTGCTTGGGGAGCGGGTCAGCCCCCTTCCCCTGCAAGGGGCATGCATTAGCATTGACAGGCACTCCCTGGATCTGAGGGAGGGTTTTTGTTTTGCTGCTCAGGGTGCACAAGGTTGGGGCCAGAATAGAATCACTGGAGATGACAGCAGAGAGCTGGAGCCCTACCACCTTCTCTCTGGTGGTAGGCCTCTTTAGGTTCTAGGGACAATGCAGACCACATTTAGCAATACTTAATATGTCCATATACAAGGTGACACAAATGGATGCTATCCCCAGGTGACATAAATAGATGCCAGCTCCAAGTGAACCCAGAGCAAGAATGGGCTCTGTAGCAATTCGAGGCTATGATGCAAACAGCCCTGCCAACTGGGCTGTGTGATACAACAGACTCTATGGCATTGGGGGTGTCAGTGGTGAAAAAAGATGCAGCAGGAATCTTAAAGCAAGACCCAGCAGGAGAATCACAATAAAGGACCCAGGATTCTGAAACAAGACCATACAATCCACAGCAGAGAATTACGTGTCTTTTGAGAAATAACTCCTGGCCTGTTACTATACCCTGGTAGAGACAGAACGCTGGATATATGGGGTACCAAGTGACCATGCATCCAGTCCTGCCCTCTACCAGCTGAGTTATTAAGCAGGACAGGCCCAGCCTCAGTCCATTGCAAATGGAAATGGTTAATCCAGCATTGGGCTCCAGCAGGACCAGAAAGCATGAGTAAGCTGCATGAGCAGGTAGCCCAGACCAACATGGCACCCACCACATTTGCACCAGGATCCCTCCCCCAGCTCAAATTTATCACTATATTTGCAGGGGCTTGGGGAGTTCATGACCACCTGGAAGAGAAGGCAAAGGCTTGAGCTCAGTTTACAGATGGGCTGGCTTGGAAGCCAAAAATGGACAGTGGCTGCATTACAACCACTTCACGAAAGGTAGTGAAAGACAGTAGAGAGGGAAAGCTTCCCAACTGGCAGAGTTGTGAGTGGTGGTGTGGCTGGTCATCTATTTTGTGTGGAGAGAGAAATGGCCCCAGGGGACACATCTAATTGGAAACTCTGTTCTTTTTTTTTTTTGGAAGGGAGAGTTTATTTTTACTTTTTTGAGACAGGATCACACTCTGCTGCCCAGGCTGGAGTGCGGTGCAGTGGCACGATCATAGATCAATGCAGCCTTGAATTCCTGGGCTCAATCAATCTTCCTACCTCACCTTCCAGAGTTGCTGGGACTACAGATGCATGCCACCATGCCTGGCTAATTTTTTTTTTTCTTTCTCTCTCTGTTTTTTGTTTTGTTTTGTTTTTTGTTTTTTGTTTTTCTGTAGAAATGGGGGTCTCGCTATGTTGCCCATGTTAGTCTGGAACTCTACCCTTCAGCGCTCCTCCTGCCTTAGCCTCTCAAAGTGTTGGGATCACAGGCATTAGCCACTGTACCTGGCCTAATTGGCATCATGGACTCAAAGACTCCCGATCAGGCTGGCTGGAACTTTGTTAGCGCCGTGCTTTGATCTGGGATGCCTGCTCCCTGGCCCTCACTCCGTCCTCTCCCAGATGTCATCACAGTGGGAGGCTGTCCTTGTCTACTCCAGCTTCCTCTCCTTTGTCCATCACAGACGATTTCCCCAAGAAAGAGATCTCTTCATGTCTAATTTTATCTTGGTTTGGAGGACTCAAACCAACACAAAGAATAAATTTCAATCTTAAAGATATTATTCTAATTTGGTAACATATTACATGTATGAACTAAAGTTTGCATTTGCCAAACAAAAATATTGTTTGGATCACCTTGCTGGTCAAGCTGCTTTACATGTTTTAAAAATTGTGGTTAAAAAATACATAACATGGCCGGGCGCAGTGGCTCACACCTCTAAATCCTAGCACGTTGGGAGGCTGAGGCAGGTGAAAAGAAAAAGAAAAAAATAATAACATAAAATTTACCATCTTTTTTTTTTAGATGGATTCTCACTCTTGTCGCCCAGGCTGGAGGGCAATGGTGTGATCTCAGCTCACTGCAACCTCCACCTCCTGGGTTCAAGCGATTCTCCTGCCCGAGCCTCCCGAGTAGTTGGGATTACAGGCACCTGCCACCATGCCTGAGTAATTTTTTGTATTTTTAGTAGAGACGGGGTTTCACCATGTTGGTCAGGCTGTTCTCAAACTCTTGACCTCGTGATCCACCCGCCTTGGCCTCCCAAAGTGCTGGGATTAGAGGTGTGAGCCACCGCACCCGGCCTGTAAAATTTACCATCTTAACCACTTCTTTTTTTTTTTTTTGAGATGGAGTCTCGCTCTGTCGCCCCGACTGGAGTGCAGTGGCGCGATCTCGGCTCACTGCAAGCTCCCCTTTCCGGGTTCATGCCATTCTCCTTCCTCAGCCTCCCGAGTAGCTGGGACTACAGGCACTCGCCACCACGCCCAGCTAATTTTTTGTATTTTTAGTAGAGATGGGGTTTCACCGTGTTAGCCAGGATGGTCCTGATCTCCTGACCTCGTGATCCACCCGCCTCGGCCTCCCAAAGTGCTGTGATTACAGGCGTGAGCCACAGCGCCCAGCCCATCTTAACCACTTCTAAGTGTACAATACAGTAGTGTTAAGTATGATCACATGGTTGTGCAACCAATCCCCAGAACTTTTTTATCTTGCAAAATGGAAACTCTATATTCATTATAAAACTCTATACCTGCTTCCCCCTCCCTCCAGTCCCTGGCAACCACAGTTCTACTTTCTGTCTCTATGAATTTGACTACTCTAGGTACCTTACATTAGCAGGGTCATATACTATCGTCTTTTTGTGACTGGCTTATTTCACTTAGCATGTCTTTAAGGTTCATTTGTATGGCAGCATGTGTCAGAATTTCCCTTCTTTTTAAGGCTTAATAATATTCTGTTGTATAGATACACCACTTTTGTTTATCCATTCATCCATTGATGGACATCACTGCCTTAATTTTTTATTTATCTATTTATTTATTTATTTATTTATTTATTTATTTTGTGAGATGGAGTCTCACTCTGTTGCCCAGGCTGGAATATAATGGTGCCATCTAGGCTCACTGCAACCTCTGCCTCCCTGGTTCAAGCGATTCTCCTGCCTCAGCCTCCTGAGTAGCTGAGATTACAGGCACATGCCACCACACCCAGCTAATTTTTGTATTTTTAGTAGAGACGGGGTTTCACCATGTTGATCAGGCTGATCTCGAACTCCTGACCTCGTGATCTGCCTGCCTTGGCCTACCAAACTGCTAGGATTGCAGGTGTGAGCCACCGCGCCCGGCCACTGCCTTAGCTTTTAAACACAAATTAAAATTCCAAAAAAGTCACACGGAATAACAAAACTGAAGTAACTCAAGTTCCATTTCTTTGTCTTTGCAATCACTGCACTATCATCACTTATTTTGAACCATTGTTCAAATGCAAGAATATATTATACCACAGGAGCTGGAGATGAGAACTTTACCCAAAACAAGCCCAAACTTTTCCAAACCTATAGAAACTTATTCACAAAATAAATGAGTGTAACTGAGTCTGTGAGTTTCAGGGGATGATTGTATAGCAAGGAGTTCTCTGAATCGAAATATGCCAATTTGAAGCCAAAATGTGTATCATAAAAGCTCAACATTAACTGTAGCAGTTATTTAGGACTTAGACCCACACATGATTTTTAGGGGCAGGAGAATTTTGTTGCTGTCATTGTTTAGAATTGCCAGCACCCAGTAACAATTTTTAAAAGACCAACTTTTGGTTGATTTTATTATTGTTTTAAAGGTCTTTACGGACTTTGCAATTCTAAATTATTTCCTACACCGTAGGTAGAACCTCCCACTGCCCTGCTCTTGGTACACCATTGAGAAGTGACAATTCCTTTGGCGACAGCTGTCCTAGTACTGTGGACTTTCTCTGTAAGGAAAGGCATAGGAGGGGTTACTACAGGAGGGGTTTCACATACCAAATGAGGGGTCTCCAGACTGTCACCAGATGAGCTTATTGAGGCTCTGGAGTTTGGGGGCAAGGGGCTGACATCTGCCTCATGCCCCAAGAAGTTAAAAGTAGAGGCTGGAGGGATATGTACATCTAAGTGGGAGGCAGGGGCAAGGGCTCCCAGGGAGCAGACTGCTCTGACACCAAGATGGGGCAAGATAAAGGATTTTCACAAGTCAGATGTCTCCACAGAAAGAGGCTGGAGGCATATCATAAAATGCAGAAGATCAAGAGGAATCTTAAGAAAAAACACTGTGGGATCAGGGAATCAGTGGGATTCATCAGTGGGAGAATCATTAGGGAACCCACAGTAGGCCTTGGGAGTGAGAAGCTTTGGGGCACAAGCTGGTCACAAGAGCATAAGTCCGAAATCACTGCTGTCATGTGAGACCTCCTCTGCCTCTTAACGTCTCCCCTTGTGCTCTCGGGCTCTACCCTGGAAAATCCAGAGGCAACAGAGTGGAGAAGAGGAGGGGAGAAAAGCAAGATGGGAAAAGGAGACTGAGGCTGATCTGAGCTGGTATCTCATCCAGTTATTAATCCTGAAAACCTCCATATCCCAGGGATAGCTCCAGAGACGTGGATCTGAAAAAGGAAATAAACAGACCCTGGCTCAATCCTCAATCAGTAGAGTCTGTCACAGCTGAGCAACATATATCGCTTTAATCGATGTTAAGGAAGAATTGAGTTAGTAAGGAAGAGGGATATTTCAAATATTGGCAAACAAAAAAATAATAGTAATAACAGCAAACATTCGAGTGCTTTGTCCCCTAACCCTGTAAAATAAGTACTATTGTAACCAAGTATCCCAGCCTCAAACTGCGTTTTAAAACATTTTTCCCTTCTTGCTTCCAGCCTTGAAACATACTTTGAAACTTTTTGTTTTGCCTTTTCCCACCAGCCACTTCTATGAACAGTACTCGCTTATCTAATTATGTGCTTGCTTAGAAATTCCAGGGATCGATTTTGAAACAAGCCAGGCAGAGAGACCCAGCTGTGGAACCCTCTGATTAGGGGGAGTTAGGAGCAGTTAGCCCACCACTACCGCAGTCAGCATGATGCAAACCGGTCCTCCAGACAGGCGATGACTCAAGATAACAAGACCTCCTGCTGCACCACTCCCGCGTTTCTCTCACCTTTTTCCTTCTTAAACCCCTTCACTCAGCCCAAAAAGTTAGAATGGTCTTTCAGAGGCATGGGCCTGTCCATTCCCCAACTGCTAGCATTTGAATAAAGTTGCTTTCCTTTCACCACAACTTGCTTCTTGTGTTTTTGGCCTCCAAGCGGTGAGCAGCTGGACTTGGCCAGTTACACTATTACTCACCTCATTTGTATAGGTGAGGAAGTGAAAGCCAGAGAGGCGATGTGAATTACTCAGTCAAACAGCAGGTGACATGCAGAGCTAGAGCCGAAAGCTTGTACCTTTAATCATTACTCATTCCTTTCCATCCCAGTCCTTCTCCTATCCATCCAAAGCCATTCCCACTAAGGTGTTGGAAGAGTTCATTGAGATTACATTTAACCAGGTACCAGGCATGGAGCAAGCTCTGGGTTATTATTTTCCTAGATTAAAGGCCTGACTATGCAAATGTGCATCTCTAAAATGTAAGAAGCTTAGTACATTTTCCTTTGTACTGCCTTCTCTTGATATTTTCCTTTGTAGTGTCTTTCCTTGATCCTGCTCGTCTTCAGAAGTGAGGAGGAGACAGAAAAAATATTTGAAGAAATAATGGCTGAATTTTTCCACATTTGATGAAAATTACAAACCTATAGATCTAAGAAGTTCAACCAACCTCATATAACAATAAACATGAGGAAAATGACACCAAAGATACCATAACTAAATTGCTTACAACTAGGGATAAACAGAAAACCTTAGAAGCAGCCAGGAAAAAAAAAAAAGACACAGTATATACAAAGAATCAAGGATTAAAATGATAGATTTCTTGTAGGTAACAATTCAAGCTGGTAGAGTTCTGAAAGAAAAAAAAAAACACCTGTCAAACTAGAATACTTTACACAGCAAAAATATCTTTTAAAAATAAAGACAAAATAAATATTTTTTTCAGATATTCAAAAGCTTGAAAGAATTTGTTGCCAGAAGAGCTTCACTATACAAGATATGTTAAAGGATGTCCTTCAGGCAGAAAGAAGATGATACCAGATGGAAATCTGGATCAACACAAAGAAATGAAGAGCACTAGAAATGGTAACTAAGTGGATAAGTAAATATATTTCTCTCATTATTTAATTTTCTTTGAAAGATAAATAACTTTATATAACAAAAATTATGTATTGTAGAGTTTACAACATTTACATTGTAGCTAAGCACGGTGGCTCATGCCTGTAATCCCAGCACTTTGGGAGGCAGAGGCCAGTGGATCACTTGAGGTCAGGAGTTTGAGATCAGCCTGACCAACATGGTGAAACCTTGTCTCTACTAAAAAAAATATGAAATTAGCCGGGCGTGGTGGCACATACCTGTAATCTCAGCTACTTGGGAGTCTGAGGCAGGAGAATTGCTTGAACCCAGGAGGCAGAGGTTGCAGTGAGCCCAGATCGGGCCATTGCATTCCAGCCAGGGTGACAAGAGCAAAAAACTCCATCTCAAAAGAAAGAAAGAAAGAAAAAAAAAACATTTACATTGTAGAGTTTATAAGTGAAATGTATGACAATGATAGTAGAGGAGAAATGGGAGTGTGATGGTATAAAGTTCTTATACTATACATAAAGTGGTATAATAACACTTGAAGATAGACTGTACTAAGTTAAAGAAATGTACCATAAACCCCAAAGCAATGACAAAAATGACACAGCAAAGACATAAAACTAAAAGAGTAGCTTTAACTCTAGACTGAATGTCTAGACAATGTGGTAGACAGAACAATGGCCCGCAAAGATATCCAGGTTCTAATCATTGGAACCTATGAATATTACCTTGTAAAGGGGGAAAAGGTCTTAACAATTTTAGCGATTAAGTTAAAGGTCTTAAAATGGAGTGGTTATCCTGGATTATGTAAGTGGGCCCTAAAAGCAATCACAAGTGTCCTTACAAGAGGGAGGCAGAAGGAGATTCTACTACAGAAGAGAGAAAGCAATGTGACAACCTCAGCAGAGAGAGACTTGAAGATGCTATGCTGTGGACTTTGAAGATGGAGGAGAGGGCCTAGGAGCCAAGGAATGCAAGGAATGAAGCTCTAAAAACTGGAGAATTCTCCCCTTAAGCCTCTAGAGAAAATACAGCCCTGCTGAGTGAGACCCATTTTGGACTTCTGGCCTCTGGAACTATAAGAGAATAAATTTGTGTTGTTTTAAGCCACAAAGTTTGTGGCAATATATCACAATAGCCTATGAAACTAATACAGCTAAGTCAACAAAGGAGATAAAGTGGAATTATAAAATATTCGAATGGATCCAAAAGAAGGCAGAAAAAGGGAAATATAAACAAAAAGAACAAATAGAAGCAAGGCAATAAAGAAAAAATAGATAAGTTGGACTTATTAAAAACTTTTGTGCTTCATAGAACACCATCAAGAAAGTGAAAAGACAATCCACAGAATGAGAGAAAAATTGCAAATCATATATATGATGAGAGATTTATATCCAGGATACATAAAGAACTATTATTACAACTCAATAATTAAAAGATAAGCAAATAGGCCAGGCTCAGTGGCTCATGCCGGTAATCCCAGCACTTTGGGAGGCTGAGGCGGGCAGATCACTTGAGGTCAGGAGTTCAAAACCAGCCTAGCCAACATGGTGAAACCCTGTCTCTACTAAAAACACAAAATTTAGCCAGGTGTGGTGGCGGACATCACTTGAACCCGGGAGGCGGAAGTTGCAGTGAGCCGAGATCACGCCATTGCATTCCAGCCTGGCAACAAGAGCGAAACTCCGTCTCAAAAAAGTAATAAATAAATAAGCAAATGATTTGAATGGACATTTATCCAAAAAAGATATACAAGTGATCAATAAGCACATGAAAAGATGCCCAACATCATTAGTCATCATGGAAGCATAATATATAATAGAACATATAATATATAATTAAAAAGACAGATAAAAACAAGTATCAGTAAGAATGTGGAGAAATTGGAACCCCCATAAACTGCTGGTGGGAATGGAAAATGGTGCAGCTCCTTCAGAAAACAAAGTTTGGTTGTTACTAAAAGGCTAAACATAGAGTTACCATGTGATCCACCAATTCTACTCCTAGTATATACTCAAAAGAAATTAAAACACATATCCATGCATGAACTTGTACATGAATGTGCACAGTGGTATTATTTAAACTAACCAAAAAGACACAAATGCCTATCAACTGATGAGCAGATGAACAAATGTTGTATCTATAAAATGTAATATTATTTGGCAATAAAAAACGAATGAAGTATGGATACATACAACAAGGACAAAGCATGAAAACATTACGATAAGTAAAAAGAAAGAAAATCACAAAGGACCACATATTGTATGATTTTATGTATATGAAATGTCAAAAATAAGCAGATACATGGAGACAAGAAATAGATTAGTGGTTGTTTATGGCCGGGATAGGGAAAATGAGGGATAAGTGATGAATAAGGCATGTGGAGTTTCTTCTGGGGTAAGAAAAACGTTCTACAATTGACTGGGGTGATAGATGCACAACTTTTGAATATAGTAACAGTCACTGAATTTACTCTTTAAGTGGGTGAATTGTTAAGTATGTGAATTATATATCAATAAAGCTGTTTTTAAAAAAGAATAAGTAGAAAATATCAAGATGGTAGATTAAAATCCAACCATATCAATAATTACACCAAAGGGAATTGGTCTAAACATTCTGATTAAAAGGCAAAGGTTATCTGATTGAATAAAAAAGCAAAACCTAAATACATGCTGCCTATAAAAAATACACTTTAAATATAAAGACACAAGTGGGTTAAAAGTAAAAGGGAAAAAGATGCAAACACTAGTCAAACAATAATACAAACACCAAAGAAAGGTGAAGTAATTATGTTAATATCAGACATAGTAGATTTCAGAGCAAAGGATATTACCTGTAATAAACAGGGTCAGTTTATAATAATAAAGGGATGAATTCATAAAGACATGATATTTATGCATCCAATAAGACAGCTTCAAAATCCATGAAGCAAAAACCAATAGAACTGCAAGAAGAAACAGACAGACGAATTCACAATTAAAGACTTCAAAGATATCAACACCAATCTCTCAAAAATTGATAGGCTAAATGGACATAAAAATAAGTAAGGAAATAGAAGATTTGAGCAGCTTTATTAACTGAAGTGTCCTAACGGACATTTCTGAAACACTCCACCCAACAACAGCAGAACTCACATTCTTTCCAAGTGCACACAGAACATTACTAAGAAGACCATATTCGTTAAACAATAAATTTCAATACATTTAAAAGTATTTGCCATACAAAGTTATGTTCTCTCACCACAATAGAATTAAATTAGAAATGAAACAGAAAGACATTTGGAAAAACCTCTAATATTTAGAAACAAGATAACACACTCTTAAATCACAAATAGGTTAAAAAAATCAATAAGGAAATTAGAAAGTACTTTAAATTGAATAAAAATTAAACACCATATATTAAAATCAATAGTATGCATCCAAAGCAGTATTTAGACACAAATTTAAAATACTAAAATGCCTGTACTGCAGAGAGAGAGAGAGAGAGAGAGAGAGAGAGAGACCACCTTCATGGATCACAGCGCTAAATATTAAGCTATCAGTTATCCTGTAATTAATCTGTAGAGTCAATGCAACTGTAATTAAAATCCCATCAGACTTTATTTTTGTGAATTGATAAGCTGATTCTAACAGCCACACGGAAATTCAAAGAACAAAGAAAAAACAACTTTAGAAGAAAGAACAAAGGAAGAGGAAGAACAAAGTTGAATGACTTACATTACCTGACTGTAAGACTTGTTATAATGCTACAGTAATTGAGACAGCATGCCATTGGTGACAAATCAACAATGGATCAATGGAATAAAATAGAGTCCAGAAACAAATCCACACATATATATGAGCCATAGAACGCTATACATCATCCAAAAAAAAAGGAAAGGAATGAACCATGGACGCAGGCAACAACATGCATAAATCTCAAAATAGTTTGAGTGAAAGAAGTCAGATTTTAGAAAGAGTACATGCTGTATGATTCTATTTGTATAAAATGCTAGAAAGTGTAAACTAATTTACAATGATGAAGAGCAGATTAATGGCTGCTTGGGATATGGAGGGGGCAGGGAAGTGGGAATATGGTGGAGGGGATCACACAGGGGCACAAGGAAGCTTTTGGGAGCGATTTCATGGGTATAAACATATATCAAAACTTATCATCCAGACGCGGTAGCTCACACCTGTAACCCCAGCACTTCGGGAGACCAAGGCAGGCAGATCACGAGGTCAAGAGATCTAGACCGTCCTCGCCAACATGGTGAAGCCCTGTCTCTACTAAAAATACAAAACTTAGCTGGGCGTGGTGGCGTGCGCCTGTAGTCCCAGCTACTTGGGAGGCTAAGGCAGGAGAATCACTTGAACCAGGGAGGCAAAGGTTGCAGTAAGCCAAGATCATAACGCTGCACTCCAGCCTGGTGACAGAGTGAGACTCCAGCTGAAAAAAAAAAAAAAGAAAAAAAAAAAAAACTTTCTCAAGTTGTACACTGTACAATATTTATATACTTGCAGTTTGTTTTATTTCAATTACACCTCAATAAAGCTGTAAAGCAAACAAATAAACATGCTGTCTTCTCTACTCCAGCCTTGTCTACATCTAATCACCTACTCAACATCTGCACTTGCATGTGTAATGGACACGTAAAACTTAACATACCTCCACTAAACTCATGACTTTCCCCCTCCCTCCAAACCCATTCTTCCCCATCTCAGTATCTGACAACTTCATCCCTCCAGGACAACTTCATTACTCCTTCCAACAAACCTGGGAGTAATCCTTGACTAACTCTTAACTCTCCTCCTTCTCTCACCTCCACATCTGATCTGTAAGCAGATCCCACTGGCCCAACCTTCAGAGCAAAGCTAGAACTTGACCTCTTCTCATTACTACAACCACCCCAGTCCAAGCCACCATCATCTTTTGTCTACATTATTGCAGTTATCTCCTCACTCTGCAGTTTGTTGTGAGTCAATAAAACTGCAAGATGAGGCCGGGCGCAATGGCTCATGCCTGTAATCCAAGCACTTTGGGAGGCCGAGGTGGGCAGATCACCTGAGGTCAGGAGTTCGAGACCAGCCTGACCAACATGGTGAAACCCCATCTCTACTAAAAATACAAAAATTAGCCAGGTATGGTGTCGCGTTTCTGTAATCCCAGGTACTTGGGAGGCTGAAGCAGGAGAATTGCTTGAACCGGGGAGGCAGAGGTTGCAGTGACCCAAGATCACGCCACTGCACTCCAGCCTGGGCAACAGAGTGATCCTGTCTCAAAAAAAAAAAAAAAAAAAAAAGGCAAAAAAAACACCTGAAAGAAGAAAAAGAGGAGGGGAAGGGGGAGGAGAAGAAAAGGAAGAGAAAGAAGAGGGGAAGGGAAGGAAGAGAAAGAAAGGAAGAAGGAAGGAAGGTAGGAAAGAAGGAAGGAAGGAAAGGAGGGAGGGAGGGAGGGAAATGCTGCTAAATCCCAAATTCTTATCCCCTTTTGTTCTCACCTCCACCTCCTGTAGTGCATTCACCACACAACAGCCAGAGGGATCCTGTTAAACATAAGTTAGATTATGCCTCTTCCTAACAGAGCCTTCCAATGACTTCTCAACTCATTCAGAGTAAAACCCAAAGTGCTTTACTATGGCTGACCTTGTCTATTACCCAGCTATTTCCTCTCTGACCTCGTCTCCCCTCCTACCCCGACCCTTTCACTTAGTCCTTTCTAGCCACACTGGTCTCCTGGCTGTTTCTCAATCGTGACAGGCATCCTCCTGCCTCCCAGCCTTCATCCCGGTAGTTCCTCTGCCTGGACACTCTTCCCCCAGACAAACACATGGCTCATCCCTTCACCTCCTTCAGATTCAACTATCTTCCAAGGAGGTCTCCTCCTCCTTTCTGCCCCCTTCTCGGTCCTGGCAACTTAGCAAGCAAAGTTGTTTGATTTTTAAAGCAAGCACCAAGAATACAAAGTCAGTATGTTTCCAGGCGTTCTGTTCCTAGCAGAAGAGTTCATACAAATATGGTTATCACCACATCAGCACTTCGCCTGTGCTGCTGATTTTCCCTTTACCCCTTCAAATCACCACCCCACCCATCCGTGTGCTAGTGATGCTCCCTCCCTCAACCCCCTTCCCCATAATCCTGTCCCTCTCTGCCCTAAGCCCTGGGAGGCTGGTTCCTGTGGACTCCATTTCCCAGGCTCCTTTGCGGCTGACTTCGGGTTGGTTTCAGCCAATAAGAGGCATCCAAGGAGACAGGAGGGCGGGAAGGGAGAGCGCCCTGTGTATTTCTTCTCCGCTTTCCCACCCCAGTTTTGGCGGCGCACAGCCTCTCCTTGATCATACCTCGTGTCTGGCTGACCCTCACGCACAATGCCAGCCCTGCTCGACTCTGCTTTTATCATCCCTCCCCTTCCCCGTCTCACCTAGAATTACCTGGAATGCTGCTGGTCCCTGGGTGCCACAACCATCTTCGCAGGTTCCCTTATTCACAGTCCCATGTGAATGTAAACAGTCCCATCAGTAAGGTCTCTTCAGCTGAACGGAGTAGGGTTCTGTTTCCTACAGGACCCCGACTAATAAATACACCTGGACTCCACCTACCTGAGGATTTCACGTCAGCTCCAAAAACTACCTGTCTGCCCACTAGACAGAGGTTCACTGTGCAAATATCCCTCGAAAAGATGACTATTGAATATAAAGTCACTCTAAGCTGTAGGGTATCTGCTTCTTTTCTTGGAGCCAGGCTTTGTAAGGGGAGGTGGGTAGTAACAGGTGTCTCAAAGAAGTGGGAAAGGGGATGCCTTGGAGGTAGGGGAGTCAGGAGCAGATCGTGTTTAAACGGCCCAGGGTTCCAGCCCTGGCTTGGCTACTGGTAATTACTTTGGTAATAACTTAATGTTTTTGTGCCTTAGTGTCCACCTCTGTAAAGTGGGGATGACATTTTAAGCGTTTACCCTATGCATGTTACAAGGATATCATCAGGCTAATATACCATCAAATGGGATAAAGTAAGAAGAAGCAGCAGTTTGGAAAGTATGACACCAAGATGGGCACCCCAGCACCTCCTCCTCTGAGAGGAGCCACTGCCCCAGTTTGGCAGCAGTCTATAGTAGATTACTACCTGAGAAACTGAGTCAGCTTGCAGGCTTTAAATGATAATAATGATAATTTAATTGTCATTGTTATTTCTTAATATATTTATTACCAATTAGGTAATATTATTATTGCTTAATAAAAAACACTTATAACAAGTATTGTTTCAGGTACTATATTTCTCGAGTGCTAGCTGTGTGCTAAGCACCTTCTGCACATTATCTCATTTCATCAGCATAATGATTCTGCGAGATACAGGTACCTGCATTAGCCTCGTTTTACTCATACACAGACTGAGGTTCAGAGAAGTTAAGCAACTTGTCCAAGGTCACGTAGCCATTCGGGGTGGGGCCGAAATTCAAATCCAGGCTTATCCCACATTGCTCTGTCTTTTCCACAAATCCACTCTGTTAGAGCAGGGGTTCTCAGCGAGTTGGCAAGAAAGATTTGGCCCCCTCTCCCCAGGCGACATTTGGCAATGTCTGAGGCATTTTTGTTTGTCCTAACTGAGGGGGTGAGATTGGCATTTCGTGGGTGGAGCCAGAGATGCTGTGGGTATTAGTTTACTAGGGTTGCTGTAACAAATTACCATAAGAACAACAGAAATGTATCATCTCACAGTTCCGGAGGCCAGAAGTCTGGAGGCAAGGTGTCTGCACAGCCACTCTCCCTCTGAAGGCTCTAGGAGGAATCTTTTCTTGCCTCTTCCCAGCTTCTGGTGGCTCCTGGCAATCTTGTCATTCCTTAGATTGTAGCTACATCACTCCAATCTCTGCCTCCATCTTTGCATGGACTTCTTCCCTGTGGCTTTGTGTGTCCCCTCCTCTTCTTATAAGGACACCAGTTGTAAGATTTATTTTTCTTTAATTGACAAATAATAATTGTACATCATTAGATTTACAGCCAACCCTAAACCCAGAATTCTTTCATCTTGAGATCCTTAGCTAATTACATCTGCTAAGACCCTTATTCCAGAGTCACAGTTATTATTTACTGAGTGCTAGCTGTATGCTCAACACTGTGCTAAGCAGTCTATGCATTATATCATTTCATTAGCCTGAGGATTCTGTGAAATTCAGGTACCTTCATTAACCCCCGTTTTACTCACAGGGAGGCTGAGGTTCCAAGAAATTAAGCAACTTGCTGAAGGTCACATAGCTATTCCCAGGGTGGGGCTGAAATCAGACCAGATGGGCATGAATTTTGGAAGAAAACTATTCAACCCGCTACACTGAACACCCTTCAACACACAAAACAGCTCCCACAGCAAAGAATTATCTGGCCCCAAATATCAGTAGTGCTGAGGTTGAGAAACCCTGCTTCAGAGAGGCATTTCTTCTCTGGCAAGCAATGAGAATTGCCTCTGCTTATCTTGACAGCTACAAACAGAAAGGGGCTCAGAGTGTGTGAGACCGCCCTCTCTGAGTGAGTCCAGAAGCCACCCTCTCCTGCCCACTCAGTCCCTCCACCTTTTTGGGCCCATTTCCTCTGATTTAGCCTCCAGTATCTTTATGGGGATGTTGTTCCTGCCTGCATTTTTGTGGGATTTTATGTTTTGAACAATAGGGTCTGATCCATTCTAAGTATTAAGCTTCAACCATAAGTAAGAAGTACCTGGCCTCTTCTTTCCCAAATGGGAAGCTGCTCAAAAATCAGATAAAGGGACCGGGTGCAGTGGCTCATGCCTGTAATTCCAGCACTTTGGGAAGCCAAGGTGGGAGAATCACTTGAGGTCAGAAGTTGGAGACCAGCCTGGGCAATAAAGTGAGACCTTGTCTCTACAAAAAAAAAAAAAAATTTTTTTAATCCACTGGCCACGATGGCACGCACCTCTAGTCCCGGCTACTTGAGAGACTGAGGCAGGAGGATCACTCAAGCCCAGGAATTTGAAGCTGCAGTGAGCTATGATCATGCTACTGCACTCTAGCCTGGGCAACAGAGCAAGACCATGTCTCTAAAAACAAACAAAAACAACACAATATCAGATAAAGGAACTCAGGCTCATGGGCAAGTTGTGAAAATTATCATCTGATGGCTGCCAGAGACCCTGTCTCTACCAAAAATAAAAATAAAAAAAAGACTCTTTCAGTCTTCCAACAAATATTTATTGAGCAACTGCTATGTGCTTGGTCCTGGACATGCAGCAGTGGGCAGCAAAGCTGATGGTGTCCCTGCTCACATGGAGCTTCCACTCTGATATAGACCATTACAATTTAGGGTGATAAATGCTGTAATGGAAGAAGTTCAAGGTGTACCAGATTTCAAGGCACCAAGGAAGGTTTCCTGGAGTAAGTAAGGTCTTAGCTGAGATGTGAAGACCGAGTCGAATTCAAATCCAGGTGAGCCAAACTCCACCACAACCTTAGTCCCCAAGCAAAGGCCAAGGGAAGAGTGGTATTTAGAAAGGGATGAGCTTGTGCAAAAGCCCAGAGAGAAAAGAGAGCGCATTTGAAGAATTGAAGGAAAGTCAGTCTATGCTTCACTATTTTATTTTATTATTTTATTTTATTTTATTTTTGAGACAGTGTCTCACTGTGTTGCCCAGGCTGGAGTGTAGTGGCGCAATCACAGCTCACTATATCCTCGAACTCCTGGGTTCAAGTGATCTGCCCATCTCAGCCTCCCAAGTAGCTGAGATTACAGATGCACACCACCATGCCTGGCTAATTTTTGTTTTGTTTTTTGTTTTGTTTTGTTTCGTAGAGACAGGGTCGTGCTATGTTGCCCAGGCTTATCTCAAAATCCTAGCCTCAGGTGATCCTCCAGTCTTGGCCTCCCAAAGTGCTGGGATTACAGGCGTGAGCCACCACGTCCAGCTGATTCACCCTTTTAGACAAAAAAAAAAAAAAAAAAAAGCTGAGATGGTGATTACTAATATCCACCTTTTGGTTTTTCTCTCCGTTATCTGGGGGCTGCCTTTGACCTTCCTTTCTACTGTGAGCTGTTTGGATATTTTCTTTTCTTTTCTTTTCTTTGAGACAGAGTCTTGCTCTGTTGCTCATGCTGGAGTGCAGTGGTGCGTGCGATCTTGGCTCACTGCAACCTCCACCTCCCAAGTTCAAGCAATTCTTGTGCCTCAGCCTCCCGAGTAGCTGGAATTGCAGGCGTGCACCACCACACCCAGCTAAATTTTGCATTTTTGTAGAGACAGGGTTTCACTATGTTGGCCAGGCTGGTCTTGAACTCCTGACCTCAAGTTATCCACCTGCCTCGGCCTCCCAAAGTGCTGGGATTACAGGCATAAGCCACCGAGCCCAGCTGGATGCTTTCTCTTGGTGCTCATGTTGAACTTGGTTCTCTTTTTCCTGAAGTTACAGGGACTCATGTCTAGGCCTGACCTAGGCCAGGACAAAGCCTTTGGACCTCATTTAGAGAGGGACATCAGGCATCTTCGGTGTCTAGAAATTACTTAGTCCCAGCGAGGTTGAGGCAGAGGTGCAAAGTCCCCAGAAAGCGTCAGAGCTGGGGCCTGTTCACTGACAAGGTAGTTCCTATTTTAAAAATCAGAATCAGAGACCAGGAGCCATAGTCATTAGCTGTGTCTCCCGTTTCCTCTGGATCTTAGAGGAACAAAGGGATGAGGAACCTGGCCTGGGGAGTTTGGAGGTGACCTGCATTCAAATCCTGCCCCACACACTTACTAGTTGTGTGATGTGAAGCAAGTCACCTCACCTCTCCAACCTCATTCCTCATAACCATGATGCTGTCCCCTCGGGGTTATGCCTGTGTGTTACAGATGGGTCATTGGACCATTCTCCTAAGGGTTCAGCACAGGGCTTGGCACCCAAAAAGAGCCCAGTCCTTTGGGTTCATTTCTTTCTCATCTCTGAACCCAGCCTCCTCCTTCATCAGGTTTCCAGGGAGGCTCACTAGAGAAAGCAGGAAGTAGGAAAAGAGAACAGTCCTTCCATTAGGGTATTCGTTTTTTATTAAAGAATTACAGGCCGGGCATGGTCGCTCATGCCTGTAATCCCAACACTTTGGGAGGCCTAAGGGGGCAGATCAGTTGAGGTCAGGAGTTCAAGACCAGCCTGGCCAACATGGTAAAACCCTGTCTCTACTAAAAATACAAAAATTAGCTGGGCATGGTGGTACGCACCTGTAGTCCAAGCTACTCAGGAGGCTGAGGCAGGAGAATCGCTTCAACCTAGGAGGCAGAGGTTGCAGTGAGCCGAGATCACACCACGGCACTCTAGCCTGGGTGATAGAGTGAGACTCAATCTCAAAAAAAAAAAAAAGAAAAGAAAAAGAAAAAGAAAAAAAGAATTACATACAAGAAGCTGCATGCAAATTATAAGTACAACTTGACATAATTTCAAAAACTGAGCGCACCGTGTAACCTGCACGTGGTTGAAGAAACAGAACATTGCCGGTGCCTCAGAAGCCCCTCAAATACTCCTTCACTGTCACCACCACCCCCAAGGGTGAACGCTACCCTGACTTCTGAAGCAGACATTAGTGTTGCCTGCCTTTCTATTTATGATACCTAGAATCATGCAGTGCATTCTCCTTTGTGACTGGCTTCGTTCATTCAACATCATGTTAATGAGAGTTATCCACTTTGATGAAGGTTAATTATAGATCGTTCACGCTTGTTGCTGTACAGTATTCCATTTTGTTTATCTGTTCCACTGTTGATGAGTATCTGGGGAGTTCCCAGTTTGGGGCTATTGCAGTAAGCACTGCTATGATCACTCCAGTGTGTGTGTGTGTATGTCTTTCAGTGAGCACACAGACACGTCTCTGCTAGGTATACACTTAGGAGTAGAATTGCTAGGTCATAAAATGTTCCACTTTAGTAGCTGCTGCCAAATAGTTGTCCAGGGTGATTATACCAGGCACTCACCTAAAAAAAAAAAAAAAATCAGTGACGGGAGGTACTGTGCCCTTTTTCCCCAACAGTCAATCATTTGTTCAACCCATTTATGGAACTCAAATCTGGGCCAGGCCCAGGCCAGGGTGGGTAATTGGAATGCTCAGGTGGAAAGGCCAGGGGCTGGTGCTGGCCTCATGTGCCCTGAGATCTATTCCTCACCCTTCTCCTCCCCTGTGCCCGTGAGTGTTGTGGTAGTGGGTGGGTGGGTGGATCAGGGGTCGAGGTTGGCGCCGAGCCCTTCAGGCTAGGTTTCCCAGGCCCCTGGGTCAGCTGGACGGTGCTGCCTAGAGCCCAGCAGGTAGGAGAATGGAAGAAGCTTACAGGCTGTAGCTGCGTCTCTTCCATGGGGTGCAGTAGCATCACCTGTCTCCTTGTTCCTGCAGCCAGGCGCAGGAGAGTGGGGGAGGGGAAGACAGTAGTGGCTTCCTACTGTCATGCCTCTTTGGTTTCCCCACTCTTCTATCACCTACAATCACCGCCAGTTTTAGATGCTTTTAGAATAGTTTCTCTCTTTCTGGTTAGATGCTCACTGATCCTGGCAGGGACCACCAGGGCCAGTGGGGAGATCTCCAGGCAAAAGGCCAAGTCTCATTCACTAAGACCATTCCACTGGTGGTGGCAGACCCAGGGGGATGATGGAGGGCCTAGATAAGCTCTAGATTGCCTGGGGAGTCACCAAAAGGATGGCTGCCAAATAAGTGCAGTAGCTCCTCTCAGACCAAGGAGCAATACGGGGAGGCCGACTTCTGTCCTGCTGGCCAAGGCTGCTCCCTCCAAGGCATCCCTCTGTTTGGTTCTGTGGACTGGAGATCCACGGGCCAGTCCTCAGTGTGAATTGCCTGGGATGGCTTCCTGGATAGACAGTAGCCCCAGGAGTGGAGAATGGCATCTTGGACCTCATGGTATTCCCAGTGCCTTATGCACAGTAGGTGATAATAATAACTCACATGTGAGCATTTACTATATGTAGGCACTGTTCTGAGCACTTAGCAGGTCTTAACTTATTAAGCATGTATTGTTGTGATCCCATTTTACAAATCAAAAAACTGGGGCACAGGGACTTAAAGTAACTGGTACCCAGTCAATATTGGTTGATGACAATAGCATCAATAATTAGTGTAGCAGAGTGCTTTAAAACACTGGCTTTGGAATTCCAAGGATAATGGTTCAAATCTGAGTTCTGTCCCTTGCTAGTGTGGAAACTTCTTTAGTTTCCTTCATTCTTGTAAAATAAAAATAATGATGCCCACCTGACCAGGTTCCTGGGAGGATTAAATAATGAATGAGCATCAGTCAAGTAGTATGTGTGTGCGTGTGTGTGTACATACATATATACATGCACACACATAACACAAAATTGTCCTTTACCACATGTACATTACACTTCAATTTTTTTCAGTTGTATACTTATTTGTTTATAATTAGTAATAACCCAAAAACAAGTCATAACCTTCAGCTTTAACAAATTAACAATTAGCTCAATTTATCTGATAAAATAATGTATATGATGAATTTGCCTATGATAATCTAGACCTTTGCCTCTAGTCATAAATTGCCCCTTTGGGGATCATATTAATAATCCCAGTGTATGAAATATATTTTTAACACTGCATTATTTTTAACTTTTTATGTTGAAATAGTTTCAGGTGCAAAATAGAATAAAGAATTGCCATACACCCTTTACCCAGATTCTCCAAATTCCCCAAATGTTAACATTTCACTACCTTCATTTTATCATTCTTTCTCTGCTTCTCTCTCTGTTTTTTTCTGAAACATTGAAGAGTAACTTACAAATCCAATGACTCTTTATTCCTAAATACTTTGGTGTTTATTTCCTAGAAATGAGGATATTTTCTTAAAAGATTATAAAAACCCAAAATATTAACATTGATATAATAGCATTATCTAATGAGATAACTTACTTAAATTTTGTCAGCTGGGCGCGGTGGCTCACGCCTGTAATCTCAACACTTTGGGAGGCCGAAGCAGGTGGATCACCTGAGGTCAGGAGTTTGAGACCAGCCTAGCCAACATGGTGAAACCATGTCTCTACTAAAAAAAAAAAAAAATAGCCGGATGTGGTGGCACATGCCTGTAATCCCACCTACTCATCTACTGGGGAGGCTGAGACAGGAGAATCGCTTGCACCTGGGAAGCGGAGGTTGCAGTGAGCTGAGATCGTGCCATTGCATTCCAGCCTGTGCAACGAGAGGACAAAACTCCATCTCAAAAAAAAAAAAAATTGTCAATTGTCCTACTAATATCCTTTAGAGTACAATAAATGAATGGATTTTTCTGTTCCAGGATTTTGTTTCGCGGTCATGTCTTTTTAGCATTCTTTGATCTGGAGCAGTTCATTTGTCTTTGTCTTGTGACCTTGACATTTTTGAAGAGTAAAGTCCAGTTATTTTTGAACAGTGCTTCTCAATTTGGGCTTGTCTGATGCTTCCTCGTGACCTGAGTCAGGTTGTGCATTGTGGGCAGGAATACCACCAAAGTGAAGCATCATTCTCAGTGCAGTGCATCAGGAGGCATTTGATATCTATGTGGTGATTTTCACTTTGATCACTTAGTTAGATGGTGCCTGCCAGATTTCTCTACTGTAAAATTAGTGTTTTTCCTTGTAATTTATAAATATCTTGTGGGAAGACACTTTGAGTCTATGTAAATATCCTGTTTCTCATTGTACTTTCACCCACCTGTTTCAGCATTCATTGGTGATGCTTGCCTAAATACCCTATGACAGCTGTCAAATGATGATTTTTCTAATTCCATCATTCTTTTACATTTCGTAGTCAGGATTCTACACTTATTTTTATCAGTATCGATAAAAAATTTTATGCTATAAGCTGTAATCTCTTACTACCACTATTCCATTTGATGCTCAAATTGTGCCAAATTGGGCCAAAGGGAGCCCCTTCAAGCTGGGTCCTGTGTCCTTTTGACATGTTCCCATCATTTTTTGTGTACTCACTTACTTTTGGCAAGCTAGATGTACATCTGTATTTCCCTCGTCCAAATCTGGAATCAGCCATTTCTCCAAACATTCCTGGTTCTTTTTGGTAGAGAATTTATACCTCAACTTTTAAAAAAGGAAGAAGCATGAGGAGGAGGAGGAGGAAGAGGAGGAGGAGGACTAGGAGGAGGAGGAGAACGAGGAGGACAAGGAGGAAGAAGAGAAATGCCCAAATTAAGAATTATACACATTGCAGTATATTTTAAGTGTTTACATTTTATAAAACCAATGGTTTTTAACCACCCCCCACAAAAAGTCATGCAAGTATAATTGTGTTCCCCCATAAGATAGTTAAAACAAAAGCCTATGTTTGAGGTTCTTCTTGAATGTGGGTTTGAATAACTTCTCTTCCTCCCCGTCACACTCCATGATGGGCCTATCCTAGGGATACTCAAATGGGGAGGTATAGGGAATTCCGCAGTGTCACGGTGAACCTCAGGGAGCTCTGCTTGAGTTCTCTGAACCCTGACTTTGACTTCCAAACCCAGGCCAGCTTTAAAAAGGTATCTGTTTTATATACTGGTATATTGGGATTTTGAATTTTATTTTATTTTATTTATTTTTTGAGACAGGATCTCACTGTGTCACCCCAGCTGGAGTGCAGTGGCAGAATCATAGCTCACTTCAACCTCGGACTCTTGGGCTCAAGCAATTCCACCACTGTGGCCTCCTGAGTAGCTGGAACTATAGGCACGTGCCACCACTCCCAGCCAATTTTTTAATTTTTATTTTGTAGAGATGGGGTCTTGCTATGTTGCCCAGCCTGGTCTCAAGGGAACTTCCTGGCCTCCTGGCCTCAAGGGAACCTCCACCTCAGCCTTTCAGTCACTGGGATTATGGTCATGAGCCACCATGTCTGACCTGGTGTATTGGGATTTTACTTTGTTTTGCTTGGGGAAGTTTGCAGGGAGCGGGGTGGGGAAGGTGGTTAAGAAGGGCCAAGACATCTGATTTCAAATCTTGGCTCTGGCAAGTGACTTAACATCTCTATGGATCAGCCTCCTCATCTGTAAAATGGGGATGTGGTGCCTCTGGAGGATCTTGCAGAGGGTGACATTATTCAATGCAGCCACTGGCACGTAAGAGCTGTAGATATGATGTTGGTGGTTGTCATGACTTCACATAAAGGCTGTGGCCTTTGGAGACGTCTACCCATTCTTAGATTCATCGCTTAAAATGATCCCTGAGAACCCCCACTATCCCCAGGGATTGTTGTTCACAAGTATCTCTCATGGCCCAGACCTGCAAGACCTCCATGCTGACCTGACGTTAGTCAAGCACCTGTATGCGTCTGTGCATCAGGCATCTGTGTCAGTCAGGACACTTTCTGGTGCAAATGACAGAATTCCAACGCCTGTCAAGTTAAACAAAACAAGGATCTATAGGCTCTTCCTCCACCTTCAGGCATGGCTGAATCCAGGGACACAATTAATGATGTCACCAAGTTACCAACTCTCTTTGTCTCTTCTGGGACTCAGTTTTCCTCTGTGTTGGCTTCACCTTGAGGCAGGCTCTTGTGCAGCAGCAAGATGTTCGATGGCCACGGGCTCATATCCCACCAGCTGTGCAACCCCCAAAAGGAGAGAGTGGCTTTTTCCCAGTCTGCAACTGTCTCAGGACTGATGCTTATTGGTCTGCTTGGGTCACGTGCCATCTCTGAACCAATCCCAGGTCATGTTCTGTGCTGGATCACTTCTGTTTGCCTCTCGATAGCCACTCTCCACCTTTTCCACCCTGCTCTGTGCCTTGGGAGGGCGACCCTTAGAGATGACAAAAACAAGCTCCCCTGCCTTCTGGGTTTAGGTTGGGTTGAGCAAATGGGAGGCACAAGAAGGAGACTGGAGGGCAAGAAGAGTAAGGTCAGAGTGTGCATTTTCCAGCTACTTCTCTCCCATGTCTCCATGCGCTGGCTGTGTGTGTCCACTGAAGGTTGCAGCTCCTGCTAAGGTGCTTTCTTCATACAGCACCATTCTTCATGGGTCCAGTAATCCCTCCCTCCTTGCCCCTTCAGATATGGGAGGTGATGGCTTCCTGCTACTATTGCAAGACCCAAGACAGTGCACCAACTCTTGTTTGTTTCCCTAAATCCTGCCTTCACCTTAGTAAAGAGACCCTATATAACACTCTCCTCAGTGACAGAGTTGAATGTGCCACCTATGTCCTGCTAATACAAACGCTCGCTTCTGGAACACAGGTGAGGTCTGCCTTAACAGACCACAAAAAGAAGAGACAGAACAGTGCTACCGGACAGAGAGCATCAAAGTGCTTTGTAAACCTCCAAGCATCAGACCATGTTGTGGGTCAGTATGGAAAGTCAGAGTCCTTTTTTTTTTTTCTGAAACAGAGTCTTACTCTGTCGCCCAGGCTGGAGTGCAGTGGCGTGATCTGGGCTCACTGCAACCTCTGCCTTCCAGGTTCAAGCAATTCTCCTGCCTCAGCCTCCCAAGTAGCTAGGACTACAGGCTTGTGCCACCACACCCAGCTAATTTCTATATTTCTCTTTAATAGATACGGGGTTTTACCATATTGACCAGGCTGGTCTTGAACTCCCCACCTCATGATCCACCCACCTCGGCCTCCCAAAGTGCTGGGATTACAGGCATGGCCACTGCGCCCAGCCTCTTTTGTTTGTTTGTTTGTTTGTTTTTTTGGGGGGGTTTTTTGTTTTGTTTTGTTTTGAGACAGTCGCACTCTGCCATGCAGGCTGGAATGCAGTGGTATGATCTTAGCTCACTGCAACCTCCGCTTCCCAGATTCAAGTGATTCTTCTGCCTCAGCCTCCCGAGTAACTGAAATTATAGGCACGCGCCACCACACCGGCTAATTTTTTGTATTTTTGGTAGAGATGGGGTTTCACCATGTTGGCCAGGCTGGTCTCGAACTCCTGGCCTCAAGTGATCTCCCCACCTCAGCCTCCCAAAGTGCTGGGATTACAGGCGTGAGCCACCCAGCCTGGCCCAGAGTCCCTTTTAATCTTGGTTTCATCCTCCTTCCTCTGAGCTTCACCAAATGATGGAACGAGGAAGGGAACTGGGTTTGGAGTCCCCTCTCTCCTATCTCCCTCTCTCTTATATTTCCCACTAGCTGTGTGACCTGAGCAAGCTTTTCTGAGCCTCTCTTAAATGAAGAAGCATTGCCTGCTTCCCCCATATGGTTGTGAACAGAATGAGATAAAATGATGGCCACGGGGAAGGATGCTGGCATCTAGAGTTCCCTGGTCACTGTGTGTTAAAACCTCAGGACTTTGTGACACTCTCAGGTGTCCCCTTCCTTCTTGTTTGTGATTCCTCTTGTTTCCATTGTGGCTACGGAAGATTCTAGTCCTCTGCCAGCCACTTTCTGCATGACCTTAGAGAAGACCACCTATACCTCCCATCCACTCCTCGCCAGTATGTTATGAAGATCAAAAGTGATAACACACTTTCACGGTCTTTCTGTCTCACCCCAACCTGCAGGAGGCCAAAAGCTCCTTGAAGGCAGGGATGTCATCTCTTTTGTCCCCTGTGTTTTCCCCATGCCAAGGAGAGAGCAGCACAGACCAAGTGCCCAATAAGCAGGTGCTGAATAAACCAAGCCAAACAGAAATCAAGAAAGACCTGGTCGTTGTTGTTGTTTTACTCCTGGATATTAAAAGCAAAATGTGCCGGGCACGGTGGTTCAGCCTGTAATCTCAGCACTTTGGGAGGCCGAGGCGGGTGGATCATCTGAGGTCAGGAGATCGAGACCAGCCTGGCCAACATGGTGAAACCCCGTCTCTACTAAAACAAAAATTAGCTGGGCTTGGTGGCGCACACCTGTAATCCCAGCTACTTGGGAGGCTGAGACAGGAGAATCACTTGAACCCAGGAGGCAGAGATTACAGTGACCTGAGATCGCACCATTGCACTCCAGCCTGGGCAACAAGAGCAAAGCTCAGTCTCAAAAAAAAAAAAAGCAAAATGGAGAAATGTAAAAACAGGGTTACAAACTGCCCAAATGGCCAGCCTCGCCGTGGGTGATAATAATAATATCACCTACACTACAGGCTTGTTTCAAGATTGAAATGAGATCATGTACGGAAGGCACTGGGCACGGTACCACCCTGCAGCCAACGTTGGGCGGATTCTCTGGGAAGGAGTGACTTGGAGGACCAGCGCCTGGCTGAGAGGCCAACATGGGCTGAGCATGTCTCTGTCCCTGCCGGTCTGGCACTCGCTGCCGAGTTAATTGTGGATCTCAAGGAGGGAGGCTGTTGTCTTGGAGGAAGTTGTGTCTCTCTGTTTCTCTCAGGAGGGACACTGTGGCTGATAAAAAGGCAAAGAGAGGCTGGGTGCGGTGGCTTATGCCTGTAATCCCAGCACTTTGGGAGGCCAAGGTGGGGGAATCACTTGAGGTCAGGAGTTCGAGACAAGCCTGGCCAACATGGCAAAACCCCATCTCTACTGAAAATACAAAAATTAGCTGGGTGTGGTGGCGCATGCCTGTAATTTCAGCTATGCGGGAGGCTGAGGCAGGAGAATTGCTTGAATCTGGGAGGTGGAAGTTGCAGTGAGCCAAGACTGCACCACTGCACTCCAGCCTGGGTGGCAGAGTGATACTCTGTCTCAAAAAAAAAAAAAAAGCAAACAGAGACTCTGGGTTGGGCTGAGAGGACGAGAGGACACTAGACTCAGCTACTAACTTGAGCATCTGATGAATGATCTAATTTGTCTGGGCCTCAGTCTCCTCATCTGGAAAATGGAGATATTTACACCAGTTCCATCTACTTCACAAGTAGTCCTGGGGAGCAAATTTTAAAAATGGCTAGAATTAGGAGCTCCTGGAAAATATAGGATCCCTAAAGAAGCTCAAGGGATCATTAAAACCTTTCCCTCCCTCCAAAACACACTTAGGCCCGAGGGCCCCCAGAGCCTCATTTCCAAGACTCTTCCTCTACTTTCCGCCATCCCTTCCTCTCACCCTTTGCTCTAATCAATGAACCTTGCACAACTTCCCCAGGCTGGCTGCAAGAGAACTCTGTGCAAAGGCCTGGATTGAAATGTCCCTGGTTTCTATTGATCTGGAAGGGACTCCTCCTCTAGGATTGCTGAAACAGGGCACCCCGCAGGCGACAGCTCCGCAGGCAGCTCCTGTGAAGGGAGGAGAGGAGCCATCTCCACCCTCCTGGAAAGTGAGTCACCCTATCAACATGCCCTTCTGACATCACAGCTGGTTCTACCAGATCCCCCTAGAGCTGAGGCCTGCCCTTGCCAAGCCGGCCCTTGCCAACCCTGGCCCTCCTCCCTTCTCTGGAATCAGAAGCAGAAGACACAAACGGACCAGGCCAGAACTATCAGGACCCCAGAACCCCACTCTATTCAAAAGTCTTCCCAATGATCACCTTTGTAAAACAAAAACTATGATTACTGAATAACACAGAGTAAAAAGAGAAAATGTCCCCTCCCTGCCCGCCATCCCGGTCCACGCACCCAAAGAAACCATTATTAATAGCTCAATGTGGAAACATTCCAGATTTTGTCTAATGCATATTCAATGTTTAAAATTAACATTTAATTTTGCAACTAATACAGAAATCTTTCTTTTTTGAGGAAAAAAAAAATGAAGCAGAGCAAAATCTGCTTTGACCTTTACCCACCACCTGAGTCCACTCTTGCCACAGCCCGTGGGTTATCTTCACCTTTCTCTATGTGCTTTTATGTGTACATATGTCTATGTCCATGGGAAATAGAAAGCTGTATTTTGTGTACATGTGTTTTATATAAATGCTGACATATATCACACCTATTATTTGCCAGTCCCAGTCACACTGAGTCTAAGGATCTCTGCAATGTTGGACATACATAGCTACCTTGCTCTAAGCATGTCAATGGTATTCTTTTACATAAATATATCAACATTTATTTATCCTTTTCTTATTGATAAATATTTAGGTTGTTTCCAATTTTTCTTAGATCTTTTATAAAAATTTTTTTCAACTTTGACCAAATTCATTCATGTTCATGGTATTAATAAGTCAAATAATACAAGGCTTATAGAAAAAAATCAGTAATCAACCCCCAATTACATCCACTTCCGAGTCCTGCTCTGGTAAGAAAACGATTTGCCACTTTCAGGCCAGGCACAGTGGCTTAAGCCTGTAATTCCAGCACTTTGGAAGGCCAAGGCAGGCGGATCACCTGAGGCCAGGAGTTCCAGACCAGTCTGGGCAACATGGTGAACCCCCACCTCTACTAAAAATACACACACACACACACACACACACACAAAATCAGCCAGGCATGGAGGGGTGGGGTCAGGCACCTGTAGTCCTAACTACTCCAGAAGCTGAGGCAGGAGAATCGCTTGAACTCAGAAAGTGGAGGCTGCAGTGAGCCCAGATCATGCCACTGCACTCCAGCCTGGGGGACAGAGCCAGACCCCATCTCAAAAAAAAAAAAAAGGGAAAAGAAAATGACTTGCCACTTTCAGCTCTTTCTTCTGGTACTTACCTCCATATTTACAAATAAGATGCTAATGTATGATTTCTTGATTTCTCAACCTTAGACATGATTGACTGCCTTCCTACTGTGGTGGAAGTGGATTTAATGCTTTACACTCACCACCCCACCAACTTGTCTGTCAATTATTCCCATATAATAGTTTTCCAGTTAAATCAGTATCCCCTGTTTACATTATTGTAACCATAGAACTACTTTTTCCTGCCAAACAGTGGTTCTGTACTTTAACTGCACATCGAACCATACAGGGAGTTTTAAACAATCTCAGAGCCCAGCCCACACCCTAGATCTAGTCAACCAGGCTGTCTGGGAGTGGGGTCCAGGTATCAGGATGTTTTGACACTCCCAAAGGGATTCCAATGTTTAGCCAAGAGCAAGAACCACTGTTGCTAAAGCCACGTATGATTACATTGTTTTCTTTGTTTAATATTTCCTCTGGGAAATATTTTTTTACACCTGCTTAGATTTCTATGTTTCTATCACAAATTCTTTTAAAACTCTCCAACAGAAGTGTAAAACCCCTCTGGATGCTATTGTCTACACTGTCAAGCACAACATCATTTAGAAATTCCATTTCCCACAAGGATGCTCTGGAGCCATCCTACTCCACTACAGAAAGCTCATTCTGTCTGTGTGGCCCAGCCACAACTCTCTCTCTTTCTTCTGTGTTGCTTTCTGTATTTCCTGGGTCTCTTATCTTTCTCTTTCTTGATACTCTCTTCTTTTTGGTAGAGCAGATCCTCTAGTAGCTTTCTGAGAAAGGGTGCATGGGAGTATATTTTTTGAGACCTTGTATGTCTGAAAATGTTTTTATGCTACCCTCAAACTTGAGGGACTGAGACTTCGGCTTGGAATTCTAGAATTCTAGAGTTGGAAATTATTTTTGCTAAGAATTTTTGAAACCATTACATTTGGGCTCCCATTGTGTATTTGGAGAAGTCCAATGCCATTCTCATTCCTGATCTTGTGTATAAAGCCTGTATTGTCTTTAAAGAAGTTCTTGGGCTGTTCTCTTTAATTTGTGTAGTCTGAAGTTTTGTGATTATGTGACTCTATTTTATTCATTTTTCTGGGCATTTGATAGTTCCTTTCAACCTGAAAGTCATGTTCTTGAAAAATTTTTTTTAGACAGCGTCTCACTCTGTCACCCAGGCTGGAGTGCAGTGGCACAATCACAGCTCACTGAAACCTCCACCTCCTGGGCTCAAATGATCCTACTATATCAGCCTCCTGAGTAGCTGGGACTACAGATGTGTGCTACCATCCCTGGCTAATTTTTATTATTTTTAGTAAAGATGGGTTTTTGCCATGTTGCCCAGGCTGGTCTTGAACTCCTGGGCTCAAGCCATCTGCCTGTTTTAGCCTCCCAAAGTGCTGGGATTACAGGTGTGAGAAAAAATTTTACGAATTAGTCTTATAACAATTTTCTGTACCCCGTATTTTCTTTTTCTGAAATTTCTATTAGTTGTACCTTGGACCTCTTGGATATTTTTCTTTTCTATTTTTATCTCTTTCTATTTCTCTTCTTATCCTACTTTTGAAGGATTTCTTTAACCTTTCCTGCCTCAAACTCCCATGGAATGTTTTATTTCTACTTTCACATTTTTCATTTACAAGAACTCTTTCTTGTCTTCTGGTAGCTTCCTGCAGCAGACATTGTTGGTGCCCTATCCACAAATCCTTGGCATTAGCTCCTGCATGATGCCCAAGGCTATTTTCTGTAAATATCTATGACTGTCTGCACAAGGGCTGTTTTCTTCCAAGTAGCATCCTCAGTCTGAGTACAGGACAAGCTGGAAGAAAGTAAGGTCAATTCCCTTAGAAGCAGTTAGTGGATTATTGCCCATTGATTGGGATGCTTCTGCAGCAAGTTCTACACCATCTCTTGGAG
Source organism: Homo sapiens (assembly GCF_000001405.40). Taxonomy (NCBI): domain Eukaryota; kingdom Metazoa; phylum Chordata; class Mammalia; order Primates; family Hominidae; genus Homo; species Homo sapiens. The sequence goes on along the minus strand of NC_000016.10, from coordinate 58,219,441 downwards.
TTTCCTAGTAATATCAAGCTCCAGCTGTCTACAACGCTAACTGGCTGGATAGCACACCTTTTATTGGCTTCCCTCACTTCCCTGTCTCACTTCCCCAATCCTCAACTTGTATTTTCTGTGAATACCTGCCAAAATTTACTTATACTGGAATCATTGTCTCAGAGTCTGCTGCTGGGGAAACCCAAACCAAGATACCCTGATATGGTTTGGATGTGTGTCCCCACCCAAATCTCATGTAGAATTGTAATCCCCAGTGTTGAAGGTGGGGCCTGGAGGGAAGTGATTGGATCATGGGGGCCGATTTCCCCACTTGGTACTTTACAGTGAGTGAGTTCTCATGATATCTGGTTGTTTAAAGTGTGTGGCATCTCCCCCATCTCTCTCTTGCTCCTTGCTCTGGCCATGAAATATGTCCCTGCTTTCCCTTCGCCTACCACCATGATTGTAATCTTCCCAAGGCCTTCCCAGAGGCAGAAGCCCCTGTGCTACCAGTATAACCTGCGGAACTCTGAGCCAGTTAAACCTCTTTTCTTTATAAATTACTCATATCAGGTATTTCTTTACAGCAGTGCAAGAATGGCTGCCCCTCCTTTTTAAAAGTAAAATCTTATTCTTGTCTTATGGATGCAATAGCTCATTATTTCTGTAAGAATATGAATTATAGTGAGATGTAACTTTTTTTTTTTTGAGACAGAGTCTCACTCTGTCACCCAGGCTGGAGTGGAGTGGCGCAATCTCGGCTTACTGCAAGCTCCACCTCCCAGGTTCACGCCATTCGCCTGCCTCAGCCTCCCGAGTAGCTGGGACTACAGGTGCCTGCCACCACGCCCGGCTAATTTTTTGTATTTTTTAGTAGAGACAGGGTTTCACCATGTTAGCCAGGATGGTCTCAATCTCCTGACCTCGTGATCCGCCTGCCTTGGCCTCCCAAAGTGCTGGGATTACAGGAGATCTAGCTTTTTAAAAAGGCACACACCTGCTTCTATGCGGAGAACTTAGCTTGGCCCATAATATCTAGGCTAATTTTCTGAGTCTTCTCTAGTGATAATTCTCCAGTCTCCTGCTGAGGAAGGATATGTGCCTGGCTGGCAGCATCCTTAAAGCCAAGGAAGGGCTAGGGTTCACACAGACTTTCATATATCATCCCCGTTTTTAGTATAGTGTCTCCCCCTCCCTTCTGCCATGTCTAGAGTCCTTTATTTTTTTGAGATGACATTTCGCTCTTGTTGCTCAGGCTGGAGTGCAATGGCACCATCTCGGCTCACTGCAACCTCTACCTCCCAGGTTCAAGTGATTCTCTTCCCTCAGCCTCATAAGTAGCTGGGATTACAGGCGCCTGCCACCACACCTGGCTAATTTTTTGTGTTTTTAGTAGAGATGGGGTTTCACCATGTTGACCAGGCTGGTCTCAAACTCCTGACCTCAAGTGATCCACCCGCCTTGGCTTCCCAAAGTGTTGGGTTTACAGGCATGAGCCACTGCACCCGGCCTCTAGTGTCCTTAAGTCTCATTTTTCTGTAGAACAAATTTCTGGCAAGGTCAGGAAAGGGTAGTTGCCCGGGCGCCCCAGATTTGAAAGGGGATCCAAGTGGTTATTCCAGTTATAACTGCTATGCAAAAAATCACCCCAAACTAATTAAAATAAAAACACTGATTTTACTGTCTCTCATACTTTCTGTGGCTGAAGAATTTGGGAAGGGCTCAGCTGGGTAGTTCTAGTTTGGGATCTCTCATGCTGTTGCAGCCAAACAATGATTGAAACTGGATTAGCATGCAGCTGGCAAAGCATCTATCTCTCTTTCTCTGAAGTCTCAGGTCTTCTCCATGTGGTTTCTCCATATGAGCTGTTTTAAGCTTCCTTACAGTATGGCAGTGTCAGGGCAGTCAAACTGTTCACATAGAGATTTATAGTTTTAGCATGAGAGTTCCAGCCTTGGAAATTATGCACCATCACTTCCACTGAATTCTATTGTTACAAATGAGTCACTTGAATTGAGCCTGCCTCAACTCAAGGGGAGGGGACCTAGACTATATCTCTCAAGAGGAGGAATGTCACAGTCACACTGTGGAATAGCATGTGGAATGGGAGATATTTGTAGTGGCTATCTCTGAAAAACACAATCTCTACAGTGGTCTCACCACCTCTTATATGGGGTTCCTAGTTTTACTTCTGTTTTCAAGCCCATTCCACCTCTGTCTTAGTCCATTTTGTATTGCAATAGCAGAATACTATAGACTTGGTAATTCATAAAGAAAATAAATGTATTTGGCTCACAGTTCTGGAGTCTGGGAAGTCCAAGAGCATGGTGCAAGCATCTAGTGAGGGCCTTTGGGCACCATCATCCATGACAGAAGGTGAAAAGGCAAGACAGTATGGGAGCAAGAGGGGGACAAACTGGATTTTACAACAAGCTCACTTTTGTAGTAATGAACCCACCCCTGTGACAATAACATTAATCCATTCATAAGAGCAGGGAGTCCTCATAACCTAATCACTTCTGATTAGACCCCACCTCCCAACACTGTTGCACTGGGGATTAAGTTTCCAACACAAGGTCTTTGGGGGACACATTCAAATCATAACAACCTCCAACACATCATTCTGACTAAATTTCTGGCATTTGGGGTTTTAGTCCATAGATCTTTCTGTTTCTTGTGGGGAGACCCCTTGTACAGGTGTGCAGGTTGGGCAGCACAGTGGAACCATATCTTAGGGGTGCCATTCACCTTGTAAACATTTTTGCTTTGTCCTCTTATTATGATAATGTTCCAGCAGGTAGCAGTAAAGGGTGGGAGGAACGCACATTATATCACTTTCCCACTAGATGGATGTCAAGCATCTAGAGGAAAGGAAGCCACTTCTCCATGCAAAGACTACAGGCTAACGGGTACACTGACTGCTGGTTGATATTTCCTTCTGCAGGCATTTTCAGCTCTACCAAACTCACCTGCTTTCCACCTTCCAAAAATGTGTTTAAAACTCTCATCTGCGGCCGGGCGCAGTGGCTCACGCCTGTAATCCCAGCACTTTGGGAGGCGGAGGAGGGCGGATCATGAGGTCAGGAGACCAAGACCATCCTGGCTAACACGGTGAAACCCCATCTCTACTAAAAATACAAAAAATAAGCCAGGCATGGTGGTGGGCGCCTGTAGTCCTAGCTACTCGGAGAGGCTGAGGCAGGAGAATGGCGTGAACCCGGGAGGCGGAGCTTGCAGTCAGCCGAGATCATGCCACTGCACTCCAGCCTGGGCGACAGAGAGAGACTCCGTCTCAAAAAAAAAAAAAAAAAAAAACACCAAAACCAAAACTCTCATCTGCTATTTTCCTGTCTCTGCTTCATTTTGTTTCTTTTGTGAGTTTATACCTTTTTAGTTCATTGACTCTGATTTTGGTTGGGCTTTGGGAGGGGGCAGACAAAAATGAATGCCTTCAATCTATGAAGTGAAAGTGCCATGTTTTCCATTTTTCCCCCAGTGTAGATTGCTGCAATGATGCTTCCCTACACACGTGAGTATTCATACCCCTTTGTACAGTTTACTTTTACAAAAATGGATCGTGCTGTACATATCATTGGACGATTCGCTTTTTTTCACTTAATATATTCTGGACATCTTTCAATGTCAGCATATATAGATTTATCTTACTCTTTATGAAAGCTGCATAATGTTCCAAGGTAGGGACAGAAGTCCTATTCCAGAGGAGAGAAAAAAGAAAAAAGTACCCGTTCATCATTCCTTATCCCCCAGTGGGTGGGGATGACAGCAGGGCAGGCATCTCTGCTGTCAAGGAGCAGGATTTGGTGGGTGGGAATGGGTTGCACATAGTTTTAACCATATCTTTGCCTCTGTATTTACATAATTAGAGTTATAGTGTGGACAACTCAGATTCTGATTTTTTCCCTTTGGCTTTTTTCCTATAAACCATGATTTCTCAATTGTGGCACCACTGACATTTTGGACCAGATAATTCTTTGTTGCAGAAGCTGTCCTGTGCATTACAGGATGTTTAGTACATCATGGCCTCCACCACTAGATACCCACCACTTTCCCATTGGTGACAATAAAAAATGTCTCCACTCATTGCTTAATGTGCCCCAGGGAAACAAATCACCCCCTATTGAAAACCACTGCTATAAACTGATCTGAAGACCTCTTAGCAATCTACAACGCAGTTAGTAAAAACCCAGTTTTTACTTCTTGTGTTTCTGTCACAACTCTTTATTTATTAATTGGGGAGAACACACTTTCTCAGCACTCTATTCCCCTGTGTGCTCAGATAAGGGTTTCATTTCTCTTAACTTACTCTTGAGTTTTGTTTCCTGTCAAATTTATTTGCTGGCTTTCTTTCAAAAAATGTCAAAAAACTCAAATGTAATACATATTTATTGTGGAAAATTGGAAGATACAGACAAGCTCAGGGAAGAAAACTTTAAAATTTCCTTAAACCCCCTCGAGATAACCACTGATAACATAATTTTGGTCATTCTTCTTTTTTTTTTTTTTTTAGACAGAGTTTCACTCTTGTCGCCCAGGCTGGAGTGCAGTGGCACAATCTTGGCTCACTGCAACCTCCGCCTCCCAGGTTCAAGCAGTTCTCCTGCCTCAGCCTCCCGAGTAGCTAGGATTACAGGTGCCTGCCACCACACGCAGCTAATGTTTTGTATTTTTAGTAGAGACAGGGTTTCACCATGTTGGCCAGACTGGTCTTGAACTCCTGACCTCAGGTCGTCTGCCCGCCTTGGCCTCCCAAAGTGCTGAGATTACAGGCATGAACCACCGCTCCCAGCCCCATTATTCTTATTTTTTAAGAGATGGGGTCTTTCCATGTTGCCCAAGCTGAAGGGCAGTGGCTATTCACAAGTGCAATCATGGCACACTATAACCTCAAACTCCTGGCCTCAAGCAATTCTCCCACCTCAGCCTCTCAAGTAGCTGGGACTATAGGCACATGCCACCGCACCTGGCTAGGTGATTATTTTTGTAGCCTTTTCGTTTTTTTCTCTCTCTTCTTCTGTGTAGAATGTAAGCATCCATGTATACACACACACACATTTGTATAAAATTTTAAGGAAAACCCTTCTTCTCCAGGTCCTAACATTGTAATGTCTCCCCCTGCTTTAAGTTCCCAGAGTATTTTGCAATCCCTTCTCATTTGTGCATCCAGGTGTCTCCACCTTATAGCTTAAGTTCTGGTGTCTATGGTGATTAAGGCCATCACTTATTGGTATCTTTTTTTTGAGACATAGTCGCACTCTGTCATTCAGGCTGGAGTGCAGTGGTGTGATCTCGGCTCACTGTGACCTCCATGTCCACGTCCCAGGTTCATGTGATTCTCCTGCCTCAGCCTCCCAAGTAGCTGGGATTACAGGCGCCCGCCACCATGCCCAGCCAATTTTTGTATTTTTAGTAGAGACGAGGTTTCACCATGTTGGCCAGGCTGGTCTCGAACTCCTGACCTCAAGTGATCCACCTGCCTCGGCCTCCCAAAGTGCTGGGATTACAGGCATGATTATTGGTATCATTTTTGAAATACAGCAAATAACTCCTGTTCCCTTTCAAAGTATAACTTTAAGAACATTAAAAATGCAACTGTTATACAAGTGAGCATGCACCAAGATACATATAACTTGTTAATGGGGGACCCAGCAGTATGGTAAAGATTAGTGCAAAAGAGAATTAGAGGGAAAAGGGTTATATAGTCCATCAAGAAAGACACACTAAAATCAGTTTGTTAGGTTAGAGACAAAACTGATTAATAGCCAACAGGGCAAATAAAACGGTAACCTTTGGGGTTCTCTTTTCTACTAGACAAAAATCATTTGCATCTCTATCAAACAAAATTCTACAAATTAGCACATAACTTTATAGAATCTGGGCCCCAGTCAACAGTAAAGTTGAAGTCAAACAAAGGTACGTCCCTCAGATTATGAAACAATCCAGGAGTGGTCTGTTAAGCAATGCCCAGCATGCACTGAAGTGACGCACAGTCTTCTTCTTGCCTTATTTGCCACGTTTGGGATCATTTTTCTCAATATCCCATAGTTCCCCAAGCACACTCTGCACAGTATTTCCCTAAGGGAAAGTGGACAAGATTTCTGTGGTTCCTTGTCATCTCTCATCTTCCTCTCCTCTACCCACACTCTAAGAAGGTGAGACCAGTCCCCAGGGACCTGGGTATTTCCAATTAGTTACTGCACCTGGCCTGGCTTCCTCTTCCATATGGCCTTCCTTCCTTCCTTCCTTTTTCTTTCCTTCCTTCCTTCTTTCCTTCCCTCCTTTTCATTTCTCTCTCCCTCCCTCCCACCTTTCCTTTCCTTCCCTCCCATCCCTCCCTCCCTCCCTTCTCTCCTTCCCTCCTTCCCTTCCTCTTTTTCTTTCCTCCCTCACTCCCTTCCTTCCTATCTTTCTTTTCTTGAAACTTCCCTTTTTTCCTTCCTTCTTTCTTCCCCTCTTCCCTCATTTCCTCCCTCCCTTTCTTCCTCCTCTCCCTTCCTTTCTTTTCTTCCTCCTTCTTTCTTCCCTCCCTCCCCTCACTCTCCTCCCTCTTTCTTTCTTTCTTTTTTTTTTTTTTGGTGGACTCTGGCTCTGTCACCCAGGCTGGAGTGCAGTGGCACAATCTCAGCTCACCACAACATCTGCCTCCTGGGTTCAAGCAATTCTCATGCCTCAGCCTCCCGAATAGCTGGGATTACAGGTGCATACCCCAACGCCCAGCTGATTTTTGTATGTTTAGTAGAGACGGGGTTTCACCATGTTGTCCAGGCTGGTCTTGAACTCCTGATCTCAAGTGATCTGCCCACCTCAGCCTCCAAGTGCTGAGATTACAGGCGTGAGCCACTACACTGGCCCCTCCTTCCTCCTTATTCTTTCCTTTCTTCCTCCTTCCTTCATCCTTCTCTCCCCCTCTGTCTCCCTCCCTGCCTTCCTTTCTTCCTTCTTCCCTTCTTACTTGCTTTCATTTTTATGAATATATAACTTTCATGGAGATATAATTCACATACCAAAGTGTACAATTTTATTATCATATAATAGTCTATAGGATAGATATACCAGGTTTCATGTATCCATTAATTAGTTGATGGGCGGGCATATGAGTTATTTTCACTCCTTGGCTATTTTGAAAAATCCTGCTATAAACATTAATTACAAGTTTTGGAGGGGACTTATGTTTTAATTTCTCTTGAGTATAATATACCTAGGCATGAAGTTTCTGGCTCATGCGGTAACTGTGTTTAATCTTTCTAGGAACTACCAAGCTGTTTTCCAAAGTGGCTGCACCATTTTGCATCCCCACCAGCCCTGAATGTATGAGGGTTCTAATTTCTCCACATCTTGTTAACACTTGTTACTATCTATCTTTTTTATTACAGCCATCCTAGTGGGCTAGAAGTGGTATCTCATTGTGGTTTTGTGGCCTTGCTTCTTAAACCAATCTTGCACAGACACCAATTTTGCGCACAGACACCAATTTTGCACACAATCGGAGGTACCCAGCACCATGGCATCAGGTTATAAATTTCCATTCATAGATTAAGTCTGATCAATGAGTGAAGACTGCCTTTCTGAGCCACCCCACAGGTGGGGGGTCTCAAAGGGGTATGGCCGCTACACCAAGCCCTGCCCACCGTGGGGAGAGAATCTAGAAAGATGCTCTTTTGGCCACATCAGGATCAAGTTCTTGCAGTAAATAGCAGCAGTAAGTGCCATGGTTTGTAACGTGAGGCAGTAGACAGAGGAATGCAGGCTGGCCCTGGGCTGGGCCCCCTCAAGGAGGTCCCAGGTCTCCCTATGGTGTCATTTGAGGCCTGCCCAAAACAAAATGACCTCCTTCACCACCCTGCCATACTCAGAGATTCCACCACATTCCCAGAGGTAAGTAAATAAGTTGCCACCTTTTTAAAGTGTGAATCCTTCTGGGAGGGGTAAGCATCTTGCAAGAAGTCCATACCTTATTGTGAATTAGCTTATCAGATAGATGCCAACCCACACCCTGCAGGGACAGGACTCAGAGGAAGTGGGAGTTTTGAGTCATTGGGAAGGGTGGGAACAGGATATGAGGGAGCTCTGGTAGAAAAGGGGCAGCAGTGCTCAAGAGGTGACATTTCAGGATGCCAAGATGGGGCCAGAATTGGGTCAGTGGGGCTCAGGGAAGGTTTTCATCTTCATTCATCAATGGACAGTGGTCATGATTCATTTATTCTATGTGACACATTGTGCTAAGTGCTTTGCATACAATTTTTCTATTTTATTTATTTAACAAACACTTACATAGCACCATGTGCCACCACCTACCTCTCAAACCCCACATGCCACATCTTGTTAGCTTCCCCTAAAATATGATTCCCGAATCTGAGCATTTCTCACCACCTTCCCAACCATCCTCCTCACTTTCCTGGTTTCCTGCAGGTCTCCTGGCTGGTGACTCTGCTTCCACATTTGCAGTTAGAGCAATCCTTTATAAAGCAATATCTCTTCTGCATTCAACATGTGCCAATGGCTTCCTATCTTGGTCACTACTGTAGTCCTTACAATAAGGTGCTTGAACCATCCCTCTTACCTGGCTGACATTACTTGCCTACTGGCTCAGCCACAGGACACCTGCTTTTCCTCCAACACACCAGCATGCTTCTTGCAGGGCCATTGCAATTACTATCGTGTTCTCCCTAGAACATTCTTCCCCCAGAATCTGCCTTGCTGATGCCTTCACTTCTTCAAGTCTCAGCTTAAATGTCACCTTCTCAGAGAGACCTTTCTTAACACTGCCTCCTCTATCTCAAAGAGCCCTGTATTGCCAGCTTGCTCACTGTCAGAAAAGAGGATTACAAATATAGACAGAAAACTAGAATGAGTTCTGTGGTGTTAGATTGGAATTGGAGGCATGAAATGTACTCATAGTTTTCAATATACACAAATAAATACAGAAATAAATAAATGTATAAATGTGTGTCTGCATGTATATGTTATTGAATGTATACATACATGTATTCTCTAGCTCAGCCTGGGAGCAGCAATAGTTCAATAACAATGAGCACACTCATGCCCTGATGTTGGCTTCTAAACACTAGTCTCCACTAAAAGGAATCAGGATCCCTTTGAGCAATGGTTGATTCCAGGGCTGGAACAGGAAAAGTAGAAGATGAACCAGGAGCAAATTTTGTGCCAAAAACAAGAAAGCGATCAGAGGACGATAGGACAGGTAAAAGGGATTCAGGAGCCAGTTGGAAGGGGCTCCCACCAGCAAATAGAAATGATTTGAGCATCAAAATAACTCATGATAATAATGGATTATAACTCATTGAATAAAATAGATATCCATGAGTCCATAATAATATAAATAACTGCTGGGCCTGGTGGCTCACCTCTGCAGTCCCAGCACTTTGGGAGGACAAGGTGGGTGGATTACTTGAGCCCGGGAGTTCAAGACCAGCCTGTGCAACATACAAAGACCCCCATAGCTACAAACAACTTTTAAAAATTTAGCCGGGCATAGTGGCAAGCGCCTGGGGTTCCAGCTACTTGGGAGGCTGAGGTGGGAGGATCGCTTGAGCTTGGGAGGTCAAGGCTGTAGTGAGCAGTGATCGTGTCACTGCACTCCAGGCTGGGCAACAGAGCAAGTCTCTGTCTCAGAAAACAAACAAAAGGCTGGGTGCCGTGGCTCACGCCTGTAATCCCCCACTTTGGGAGGCCAAGGAGGGCGGATCACGAGGTCAGGAGATTGAGACCATCCTGGCTAACACGGTGAAACCCCGTCTCCACTAACAAAATACAAAAAAATTAACCAGGCATGGTGGCGGGCACCTGTAGTCCCAGCTACTTGGGAGGCTGAGGTAGGAGAATGGTGTGAATCCGGGAGGCAGAGCTTGCAGTGAGCCAAGATTGCGCCACTGCACTCCAGCCTGGGCGACAGAGCGAGACTCCATCTCAAAAAAAAAAAAAAAAAAAAAAAAAAAAGCAAACAACAACAACAAAAAACCAATAATATAAATAATTAAATAGAAAGTTTGATGAGGACTAGGATAATTACATAGTTTTCAAAATGCCTTAACCCTTCTTTTCTAGGTCTTTGTAGTCAGAATTTTTTTTAATAAAAAAAATTTAAACAAAGAAAATACCTCAGTCCCAAGTATGAATTCATTAAAAACATAAAAAGGGCCAGGCACAGTGGGTCACGCCTGTAATCCCAGCACTTTGGGATTTGGTGACATTTAATATCCCCTGAGGAGGGCAGATCACAAGGTCAGGAGTTTGAGACCAGCCTGGCCAACATGGTGAAACCCCGTCTCTACTAAAAATACAAAAAAATTAGCTGGGTGTGGTGGCAGGCACCTGTAATCCCAGCTACTTGAGAGGCTGAGGCAGGAGAGTTGCTTGAACCTGGGAGGCGGAGGTTGCAGTGAGCTGAGATCACACCACTGCACTCCAGCCCGGGTGACAGTATGAGATTCTGTCTCAAAAAAAAAAAAAAAAAAAAAAAAAAGCTTAAAAAGAGTCACTTTACAGTAAAGAAATCTGGCATACACTACCCTGATAATCAACTGATTGAAGTTAATATCTTCAGTAATGGGACCAAGAAAACTGTATGCCACCTGGTAGGATGCAATGAGAAGAACACAGCTTTATTTCTGTGATATTTCTGCCAGAGATGCATAATCTGAATCTAATTATGAAGAAACATCAGATAACCCCATTCAGGAATATGTCACAAAATAACTCACAAATAATCTTCAAAAAGACACTAAAAAACTGTCATAAATGGAAAGAGATTTTTAAAAATGACCACTAAATGCTGCACGTGGTTACTGAGGGGATCTTTTTGCTCTAAAGCAGTGGTCCCCAACCTTTTTGGCACCAGGGACTGGTTTTGTAGAAGACAATTTGGGGGTGGGGGGATGATTTTGGGATGGAAATATTCCACCTCAGATCATCAGGCATTAGTTAGATTCCCTTAAGAAGGCTGGGCGTGGTAACTCATGCCTATAATCCCAGCACTTTGGGAGGCCGAGGTGGGTGGATCACCTGAGGTCAGGAGTTCGAGACCAGCCTGGCCAACATGGTGAAACCTCGTCTCTACTAATAATACAAAAATTAGCTGAGCATGGTGGTGCACACCTGTAATCCCAGCTACTAGAGAGGCTGAGGCAGCAGAATCGCTTGAATCTGGGAGGCGGCAGTTGCAGTGAGCTGAGATCACGCCACTGCACTCCAGCCTGGATGACAGAGCGAGACTCCATCTCAAAAAAAAAAATTCCCATAATGAGCATGCATCCTAGGTCCCTTGCTTGTGCAGTTCACAGTAGGGTTTGAGTTCCTATGAGAATCTAATGCACCATGATCTGACAGGAGGCAGAACTTAGGTGGTAATGTTTGCTCACCTACCGCTCACCTCCTGCTGTGCAGCCTGGTTCCTAACAGGCCATGGACTAGTACTGGTCCACAGCCCTGGGGTTAGGGACCCCTCCTCTAAAGGACATTATTTGGGCAAATGACAAAATTAGGATAGACCCTAAGGATTAGATGGTCATAATGTATAGGTGTTGACAGAATGACACAATTCTGCTAATCAGGACAAGCTCCTGCCTCACTGAAAGATGAATCTCTCAATGACACTGATGTCCAGTGTGGTGGCAACCACTGCCGTCTTTTCCTAATTGTCTTTCTCTACTGTCATCTGTGTCTCTTCCACTTTCTCTATGGAGGGATTGATCATACCTTAGGCATGTAGAGTTTTGATCTTCTTGGGATTGATTGTGTTTTCTGATCATCCATGGGAACTTCTGCTATACTCTGTGCTCTCATGGGCATCAGAGCTGACAAAGGGCCCATCACTAATGTAGCAGGATGAGCCCCGGACAAAACCCCTCAGACACTGGGTTAAAGAAATGGCTTTATTCAGCCGGGAGTTTCCTCACTGGCTTGGGAACAGGCAGGACTAGGACCCAGGGTTTCTATGTCATCCTCTAGTCAAACAGGAAGACTTCTGCAAGCATCCAGAATGGTGTGCTTCCTAAAACAAAAAGTAGAGCTTGCATGTGCAACTTCATTTAGTTTCATTTAGTTTTTCTTCAGGATAGAGAAGCTAGTGTCTGTCGGGGGATAGTAAATGTCACCAAATCCCAGGCTCAGTGTCTTCTGAACAGAAGGCCTAAGGGGAGGAAGAGTAGGGGCTGGAACACAGGAGGAAAAGTCCAAACTCCAGAGGATTCCTCCACGTTTTTTTTGCCTGCAACAATCAGAGCAGCTAGCCTTTCTGGGGAGCAAATATTCCTGCTTCAAAATAACAGCAACTGTAATGTGACTAGCACATGTCTGATTTCCACTGGTGACAAAGTCACAGGTACTGCTAATACTGCCATGTTTTGTTTTGTATTGTATTGCTTTTTTTTTTTTTTACTATATCCATAATGGGAGAGAGGAAATGCTAAATTTTATTTAGAGATTGGTGAATAATGACATAATTTTTTTGTGTCTGAATTTATGAACCCACTGAGTTCTCACTACTGACCTAGGTTGAGGACCTCTGGTTTAGTGTGTGCGGAGTCTAAAAGCCCAGAGATCACTGTAGGAAAGGCCCCCGGGGGAAAATCCAGGGAGGAGCTGGCTTAACTCAGGACAAAGGCTGTGGGCACCTAGACAAGAGTGTAGATGGGAGTGGCCATCTGGAGAGGAAGCCAGTTGCACTTGGTTGGGGTTGGGGAGTGGTGGGGGGGATGTGGGAGCTGTTGGTGATTCTGGGAAATTTGGTTGGGCTAAGAGATACTGTGGGCAGGGTGCAGAGGCTCATGCCTATAATACCAGCACTTTGGGAGGCCAAAGCAAGAGGATCACTTGAGCCCAGGAGTTTGAGACCAGCCCGGGCAACATGGCAAAACTGTCTCTGCATAAATTGGCTGGGCATGATGATGTGCACCTGTAGTCTCAGTTACTTGGGAGGCTGAGGTGGGAGGATCACTTGAGTCTGGGAGATTGAGGCTGCAGTGAGCCATGATCGAGCTACTGCACTCCAGCCTGGGTGACAGAGCAAGATCCTGTCTCATAAAAATAAATAGATAGATAAATACATAAATAAAATAAAGAGATACTATGGAAGAGCAGTTTGGCAGGAAAATGATGAGTGTTTTTGAAGTTTGATGGCTTTGCCAGGGTCTATGGGAGACTGTCACTGCAGCGTCAGCCCACTCCCCTCCAAATGCCCACTCCAACCAGGCAGAAGTGGGTGTGTCCACCAGGAAAGTACTGTTTGCCCTTCAAAGTAGCCCCTCCACTTTTGTATCTCTTGAAACTCCAGGATTAAGGCTGCATTCACCAGACTTCTTAGTCCTTTTCCTATTTAAGATTTAAATCCCTTTGCAATAGCTGTTAGTTAAATTTTAGTCTAAAGAGATTAATTCATCCTTCCCTGAGAATATTAGAAGAGTTTCAGTTCACTGAGCTTCATTTGGGGGGTGAGGGGTGGGCACCCCCCACCCCCCAAATGAAAAAAATATGTGCCCTTTTCTCCAGCCAGGCAAGACTGAATAAGAGGGGTCACCCACAGGAGCACCAGCAGAAAATTCCCATTCCTCTGGCTCTCTTGCCCAGGACAGGCTCTGGCACATTCCCACCATCCCCCTCAGGGGCATTCTCTGGTTGGAGGACAGAGTGGGTCACACGGTAAGGATGACTAGGACAAAAAAGAATAAGAAAGTGATATTCCTAAGGAATTTATGTGCGCATGTTCCCAGGGGGAGTGCAGCCAATTTGGCCTTAATGTATATATTTTATTCACCTGTCTGGTGCCTGAAAGAAACACCAAGGTAAGAGTCCAGCACTCTGGTAAATTAAACTAAATTTGGCCTGCGGACATCTCCGTACTTGAGTCTTTATATAATGAACTGCAACCTACCTTGCAGGTAAACCGACCGAAATCCTAACTTAGGAGTCTACTATTGTAACAAACAGCTGAGTCTCAGCCAATCACAGCAGCCAAGCTTCAGTCAATCACAGGCGCCCCACTGATCAGACCACGTTCAAATAAGGCAAGAGCTGAGCTGTAACCAACCCAACTGCCTGTGTACCTCATTTGTTTTCTGTCCATAAATGTTGCCTGACCACGGTCAGGTCAGAGTTCTCCATGCCTATTCTGGTTCTAAGGGCTCCCTGATTCTAGAATCGTTCTTTCCTCAATTAAACTCTGCTAAATTTAATTTGTCTAAAGTTTTTCTCTTAGCAATTCCCCATAAACTCCTTGGATTACAGAGAGAACTCAAGACCCTACGTCCCTACCCTCTGTCCTTTCCTAGCTGGTGTAAAGCCCCCATTAACCCACAAGTTCTTGAGGGGAGGATTAGGATGGTCAACAGCCTGAAAACCTTGGTTTGATTCCCCCCAATTATGAAAGTAAAATCTATGCTTCCAAGACCCCAAAGCATGTAACGCATTTCCTTCCAGTTCTTTTTGTATGCATTTGTTACATACCTGAAAATTTATCTAAGTGTAGGTATAGGCCGGGCGCGGTGGCTCATGCCTGTAATTCCAGCACTTTGGGAGGCTGAGGCTGGCAGATCACCTGAGGTCAGGCGTTCAAGACCAGCCTGGCCAATGTGGTGAAAACCCCGTCTCTACTAAAAATACAAAAATTAGCCGCGCATGGTGGCAGGCTCCTGTAGTCCCAGCTACTTGGGAGGCTGAGGCAGGAGGCTCGCTTGAATCCAGGAGGCGGAGGTTGCAGTGAGCCAAGATTGTGCCAATGCACTCCAGCCTGGGCAACAGAACGAGACTCCGTCTCAAAAAACAAACAAACAAACAAAACAAACAAACAAGCAAAAAAACTATAGGTATGCACTGGTGTCCTGCTTTGAAACAAAGCAAAGCAAAACAAAATAATAGGTTGTATCATCCATTCTTATTGCATAGAAAAAGGCCTGGAAGGATACACACCGAACTGTGGAAATGTGGAAGGCAAAGAAGGACAAGTTTCACTTTTTATCTGACTGACTCTTGAATTTCTTGAAAAATATTAATGTTAAAGAAAAAATTATTCGAGGCACTTTTGTTAAAGAGGGTAAGGCAGACTTTATCCAAATGAGGGTCATGGCGACAGGTATAGGGACCACTGCAAGGGGTTTTGCTGTGAGTGACAGAGACCATACTCAACAGCTACTCCAACAAGAACACGTGGGTATTTATAACTAAGGAACAGAGTCGGGGTCAGCGGACAGAAAGTTACTAAGAGGACACATCAGGGACAAGGGGTTTCTGGCTAAATTGACTTGACAGAGTTATTGCGGAAGGCAGGCCAGGGTGATAGGATACTGAAGGTGATCAGATGGCAAAGGTAGTGATTTTTTGCTCAACTGATTAGCAGCATTCTTGCTCAAAGTAGATTCAACAAGGACGAGAGGGAAGTCCAAGATCAAGCTTATTATAAAGGACTCAGGAGCCTGAGTAAAGTTTTCATCAAAGGAGACAGTCTTTGTTATTAACCATGCACTACTGCAGGAGTTTCCCATTGCTGCTGTAGCAAATTGCCACAAACTTAGCGGCTTTAAGCAACACAAATTTATTCTAAACGGGTCTCGTTGGACTACAATCAAAGTGTTGGCAGGGCTACAGTGCTCCTCTAGGGGAGGATCCGTTTTCTTGCCTTTTTCAGCTTCTAGAGGTGGTCTATGTTTCTTGGCGCCACCCCCCTTCCGTCTTCAAAGCCAGCAATCACATCATTCTGACCACGGCTTCATCAATACATCTACTTCTCTGACATCCTGCCTCTCTCTTTCACTTTATACGGACCATGGTGAGTATATTTAATCAACCTGGATGCTCCGTGATGATTTTCTATCTCAAAATCCTTAATTTAAGCACATCTGCAAAGTTTCTTTTTCCATATACGGTAACATATTTACAGATTCTGGGGAAGAGTAAGTGTATATCTTTTTTTTTTTGAAATGGAGCCTCATTCTGTTGCCCAGGCTGGAGTGCAATGGCACAATCTCGGCTCACTACAACCTCCACCTCCCGGGTTCAAACAATTCTCCTGCCTCAGCTTCCTGAGTAGCTGGGATTACAGGTGCATGCCACCACACTCAGCAAATTTTTGTATTTTTAGTAGAGACAGGGTTTCACTATGTTGTCCAGGCTGGTCTCAAACTCCTGGCTTCAGGTGATCCACCCACCTCAGCATCCCAAAGTGCTGGGATTACAGGCATGAGCCACTGTGCCCGGCCATAAGTGTGTATCTTTGAGGTGGGTGAAGGATGTTATTCTGCTTACCACAATTACTTGTACAACTTTTCTTTTTGGGACGGAGTTTCGCTCTTGTTGCCCAGGCTGGAGTGCAATGGTGCAATCTCAGCTCACTGCAACCTCTGCCTCCCAGGCTCAAGTGATTCTTCTGCCTCAGCCTCCCAAGTAGCTGGGGTTACAGGCGTGCTTCCACCATGCCCAGCTAATTTTTTGTATTTTTAATAGAGATGGGGTTTCACCATTTTGGCCTCAGGTGATCCACCCATCTCGGCCTCCCAAAGTGCTGGGATTACAGGCGTGAACCACCACACCTGGCCACAAATTTTTAACACGTATTTATTTATTTATCTATTTATTTTTGGAGATAGGAGCTTGCTCTGTGATTCAGGCTGGAGTGCAATGGCATGACCATAGCTTACTGCAGCCTCGAACTCCTGGGCTCAAACAATCCATCTGTTTCAGCCTCCTGAGTAGCTAAGGCTTGCACCAACATGCCCAGCTAATTTTTTAAATTTTATTGTAGAGTTGGGGTCTCTCAGTGTTGCCCAGGCTGATTTCAAACTCCTGGCCTCAAGAGATCCTTCCACCTCGGCCTCCCAAAGTGCTGGGATTACAGGCGTGAACCACCATACCCAGCTCTCCTATTTAAAAATCTTGTGTCCTAAAATTTGTCCATTGCTAAAAATTCCTCATAATCATGCTTTTTAGTAACGCCTAATAGTTTCACTGTAGGGAATGTATCACAATTTATTTAGCTGGTCCCCCAGCTTGTGATATTTACATCACTTTACATTTTCATGATTAAAGATAATGATTATCATGCGGAACGTCTGTGGGCCTTTGCATGACATACTGAATCAGAAAGGGGTTAAGGAAAGTGACGTGGTGGTCAGAAAGATCAGAGTTCAAATCCAGGCTCTGCCTCAGTTGGTCATTGTCATTGGAGTCTTGGTTTCCTCCTCCGCACAAAGGGGACCCTTACAAGAGCTCCAACCTTATAGATTTCTAAAAACAGCTATGTTGAGATAAAATTCACATAACATAAATCCACCCATTTAAAGTCTAAATTCAATGGTTTTTAGCCATGTACGGTTTTGGCGGGATTCAATGATGTAGAATCATTATGTGTGTGATGAACACACAAATTGCCATCATGATCAATAATTCTTTGTTCATAATTTTCATTATTTTGTTAGGCTAGGTTCTTGAGAAGTATCGATGCAGGATAAAAGCCTATAAACTTCTCAAATGTTTTGAAAGTAGGCTTGTGAAGATAGGTGGCCTTCAGTGGGATTTTAAAATGTGCTTTTGTTTTTTGGATTTTTGGTGTTTGGATAGAATTTGGGGGCATTGGAGGTGGTATGAAAGTGTTGGGTTATTTGATTCAAAATACCCTCTTTCATTCCCTTGTGTTGCACCACTGAATTATACTCACCCTCAAACTGCACACACAGAGTAATGAGGGGAAGTCACTTCTAATTCACGGACCCTCCCTGCCTGGCACCTCCCCCGCAGAGTCACCACCCTATCCCTCTTCATATCCAAGTGAGACTCCTTCGGTGAGGGTTGCATGAGTACCATTTCCAATTGCCCACCTTAACTCAAGCCACGCCAGTTTCATGGCGGGTGGGCAGAAATGAGAGGCAGGGGTCTCTGCCAATTCCATGGGGTGCCCACCCAACCTCCCAACAAACCACAGAAATATTCCATTTGGCTGTGGGTGGACTGACTGCAGGTTTTAGGGCTGAGTTAGTATGGTGTCAGCCAAATCCAGGAGTGTGTTGCACCAGAGTGGTGTGTGGGTGAATCCTCAGGCATCCCGCAGGTGTGGGATCAGGTTACGTGAGATGGGTGTGGGCTATGTGGTGAGGGATGAGAGGAAGGTGCACGGAGGGTGGGTGGGGTCAGAGGTGGGCGAGGGTGGAGGTGAGGAATGAGGCCCCAGCTGAGGTTGGACATAGTAGTTAAACCAGTGGTTTGGAATCATTTTTGGGTCATGGCCTCCTTTGAGAATCTGATGTATGCTAAGGAAAGAATGGACACACACACACACGCACATGCACACACACACACACACACACAAACCCACAAATTCTGCATATTGTGTCAGGGGTTCCCAGAACTGGGGAAATTCATCCAAGGACTGGCATTAAGAATCTCTGGTCTGGTCTAGTTCACAGGGACTTGTCAGAAACAAATCCTAAAGCTGCATTAAGAGCTTGAGGATATTTATGTCTTCTAGAGTGAAAGAGATTTAGAAAGGTTTGCAGGTTCAGGAATTAAATTCCAAAGTCCACTTTTTCCATTAATTTTTTTTTCTAGTTTTTATTTTGAAAATTTTCAAATTCTACCAAAAAATTGCAAGCTCATGTACTGTTCAACTACATTCACTAATTATCAAAATTTTCCCCCAATTCCTCCCCACTCTATGCATGCTTATGCTCTCAGAAACCCACATTTTCCTGGAGAACAATTTGAGACTAAGTTGCAAATATTGATTCTTCATCTCTACACACTTGGCATGTAACTCCTAAAATTATGGGATTCTCCTGCATAACTAAATACAATGATCATACTCACAAACTTTAACATTGATACAATATAACGTTGTGTAATATACATTAACATTGTGTAATATACATCCTATATTCAAATTTCCCCTGCAGTAACCTTCTATTAGGTTGGTGCAAAAGTAACTGCGGTTTTCGCCATTACTTTCAATTGAATTTCAATAACTTTTGCACCAGCCCAATATGAGCTGTATTCTTTCTCTTTCCCTCCTTTCCTTTCTACTTTAAAAAAAAATCCAGACTCTAATTCAGAATCATACACTTCATCTAATTATGTCTCTAAGTCTTCAGTAACAAGAATACGAATCTAGGGTTTCGTTTGGTTTTCTTTCTCCTAGTGACATTGACTTTTTGAAGAACTCAGGCTAGCTGTTTGGCAGAATGTCGCCCAGCTTGGATTTGTCTGATGGTGTCCTTATCATTAGATTCAGGTTAAATGTTTTGGCAGGAGGACCACATGGGGGAGGTGTCCCTTCTCAGTGCATCACATCAGAGGATCAGTTGGTTCCCTACTGATGAGAAGTTTGGACCATGGGTAAGGTGGTGACCTCGTTTCCCCTTGGTAATTCCTAAGTCATCTGTGGGGTAGCACTGTATTTACTGAAGGTCTCTGACTGTGGCAAATGCTGGGAGAGTCAGTGGTGAGCGCCCACACTCTGTCCTTGCTCTTGTGCTGTTTTTACAAAGGAGGGGACAGACAATAACCCAGGAAACAAATAATGACAAGATATGCAGTTTGATGAAGGACGTGGATAGGGTGCTGAGATAGAGAAGTATCAACTCTAGAGAAAGTGATCTTTAAGCTGAGACTTGAGCTGGAGGCATGCCTGTAGTCCCAACTCCTCAGGAGGCTGGGGTGGGAAGATCGTTTGAGCCCAGGAGTTCTGGGCTGTAGTGTGCAATGCCAATCAGGTGTCCACACTAAGTTTGGCATCAACTATGATGACCTCCTGGGGCTGGAGGACCACCAGGTTGCCAGGTGGCAAACAGCAGGTCAAAACTCCTGTTCGGATCAGTAGTGGGATCATGCCTGTGAATAGCCACTGCACTCCAGCCTGGGCAATATAGAGACACCCTATTTCTAAAAAAATACTACTAATAAAGAAAAAGGTGAAATTTGAATAGGAAAAAGGAGACACCCTTGGGAAGGTGGGGTGGAGGGGTTGGGGGTGGCTCCTAGTTAAGCTTGGAGGATAGAAGGAACCAAAAGACGGATGCACGGTGGTCTCAGGGAGGGAGGAATGAGCAGAGAAAGGCCCTAGGCCTGGAAATAATCATATTGAACACATGCTATCCTAATAGTGAACACCATCCTAAGTGTTTCACATGGTTTACCTTGTTTAATTCTCCTTGCAGCCCTGTGAAGTGAGCGTTATTACTGGTTTTATGCTGTAGAATCTGTGACACAGAGAGGTTGAGTAATTGCCCTAAGGTCACACAGCTTCTAAGTAGCAGTGCTGGATAGATCTGACTCCACAGACTGTGCTCTTAGCTGTGTCAAGCAGGAAGGCCCAGGGTTTCATCCAGAAAACAGAATGTGAAAAGGGACTGGAATGAAAGCAACCTGTACTGGGTGCAGAGGTGCTGTCGATAAAGGATGAGGGATGGGAAAGGAAGACAGAAGAAAGGCCTAGAAGATCAAAGGAGAAGGGTGTTCAAGGCTGCAGGCAGCACTGGAAGCCAGGCCAGCTCAGTTGACCACCTACTCTGGGCACATCCCCAACCCAGCCTGTCCCTTCAGGTCGGATTTGCAATTCTCCTGCTCTCCCTCCTCCTAAACACAAACA